>NC_000010.11:104234004-104537034 GCF_000001405.40 Homo sapiens
AGGGTGAGCCCTGTGGACATGTGGAGTTAGCTATGCCCTCTAGCTATGCTAGAGAGTCAGCTGTTATCTGCACTTCTGCCTGTTGTGTCCTAGGCTAGGCTCCACACCTAGTACACAATTAAAATCTCTTACTTACCAAGGTTTTCACCAAAAATAAAAGTTGCAAAAAGTTAACATTATAACATGTAATTAAAACTACTAAAGAAACAGTTTTACATGCAAGGTGTGTAAAGAAAGTAAAATGTGTTTTTGGTGAAAGATTATAAGAAGTAATGGGAATGTGGATTTTTCTCTGCCTACATTTAAGTGTTAAAGGATTGCTTTAAGTAAAAAAAAAAACTAAAGGTTTAAATAAGTTGTGGAAGGTTTATAAAAATTAATTGTAAGAGATTCTGTATGTGAACATACTGGCTAAAGTTACAGGGGTATTATTCAGTTTTTCGATAAATTAAACATTGGAATAAAAGCACAACAGGTTTTTCTTAGAGTTGATCTGCTCTTTCACACACACACACACACACACACAATTGTAAAGGGTTATACGAGGTTTATAAGACTCTTACCTTATGGTTAACATTAAAATTGGGTAAATATGTCTATAAGGTTTTATTAAAAATTGGGTTTAACATTAATAGCACATTAATGTAAAGGTAAAATTTGGCTTATTTGCTATAAAAATCATATAGGAAGCATTGCCAAATATGAAATGGTTTTTTGCTTTTTTTGGACTATATTTGCATAAATGTGTTATTGGTATATGTTACAAAGTTATGAGAAACTCTTATAATTCTAATATGACTTAGTGTAGATTATTAATAATTATAATTGTTATGTAAAATTTTGTGTGCCACATAGGTAACCAAGTTTCCTTATCAATTGTGGCTTTAATAGTGGCTATCCTAAAACTTTTTATCATCCACAATTGTTTTCTTGTTCTAATCCTCTTTAGAAGGTGGTTTATAATCAACTGTAGAACTCCAGCAGGTGTTCCCAAATGCAGGTTTCCAATAACTTTGGAAATTGTAACATTAGAATAGAGGAAACAACTTTCAGAACCCTCATGTAGAGCTGGAATGTTCATGAATATCAGAGTCAAGGAAACTTTTCTTTTGAGCTATTTACAGCTTTTAGCAATTGAGTATACTTCTGTGAACAAAATTTGGAGTATATTTGTTTCTCTCTACCTGATTTTTCCAAAATTTGGAAACTATTTGTGAGTATTCTTAATTTATGGCAATATAGTTATTTGCATACATGCAATAAGGATCTGTTTTCTTTTGTAGCAGAACACAATTGGATAAATTGGTTATTTCACCACGGCTTTAACTGGAATGGTGTGCTTTCCTTTAAGGAATCAAACTTGACTTGTAAAGCCAATAAAAGCCACTTGGAGAATTGGCCTCAGATCTTGTCTGCAACTGTCCCTGTAAAGGTAAGTAAAGAATGACCTGTGGTAAGTAAAGAATGTCACTTTCTGGCAGGTCCAGGAGTCCTAAGTTATCTTGGGACCTCAAGAGAACAGGAATTTACTCAACTCATAGATATTTGAGGATACAAACACATGGCCGAGCTTGGCTTTACAAAGTCTTGTCTAAGATTACTTCTATAGAGCAGAGTTCCATCAAAGCTAATTTAAAAAGAGCCTATGTGAAAAATAATTATTTTTGTTGCACTTTATACAAATAATCAGGCCAAGTATAACAAAGCAAATCAGCCTTACCATGATTTGTCTTTAGTAAAAATGAGAAACTGGAGAGAGAAATATTATGTTTCAAGTACTGTGGTATACTTGTTATTAAATTCTAGTCTCATTAGTTGTTTTTAAGTTCGTTTCTGCAATTTAGGCTAACCCTGCTTATTCCTGTGAACCAACCAATGATCTCTGACTGCTGCTCAGAATAAACAAAAGGGATGGGTAATGTAAAAATCTGGATCAGTATTCTAATTCCGGGCACATCACATTCAGCTAATAACCCCATATCAGCTTAGTTCCAACAGCTGCCCAGTTCATGAAAAGCCTTCTAATTTAGCTTACTTGGAACAACTTTACTTATTTTGCTCTACCCTTGTGGAATATATTGCTGTTATACTCTTTGTGTAGGAATACAGGACAAGCTTACTAAATGTTTTCTTAAACACGTATTAATCTTCCAGATATCACCTTTTGTCAAAACTCAACAGTTATGAATGGACCTTACCATACTGATGTTCTCTGACTGAACTCCTCTCTACCCTGAATGCAAGAGACCCTCATAGTTAGGCAGGAATATCATCGCCCCTATTCAGCCTGAAAAAGTTACAAAAGATGGATCTTTGTCCCTCTGCAACCCTTAGGATTAAGGGTTCTCTTATAAAAGACAAGGGGGAAATGTCAGAGGCATGTGAACAAGAGCAACTCCATCTTAAATAGGAGCTGGGCAAAACGAGGCTGAAACCTACTGGGCTGCATTTCCAGATGGTTAGGCATTCTAAGTCACAGGATGAAATAGGAGGTCAGCACAAAATACAGGTCATAAAGACCTTGCTGATAAAATAATTTGCAGTAAAGGAGCCAGCCAAAACCCACCAAAACCAAAATGGCGACGAGAGTGACCTCTGGTCATCCTCACTGCTACACTCTCACCAGCTTCATGACAGTTTACAAATGCCATGGCAACATCAGGAAGTTACCCTAGATGGTCTAAAAAGGGGAGGCATGAGTAATCCACTCCTTGTTTAGTATATCATCTTTTATTCCTTTACTTTCTTAATAAACTTGCTTTCACTTTGCACTGCGGAGTCACCCTGAATTCGTTCTTGCGTGAGATCCAAGAACCCTCTCTTGGGGTCTGGATCAGGACCCCTTTCCTATAACAACATCATTATGCAAATAGAATTATAGATTGAAATAAGAAGAAAAGAAACATGATAGTATGAATGCTTATGTTAGGATCCTCGCCTAGTGACAAAGATTCTCTGCCTGGTCAAACTTTCGTCAGGCTACTGAGCCTTTCCCTAGGCTTGTCTGCGCCCTTCCTTGTAAGATCCGGTTTTAGCAAAGAACACTGCTAAGTCAGTTTGGCAACACTGCTAAGTCAGTCAGTCAGTGTCCTCAGTGTCTGATCACCCTCCATATCTGATCAGGTTCCTCATTCTCTACCGTCCCCCAGGTGATGTCTGATTACCTTGGCCTATGTGAACCCAAAATATCTGAGACAGGTCTCAATCAATTTAGAAAGTTTATTTTGCTAAGATTAAGAACATGCCCATGACACAGCCTCAGGAGGTCCTGACATGTGCCCATGGTGGTCGGGGCACAGCTTGGTTGTGTACATTTTAGGGAGACATGAGACATCCTACACAATATGTTTAAGATGTACATTGGTTCACTCAGGTCATAGGGAGATAAGAGATAAAAGATTGCATTCCTTTGAGTCTCTGATTAGCTTTTCACTGAATACAACAATTTACATATGAGAGGAGGGTAGAGGAATAGTCACTTATGCCTAAGTCTGGCTTAGTGAAACAACAGGGCAGAGAAAGCCATCAGATATACAGTTGTCTCTTGTGACCAGAGGGACAACTTTGAGTTTTGTCTGTCCTTTGTCCACAAGGAATTTCCTTGTGGGAAAATTATGAGGGAGGTATGTAGCTTTTTTTATATTTGTAGCTATCTTATGTGGGAATAAAATGGGAGGCAGATTTGCCTGACACAGTTCCCAGCTTGACTTTCCCTTTGGCTTAGTGATTTGAGGGCCCCAAGATTTATTTTCCTTTCATACCTGTCTTCAGCAAGAAGCCCATTAGGTCAATTTAGCCAGAATCCTCCATCAGCCCTGATGGTTTCTTATAGTAATTTTCCATCCACTGACCCCCACCCTGCTCCTTGGCTATAAATTCCCACTTGCCCATGCTATATTTAGAGTTGAGCTCTGTACTCAAACTTCCATTGTCATGGTTCCTATACCTTTCATGATGGTCCTGAGTAAAGGTGGCCTTACCGTGCTTTAGCAAGTACCGTTGAATAATTCGTTCTTTAACACGAGCTGAATGGGCAGTGTTAGGGATGGTCTCTGTGTGCATGCACCGCTTTCACTGAGGGTCAAACCATGAGGAGTGATTGCTGGATGGGGGTGGGATGGGCTGAGGATAATTTTTATAAAGACACTAAGGCAGGGCCACAGATTGGATGAACTGGGAAGGGCAGTGTGATTGGTGCAGAGGGAGATAAGAAGAAAATACTTAAGATGAGGCTAGTGAAGGAACCAATGGCCAGGTGAAGGACAAGTTGAAAGTTCTGGCCTTTATCCTAAGAGCCATGAAAAGACTATTGGGGCTTAGAGCCCAGGAGTTCAAGACCAGCCTAGGTAACATAGTGAGACTTCATTTCTACTAAAAATACAAAAATTAGATGGGCATGGTGGCATGTGCATATAGTCCCAGCTGTTTGGGAGGCTGAGGCAGGAGGATCAGTTGAGCCTTGGTAGGTCGAGGCTGCAGTAATTCATGATCTCACCACTGCACTCCAGCCTGGGTGACAGAGTGAGACCCTATCTCAAAAAAATAAATAAATAAGTAAATAAAAGTATAATGCTTTGGTATGCTGAATACTTTGAATTAAAGAAGACTGGAAGGCCTCAGAAGCAAAGTTTCTCTCCGACCTTTTTCTGTTTTCCTGTCTCCTGCCCCTGTTTCTCCCCCAAAGCAAGTCATAGACACCAGAATTCCTCTTCCCCAAGGTGGGTCATAGAAACTATTAATATATATATTGTATATATTATAGAACCCCCTCCCTCAAAGCAAGGCATAAAAACCTGGAAATATTACTCTAACCTTCCCCTGCCTTTATTTGTAGGAACTGGCCATAAAGAAATTCTCTAGCCTACCTGTCTAATGTAGATCATAAGCATCTTATTCCAGAGGGGTCCTGCTCTGTACCCAGCAGGAAGGAATCCTACTCGGAGAGGCCACAAAGAATGTAAATAGATGGGCCTTGCTGGGTTCCCCTTTCAGTCTGTTACCATTAGATCATACCCTTTTTGTCCAATCACATTTCTACACAGCTGTCCGTTCTTCATGGAGCCTAAACATAAAAATACTTTTCCCTGGGTCTTTGAGTCTTTATTTCTGAAGGCTCCTGTGTCGTGTAAAACTTTGATTTAACAAATTTGTCATGCTTTTCTCTGGTTAGTCTGTCTTTTGTTATAGGAGTGTCGGCTATAACCCTTATGATAGATGAGGAAAGGTATCACACCTTCTCCTCCCCTATAAGACATTAAGGGGTTTTCAGCAGGGGAGTGACAGGATCAGGTCTATGCTTTTAAAAGATCATTTGGCTGCAGGATTATCAATTGGTTGGGGTGGGAGAACAGGGAGAATTGAAATAGGCAGATCAGTCGGGAGTCTATTCCATTCTCCTAACAAGTGGAGCCAATGCAGGATTTCTCAAATTCAGCACTATCGGTATTCTGGGCTAGATTTGGCGATTGTTGGTAGAGTCCTGTGCATTGCAGGGTGTTTAGCAATGTAGCACCTCTGCAGTTTTGACAACCAAAAATGTCTATGCACATTGTCAAATGTCCCCTGGATAGCACAATCACTCCCCAGTTGAAAACCACTGGTAAGTCAGTGTATTAAAAAGTTATTTTAAAAGGTAAAAATCTATAGGATTTGGTGATGGATTGATAAAAAGAGGAAAGGGAGAAAGGAGAGTCAAGGATGTTCCTAGATTTCTAATTACCACAGAGATGGTGGTGCTCTTCACTGAGACGGGGTGAGGAGGAAATGGAGACACGTGTTTCTATGCAGAAATGTGAGTGCCAGACACACACCATGCTTAGTTCTTAAAAACTCATAAAACTGACTGACAAAATCTCAAGTTGCAGAGTCCCAGGGAGAAGTGGCAAGGAGGAAAAGTCAAACTTTCTCTTGCCACCCCTGATGACTTTGCTTATTTGTGTTTTGACCAAGCCCTCTCCACCCCACCCTCATACCTTTAACCACAACTAAGAAAGAAAGGCCACTCATCCTTCTGCAACCAGGCCCGGTGTGGGGGTCAGGGAATCTCCTGAATATCAACTATGGGTATCCCCAGAAACCCAGCTAGAGACCTCCCTTAATTTTAAAGCCAACCCTAGAGCAGAATGTGAGGAGGCCAGTCTTGCCCTGCTCCCAAAGTAAGTGACTGGCAGAGGATGAAAGGTAGGCAGGAAATATAGACTTCGGGAAAGAGATGCTGGCCTGGAATCAGCAGTGACCCTGGGAAGCTGAACTTACCCTGTGTTACAGCAAAAGAGGAACTGAATGGAATCAAATTGAAAAGGCAGTCTTGTGTGTATCTTACTCTTGAAATCTTGGTGTTATGGTTTAGATGGAAAGGGAGGTCTCTGGCTGAGTTTCTGGGGATACCAGAATGTTCTGATATGCAAGAGATTACCTGACCCCTACACCGTGCCAGATTACAGAAGGATGAGTGGTCTTTCTTTCTTATTCTGGAAGGGGAAATGCAGATCATCCCAGAGAATGGACTGGGAAGGATAAGTTAGGAAAATCGGTTCCAGTTCTCACATTGAAAGATTTATGGGTATTAGAAACAAAATCTAAGACACACAAGTTTTTCTCTAATCAGTGACCCAGTGAGCAGTCCTGGGCTTCCTAAAGTAATAACCAGTGTGTTCCACCATTTTTAGGAAGGGCTCAACTCCCCTAAACTGGCCTTGCCCCTCCCAATCTTCTCTTCCCTGGCAAATCTCCACCTTGCCACCAACAGCCTAGTCCTTGACAGAATACGCCTAATCCTCAGTGTGAGGTTTTATACTTTTGTAGAACTCAGCTTGTATTAAAGGCTAAAAGAGCAGTGGTTAATTCAAGTTCATGGAGCAAGCCCTAAAACCAAACTAGTCCACAGCCAGTCACAGAACAAAAAAATCCTTATTTCCCACTAAGGGATCATTTCAGTCCTGGCTTCTGTAGGGTTCCAGCCAAATTCCAAGATAATCTGCAAGATGAAATTTCACTAAGTTTTTCACCCATTAATTAAGTTTTCTATGACCATTTAAACATGGGAAAAAAATCATACAGCATACTAGAACTTATTTTATTAAGTAGATGAGTAAGTGGTTTCCTGTTTATCAGCTAATTATTTGCTTTTTGTGAAATGCACCTTGTTTATGCAAAAAGTCAAAAAAATAAGTTGGCATTGTTTCTCTGTGTAAAAAGAAATGTAAATAATTAATGTTTTTAAAATAAAGGAATAATCTGCTGTGATAGAGAGTATCTAGTTATTCTATGGCAATTGACCCCTTTTATAGCAGCGATGACCACAATTTACTAAGCAGCTATTACGTGTTTGGAGCTCCATAGATTCTGAATGCTCCCACCAACTATGCTACATAGGAACCTGTGGCTCAGAGAGATGAGTGAGACTCAAGATTACACATTTAGTTAGTAGGCAGAGTTGGATTCAATCATGGGTTCACCTGCCCCTGAAGTCTGCATTTATTTTTATTTTTTTTTTGTAGAGATGGGGTCTTGCTATGTTGCCCAAGCTGGTCTTGAACTCCTGGTCTCAAGCAATATTCCCACCCTGGCCACCCGAAGTGCTGGGATTACAAGTGTGAGCCACTGCGTCTGGCCTAAAGTCTACGTCTTCTGCACAGTTTTTCTCTCTGCTCTGCCGCCGCATCCACGCATGTTTGTATAATAATAGCTAACTTATATTAAGCCACTCCTCTGTGCCTGGCATTGTACATCCTTATAAAACCTGTATTATTTAATCCTTATTGTAGAGACAGGAAAGATGAGTCTCAGAAAGTTAAGATTTTTTGCCCAACATCTCACAAGTTTCAAATGAACTTGAATTCAGGTAGTTAATTGTCTGAAAATAACTCTTCTTTCCAGCAGACTTGTAAATTTCAAAGTAAATTGGACATTTAGTTTAAATTTTGCATTTTTCTGGAAAAAGAGAGGAAAAATAGGAAATCCTTCATAATTTCCAAAAGTTTTAGAATAAATAATATGGGAAGAGGCTACATTGTTATGGATATCCTGGGCCACTTAGTGAAAATGGCTGAATGTTATTATTTGGTGCGTTTAATCTACAAATTCAGACTTCATTTTCAAGCTTCAAATATTTTCGAGATATCTGTGGAGTATAGCTTTATGACTAAATTTTGTGTCCCAAGATGCTTCCTTTACTCTTGATGCTGAAATAACTACACTAGGTTAAATACAGAAAGGGTTTGTAGGTCAACATTCAGGAAAATAGCACACTGAACATGTGGTTTTAAATAATGTTTTAATGAAGAAGAATGAGAAGGTTATTTTGCAAGACAGAGGGGATTGTCACATTACGCTTACCTAGAATTCTAAGGCAAGAATATTAATGGAGACTCATAAATCATTTGTTCAATTATTTTCAAATTAGTTCTTAAAATTTAAAAGTCAAATACAAATTATAAGATTGAAAATTAAAAATTCAAATCAAAAATTTTTAAAGCAAATATTTTTAATTTAAATGAAATTTATTACATATTTTTATATAAATTTGCAATTCTAATATTTATTATTTATCTAGTTGTCAAATAATTGGTATCAAGCTTCATACATGTTATATCTAGACCTACATACCTACAGAAATGTAGGACTAATACATTTTTTTCTATATTGCAAAACATTCTTCAGCATCCATGTGCAGCTATTGCCAATACCACACTAACTCATGACAACCCCTGGAACCAAATGGAGTTGGAATCAAAGAGACACAAGAAAATAGTCACTTGATTGTACTGGGAAACAATACTTAATTATTCACAAAGCAATACTGAATGAATGAATACACTCATGCTCTCTGAAAAAGGGAGTCAACAAATTCCTTAATATATTTTTCTGAGATGGAGTCTTGCTCTGTCACCCAGGCTGGAGTGCAGTGGCACAATTTTAGCTCACTGCAACCTCTGTCTCCCAGGTTCACCCTATTCTCCTGCCTCAGCCTCCCGAGTAGATGGAATGACAGGCACACGCCACCACGCCTGGCTAATTCTTTGTATTTTTAGTAGAGATGGGATTTCGCCATGTTGGCCAGGCTGGTCTGTAACTCCTGACCTCAGGTGATCTGCCTGCCTTGGCCTCTCAAAGTGTTGGGATTACAGGCATGAGCCACAGCACCTGGCCAATATCTTTTATCTTATCCAAGCATTCCCACCCTCCCCATACTCCTTAAGTAGTTTCCATCTCTGATGTTGAAAGAGGCACAACACACAAACCTCACAGTGTCCAAACACAGTAGCCTTTTGTTTCAAGGACATGGGGCTAACGTGAAGTCATGTGGCAGATCTTCAGAGTCACATCATGCTGGGAGAGTGTTGAGAGGTGGATCCCACATGACAGTGGTGTAGGCCCTCTAAAGGGTGGGGCCCATGGCAGGGGCACACCTTGTGGGGTCTATGGGTGGCACTATTTTTACTGGTGGAAGGTATTTGAGTTACGGGGGGCAAATCAGAACAGGTGTGTAACTCAACTCTTGCCTCTTCAGAAGAAAGAATTTGAGGGGCATAAAGCAGAAAAAGAGACCGAGGCAAGTTTCAGAGCAGGAGTGGAAGTTTATTTTAAAAGGCTTTAGAACAAGAAAGATAGGAAAGTACACTTGGAAGAGATCCAAGCATGCGACTTGAAGAATAAGCGCAATGTTTAACCTTGATCCTAGGACTTTATAGGCTAGCCCCTTTCCCATAATTCTTCCCTTAGGGTGGGCTGCCCACACGCACAATGCCTCTTTACCTTTGGGAACTGAGCACACACAGTGTGTTTAGGAAGTTGTACACATGGCCATCTGAGGCTTTCTGCCCTTTTCTGGGGGAGTGCCCCTAGAAGGTCATACTCTACCACTGTCTTTTTTTTTTTTTTTTTTTTGAGACCGAGTTTCACTCTTGTTGCCCAGGCTGGAATGCAATGGCGCAATCTTGGCTCACTGCAACCTCCGCCTCCTGGGTTCAAGAGCTTCTTCTCCTGCCTCAGCCTCCCAAGTAGCTGGGATTACAGGCATGTGCCACCACACCCAGCTAATTTTGTATTTTTAGTAGAGATGGGGTTTCTCCATGTTGGTCAGGCTGGTCTCAAACTCGCGACCTCAGGTGATCTGCCTGCCTCGGCCTCCCAAAGTGCTGGGATTACAGACGTGAACCACTTCACCCGGCCCATTTTGTCTGTTAATGCATATGCCCAGAAAGTTGCTTCTCTCTGGTGCCCGCATTCAATTAACACTTTAGTGCAGTAATTGTGGACCATCAGAAAATGGCCTCTCCCTGGCTCCAGCTGCCAATTTATCACTTTTAGAGAGGCAATGTGATAATTGCTGAACCATCACCTGACATTCCTAGTGGGCGGGGGAGAGCTGTCTCCTGCCCTGCTCATGCCTAACTGCCTGTAACACTATGGTACATGTTTGAGAAACTAGTACTTACTGAAAGATAAAATAACATAGGAGGAAGACTTTGTAGGAGACAACAAAAGGGGAAGACAGTGGAATTTATAAGAATGACAAAATACATTGCAGAGTAATATAAAGTAAGGAATTTACCCCCTTGAAGTACTTGGTTTGTGGTGGGCATGGGACTTCTGATATGTCTTGGAGCCTTGGATGCCAGGTAATTACCAGTTTTGCAGAACACTGACATCTATGGACTCTAACATGGACTCCATTTAAAGAACTCCAAGGACGATTAATAAACAAAAACACAAATCAATTTGCACTGTTGCCTAAATATCACCTAAAATAGCACGTTAGGAAAGCACCAAGTACCAAGTGTGTGAAGACATGGTCTGAAGAAGTGTCTGAAGACCATCATTCCACATTTCACATTGAATAATATCATGAAGACTTAAGATCCTCTTAAAAAGCTTCAAAGCTCATCTTTATTAATTTCTCACAAAAGTAAACCTCTTCCCAAAAGTATAAACTTAAAACTACTAATGTATCAATATATTCTATTTTGTGTCGTCTCATCGTGAGAGGTGACAGCGTGCTGGCAGCCCTCGCAGCCCTCGCTCGCTCTGGGCTCCTCCTCTGCCTGGGCACCCACTCTGGCGGTGCTTGAGGAGCCAGCCCTTCAGCCCGCCGCTGCACTGTGGGAGCCCTTTTCTGGGCTGGCCAAGGCCGGAGCGGGCTCCCTCAGCTTGCGGGGAGGTGTGGAGGGAGAGGCGTGGGCGGGAACCGGGGCTGCCCACGGTGCTTGCGGGCCAGCGCGAGTTCTGGGTGGGCGTGGGCTCGGCGGCCCTGCACTCGGAGCGGCCGGCTGGCCCCACCACCCCGGGCAGTAAGGGGCTTAGCACCCAGGTCAGCAGCTGTGGAGGACGCACAGGGTCCCCCAGCAGTGCCAGCCCACTGGCGCTGCGCTCGATTTCTCGCTGGGCCTTAGCCACCTCCCCATGGGGCAGGGCTCCGGACCTGCAGCCCGCCATGCCTAAACCTCCCCACTCCGCCGTGGGCTCCTGTGCCACCCGAGCCTCCCCGACCAGCACTGCCCACTGCTCCAGGGCGCCTGGTCCCATCGACCACCCAAGGGCTGAGACCTGCCAGCGCACAGTGCAGGACTGGCAGGCAGCTCCACCTGCAGCCCTGTGCAGGATCCACTGGGTGAAGCCAGCTGGGCTCCTGAGTTTGGTAGGGACTTGGAGAATCTTTATGTCTAGCTAAGGGATTGTAAATACACCAATCAGCACTCTGTATCTAGCTCAAGGTTTGTAAATGCACCAATCAGTGCTCTGTGTCTAGCTAATCTAGTGGGGACTTGGAGAACTTTTGTGTCTAGCTCAGGGATTATAAATGCACAAATCAGCACCCTGTCAAAACGGACCAATCAGCTCTCTGTAAAATGGACCAATCAGCAGGATGTGGGTGGGGCCAGATAAGGGAATAAAAGCAGGCTGCCTGAGCTAGCAGTGGCAACTTGCTCAGGTCCGTTTCTGTGGCGTGGAAGCCTTGTCTTTTCGCTCCTTGCAGTAAATCTTGCTGCTCCTTGCAGTAAATCTTGCTGCTGCTCGCCATTTGGGTCCACACTGCGTTTATGAGCTGTAACACTCACTGCAAAGGTCTGCAGCTTCACTTATGAAGGCAGCAAGACCATGAACCCAGCGGGAGGAACAAACGACTCCAGATGTGCGGCCTTAAGAGCTGTAACACTCATCGTGAAGGTCCGCAGCTTCACTCTTGAAGCCAGCGAGACAACGAACCCACCAGAAAGAACTCTGAACACATCGGAACATCAGAAGGAACAACTTCCAGACACGCCGCCTTTAAGAACTGTAACACTCACCGCAAGGGTCTATGGCTTCATTCTTGAAGTCAGTGAGACCAAGAATCCACCAATTCTGTACACAATTGGACTTCCCTTTAATTTTTTTGGCTTTTAGGGTTTTTCATATTGCTTGTGTTCCCTTAGACGGGAGACAAACAATACTTTCCAGAAAAATACATGTTTTGGGGCCTTTTTCACTAGTAAAAACCTGGCATAACAATAAAACTAACTTTGCAAATATTATGACAGTGCAAGAAGTCCAGCATGGCTGACTGCATCTTGCTTCTAGCCTCACAGGCTGCCTGTCCTCGCTCATTCCTGGGTGTAGGCTCAGCTAACCCCGGGAGGAATTTAGTTTATGGTTTAACTTTGAAGCAAGGATGGTAATAGTCTGTCCCTAAAACTGATCCCCTCATTATCTGGGGACTGAAACCACCTTTGTAAGACTAATGAAAAAGACACAAGATTAGGCGTGTGGGAGAGGCCTGAATTCTGCTAAAATGTAAGCATGGTGAAATGATAACCAACTATTGTTTTGTATAATCCCTGAGTATTAAAATGTAGGTGTAGTTAAGCAGTACTACCAGCAGTTACTATTTCCTAGCTTGCTTTTCTATAATTTCTTACTGTTCAGGAGTCATGAAGTCAGAGGTCATAAGATTTGTAATTGCTTCTACAGTTGACATCACTATTGTCAAAACCTAAGACTGGTTTTTGAAATACTTTTCAGACTTCTGCATTCTGGTAACTAACTCCACCCAGACCCATGATTCGTATCAAGGAACTGACTCAACTGTTGGTCCCCACCCAGAATTGATTCAGCACTTGGAGACAGTTTGGACACTCCTATGATTTCATCCCCAACCAATCAGCAGCACCCATTCTCTTAGTCTGCTACACACCAAATTATCCTTAAAAGCCCTAGCTTCTGAGCTCTCGTAGAGGCAGATTTGAGAATTATCTCCTGTCCTACCACTTATCTGGCCCTGTGATGATTAAACTCCTCTACTGCAACACCACTGTCTCAGAGAATGGCTTTATCTGTGCAGCAGGCAAGATGAACCCATTAGGTGATTACAGTAAGTTTAGAAGTAGGTGTTTTGTTGTATTCTATGACAAAAATTTGAGTTAACATAAGTGAGGATGAAGTGGTGAAAATATTTGAGTTCAGATTATACTCTCAGAGGCTACGTGGCATGGAGAAAAAAGCCCTCGACCTTAAAGTTCATGGTTCTTATTCTATCTCTGCCTTTTACTAGGTCTGTTATAACTGGAAAAGCCACTTAACCTCTCTGAATCTTAACTTCATCTGTAAAGTGGATCTGATATTTCCCTGTCTACCCTCACAGGATTGTGGTGAAGATCAGATAAAGTCATGTACATAAAAAAGGACTTTCATAGAAAATGTACGATACAGTTATGTGGTCTTGTTACATAGTTGCAAGTCATTTCCCCTTAGCTGTTGAGTCTGGGAAGAAAAGTGGTTTACAGGCACACTGAAACAATATGCCCTGTCTAGGCAGGATACATGGTAACAAGACTATGTTAGTTTTTTAAATTTTTTTTCTGAGTTCATAGAATACTATTGTGAGCTAATTCTCAGAAGGAAGGCTATAAATTTCCCTTAAATTGTTAATTAGCATTTATAACACACATTTGTGCTCTAGAGCAGTTCTGAGTTGGAACGTATTAGTGGTTGGTAAGATCTGCTTACTAAGTTGTAACCAACATGTCTTTAAAATGAACGGAACAAAAAAACTTCACAGTGCATCCCAATGGTAAGTGTAAATTCTGTTTTAGGGGTGTGTGTGTGTGTATGTATTTTTTATTGGACATTAAATAAAATACATTTTTTTCTTTAAAAATGTCAGTAAGTACTTTAGGGGGACTGTGAGGGAGACAAACTGTATTTAGTCAGCTCTAAGATCAACTGACAAGGAGGGAATAATTAAATAAATAACCAATTAAATTACAACAGAATCCTAAAATTTTTATTTAACGCTTATTGAAAGAGCTCTTTTAAGCCCAGATTTTTATGATAAAAGAACTCTTAAGCTTATTTAGAAATGATTTTTATTCTATTTTACTCTTGTGCAAGTATAAAAAGGAAAATATAAGTTATATAAAGTATTCATTCAACTTTTAGAATCCAGCTCTTTTGAATAATTTTTAAAATCAGCATCATAGGCATTCATTTCCCCAACTCATTCATCCCATAGCATTGTCCTCTGTGCCAAGAAGATCATTTAATTCCATAATGCAGCAAGAATGTTCTGTTATCTCTGGGATTTTCTTCCAAAGCCATTGACAGCTACCCTGCAAGTCCAAGCAAGAGCAATAACATCAGTG
Organism: Homo sapiens; assembly: GCF_000001405.40. Taxonomy (NCBI): domain Eukaryota; kingdom Metazoa; phylum Chordata; class Mammalia; order Primates; family Hominidae; genus Homo; species Homo sapiens. The sequence continues at coordinate 104,248,626 of NC_000010.11, forward strand.
TCAAAACTGCTACACAGCCTGCTGTAATTTTAGATACACTTCCATTTTTAGAGGTATTTAAACATGAAGAAATGTGAATCTTAGAATCCATGAGATATGGTAGCAGTCTTAACTGCTACCTGATCTCTCGATCAGACTTAGGTGTCAGACTGATGGGTGAAGCCAGCTGGGCTTCTGGATCGGGTAGGGACTTGGAGTACTTTTCTGTCTAGCTAAATGGTTGTAAACACGCAAATCAGCACTCTGTGTCTAGCTAAAGGTTTGTAAACACACCAATGAGCACTCTGTAAAAATGCACCAATCAGCGCTCTGTGTCTAACTAAAGGTTTGTAAACGCACCAATCAGCACTCTGTTAAAAACGGACCAATCAGCACTCCGTAAAATGGACCAAACAGCACGACATGGGCGGGGCCAAATAAGGGAATAAAAGCTGGCCACCGGAGCCAGCAGGGGCAACAGGCTGGAGTCCCCTTCCGGGCTGTGGGAGCTTTGTTCTTTTGCTCTTCACAATAAATCTTACTGCTGCTCACTCTTTGGGTCTGCACTAGGTTTATGAGCTGTAACACTCACTGTGAGGGTCTGCAGCTTCATTCCTGAAGTCAGTGAGACCGTAAACCCCCGGGAGGAACAAACAACTCTGGACGCAGCACCTTTAAGAGCTATAAGACTCACTGCAAAGGTCTGCAGCTTCACTCCTGAAGTCAGCGAGACCATGAACCCACCAGAAGGAAGAAACTCCGGACACATCTGAACATCTGAAGGAACAAACTCTGGACACACGATCTTTAAGAACTGTAACACTCACTGCGAGGGTCCGCAGCTTCATTCTTGAAGTCAGCGAGACCAAGAACCCACCGGAAGGAATAAATTCCAGACACAAGACCAGAGTTGACAACCCATCTCCACCATAAAAAATATATTGATTTTGAGAAAATCACTTAACCTGTGCCCCCCAGTTTCCCTATCCCTGAGATGGTAATATTAACAGTATTTAAATCTTAGGATTGTTGTGAGGATTAAAGACTTTCCAGGTAGAACATTTAGGAGATAACTGGCAGGACATGTACATTCAACAGATGAGATTACCTCCTGCATGCTGTTTTACAACATTTTTATTTAACAGTGTATCTCTGGCATGTTTCTGCATCAGTATATATGAATCTACTTCATTACTTTTAACAGTTGTCTTTTAACAGTAGGTTTTTTTTTTCCTGTTCTTTAAAAAATGTTTCTTAAATCTTAATTTTTCCCAATATAGCGTATATTAAGAGTAAAAAATCAAAGTGAATAGAAAGCTTTTCAAATGACAGCAGTCGCCACCTCATTTCTCCCCACCTGATCCTTTCCCATCTCAATGCCATTCTCTAGAAGCCACCTTCCAACTGAAGAAACAGAAGGGAACCAATACCCTGGAAGCACCTCCCTACATCATGCACCCACCCTTTTCCATTCCCTTCCTTTCCCCTGGATGTAGCTACCATCCTGAATTCTGTGATTATTGTTCCCTGCTTTTCAATTCTACCATGTATGCATGAGCCATAACTAATGTGCTGTTTCACTTTGCCTGTTTTTAAAGTTAACACATGTAGAATCATACCATATATATTATTGTGACTTGCTATTCTGGCTCAATATCATGTTTTTGAGAGGGATTTAAGTTGATAACTATAGCTGTAGACTATTTGTTTTCATTGTTGGGTAGATGTCCATTATATGAATACAACACAATTTATCCATTCTTCTTTCAATGGACTTTTAATATCCCCTCAATTTTTTTTCTATTCAAGCTTCTTCTTTTTTTTTTTTTTTTTTGAGACAAAGTCTCACTCACTCTGTTGCCCAGGCTGGAGTGCAATGGCATGAACTCTTGATCTTTAACCAGCAGAATCCTCTCAGATTAGTCTCTTAGGTTATTAAGAAATGTAGTTGTAAAAACGCATGTATTGTTTCCTTTTAACTGTGGCTATGGGCAGCATGTCAACATAAAAGGAAGAGGGTGAACCAAAATTAATGCAATTAGGTAATTTGAGCCAAGGTTGAGGGTTGCAACCCAGGAGTATAGGTTCAAGTTGCTCTGAATAGATACTCTCATTAGCAGCAGTTACAAGTGGATTTCTAAAGGCAAAAAGGGGCTTCAGGAAGTGGGCTGACATAGAGTTGTCTGTCAGGAATTCTCATTGGTTTACAGAAATAACATTGATTAGTAGCTGGCTACACATTGTTAAGCTATAGACTGTGGGTTATATTTGCTGTAGCATTATTAGGTTAATTTATAGCTACTTGTGGCTATAACAAGCAGTTTCAAGAGGTGAATACATAGCTCGAAGCGGGGAGTGGGGCATGATTGCTGTCTCATTTTAATGTCTCTTTGGGCCTAATAATTTGAAATGGCTCACATTCCTCAGATGAAAGTTCTATTCTTTCCTCAGGTGTATATTCAGATGTTTACACAACCACAAAGGACTTGGAGAGGACCTATTGTAATGCACACCAGTAATATAGTACGGTAGTTCACTGGGAGAGTATATTTTCAATTTCTTTCTTTGAGGAATTAACCTTTTACTTTATTTATTGATGAGGTGGATCTTTCAAATCATTGCAATAAAATATTACATTATTCATACTAAATTAGGGGACAGGGCATTCCAAGTAAAACTTTTAAAGTAATACCTTGATGTGAAATTTTTTTTTGGCCATTCAGAAGTTTTACCTTGCCAAGTTTCAATTTACAAGGTTATTTGCATGAAGTCATTAATGTGCTAAAAAGTCAATATCCTTAAAAAGAGTTAAGCAGTGCCCATATTTTAGCAAAAATGTGGTCGATTTTTAAAAATTTATATCTATTTCTTGCCTATTTACTAAATTAAATCAAAATATGTAGTGATCACATTTATTTAACATATTCTATGCCAAGCACTGCTCTGAGTGCTTTCTGTATAGTAACTAATTTAATCCTGCCACAGACTCTATGTCAGAGACGTTTGAACCAGAGCGACTCCATCTTGAGTGAGGGCTAGGAAGATGCGGCTGGGACTTGCTGGGCCGCATTCCCAGAAAGTTAGGTATTCCTAGCCTCTAGATGTTTATGGTTAAGGGAATAGATTGATAATGTTTACTAAACAGACCCAGACTTAGGAGTGTCCAGATATCCCGATATCTTGAGAACAAAGGCATTCCTAATTTTGCTTTAAAGATAATAATATTGATTCTTGCAAAACATAGTAATTATGAAAATTAACCCTTTATCACAAAAAGAGCACATCTCCCCATATCTTTTTTTCATCCTATATATACAGGCATTGAACCTGGGGTGGACGCCTTCGTCCTCTTACTTTCGGGAACACCCTACTCTGTCTATGGAGTAGCTGTTTTTTCACCACTTTACTTTCTTAATAAACTTGCTTTTGTTTTGCACGGTGGACTCGCTCTGAATTCTTTCTTATGCGAGATCCAAGAACCCTCTCTTGGGTCTGGATCAGGACCCCTTTCCCGTAACATCTATGCAGGAGGAATAACATGTGTTCCATCTTATTTTACAGGTGAGGAAACTGAAACACACTGAGGTTAGTGACTTCCCCATGTTCACAGTTAATAAGTGGTTGTTACGGGTTGAATTGTGCTCCCCCAATTTCATACATTGATGTTCTAATCCCCAGTGCCCCAGTATGTGACCTTATTTGGAAATAGGGTTGTTGCAGATGTAACTAAATTAAAATGAGGTCATACTGGAGTGTGAATGAAGATGAAGGCACAGATGGGGTGGGTGGTGCTTCTGCACTCCAAGGGACACCAAAGATTCCCTCAAACCACTAGAAGCTGGGAGAGAGGCATGGAACAGACTCCCTCACAGACTCCCTCCTCAGAAGGCAGCAACCCTGCTGACACCTTCATCTTGGACTTGTAGCCTCTAGAACTGTGAGGCAACACACTTCTGTTATTTAAGCCACTCTGCAGTACTTTGTTACCCTAGTCCTAGCAACTGAATACAGGGGTGGAGCCAGGATCAAAACAGGCAGGGTGCTCCAACACTTGGTGCTTTTCACCTCATTCTCTGCTCCTCCCATAATAGGGCTAATCAAAATAAAAATAGACATCTACCCCAATCTCACCCCAATAAATGGCACAGGAGTTACCAGCTTTCAAATCTAGGCAAACAAGGAAATCATTGAATAGTCTTTTTCCTCATCTGTATGATGGCCCTGGAACCCCTCTTTCCTGACCCCTAAGTTAAAAGAGCTGTTTGAGAGGACTCTCTGGCCAGACCTTTATTCCCAGACCCAAAACTAAATTCACTCATGCCACCTGCTTGATTCTGAGCCTGTGCCCTTATTGTAACTGAAATGCAGGTTCAGTTGCTTCCCGCTTTCAGAGTCCAATTATTAATAAGAAGAGCAAAGTCTGGTATAAAGAAAGTGATTTTTTATTCCAAAGCTAGCTTAGGGGGAGCAAAACAGGCTTCCTGCCTTAAGGGTACCACTTTGCTTCTGGGGCAGAAAGCAGGGGCTTTTAAAGGGGGCAGTTGGTATGAACTGCATGCTGGGGAGGGAGCGAGTGGGTGGGGGTTCGCATGACTCACTTTGGTGCTTTATCTGCTGGGTTGTGCCATCATGGGCAGAAGTCATTTGTAAAGTGGCCTTGTCTCAGGCATACTTTTGGATGTAAATGGACTGTTATCTCTGGAGGCAGTCTCCTGGGGGGTGAGAGTCCTGCTCTGGAGCTTTTAAGTAAACACCCAGTTAGATAAGCTTGCCCTGTAGGGAGTGTCAGGTGAAGGGAAGGTAAAAGATGATAATTGCATTTCTAAAGAGCTAAGTAGGAAGTGGGGAACAGGGAGAAAGGAGGAAACAGAGAAGATGGGAGAAATAAATAATGTAAAAAATAACTCATCCTCTATCTCTTAGAAAAATGGGAGTACTGTTATATTACCAGGGCTCCAAAACACAAATGTTTAATAAGTGGGAGAGTTTTGAAAGCAGCACCATTATTCTGAGGTTGATAATATCCAGGTTTGTGCTGTCTCCTATGGGTTAAAATGAAAAGGATGTATCCTACAGGTGACGGTAGGGACAGAGGCCCTCCCAGTAGTCACGTTAAGCTAGTACTGACAGAAAAAGGAAAAGCCTGTCCAGGTGGCTGGGCAACCCTGCAGCGAGGCATAGATGAGCTTGTAAATCAAAGGAAATGACCAAGGTGAGTCTCAATCCTTTTAGAGGTTTATTTTGCCAAGGTTGAGGACACATCTGAGAAAAAGGAACACAAAATCACAGGAACATCTGTGATCTGTGCTCTTTCCAAAGAGGGCTTGAGGACTTCAATATTTAAAGGGAAAGAGCAGGCAGTAGGGGAAAGTGGAAAGTAAAAAGGGAAGGTAGATAAAAGGGGAGAGTAGTTGCATTCTTTGGGGCCTTTGATCAGCATTCACTGAATGCGCATGTTACATTCGTGAAAGGAGGTCGTAGAGGAATAGTCAGTTATGCATTCGTCTAGTGCTTGGTGAATCTGCATTTTTACAAGATTAAATATAGGGTAGAGGAAGCGGTCAAATTGCATTTTTCTCCAGCGAGAGGAAGGATGACTCCTAGACCTGTCTTTGTCCCATACTTGGGAAGATAAGCTGTTAGTTTACATTGCCAAGATGAAATTCAACTGATCTGTTTTAGAGTAAAGATCTTGCGGGCCAACAAGGAATTTCCTTGGGGAGGTGTGTGGCCTTTGATCTTTGTAGCTATTTAGCAACAAAATGGGAGGCAGTGTTGCCTGACTCAGTTTCCAAGCTTGACTCTTCCCTTTGGCATAGTGAGTTTGGAGTCAAGAGATTTTTATTTTCCCTTCACAAGCTGAACAGGAGCCTTTGGAGAGAACGCTCTGGACCGGTGAGTGAGCCATGAGGTCGGGCCACAGGCTCTGAAGTCGTGAAGCCTTGGGACGGAGCGGGTGGTGCTTCGAGGTCAGTGTCACGGGAGGGAGGTCAGGGTCAGGGTCAGACGTGGAGCCCCGTGGAGTGCGGAGTGGTGACCCCTTCGTTCGGGGGCGGAGGGATGACTGAGCATTTATAACTTTTGTGTATCTCCCCGTGGGTGCAGCCCTTGGCCAGCGAGATGCTTTGACACAGCCCCTTAAGATGTTTTAAGGGCTATCCCATAAAGCCGGGAAGGCACAACGGGTGGAGCTGGCGGCCGCCGGGGGCAGGCACTTTTGAGCTAAGGAGGAAGCGGGGGAGGGAAGGAGGGCGGGAAGGACGCGCCACCTACTTCCTGAATCCCCTGCAAACCCCAGAGGAGCTCGGCCTGCGCTGCGCCACGATGTCCGGGGAGTCAGCCAGGAGCTTGGGGAAGGGTGAGGCCTGCCCGCCGCGAAGAGGGGGTGATCTCGGCGACCCCCGGCGGCATGTTCGAGGCTGCTCCGGGAGCCCAGCCGCCCGGGAGCGCCCCACCGGCGGGGAACGGGTCGGAGCTGCAGTGGGACGCGGGGGCGGTGGGATACGGGGGGTCTCGACACCTCTCTGGGCCGTAATCGCCTTCGCTTCTCCCCGGCAGGAAGCGCGCCCCCGGGGCCGGTCCCGGAGGGCTCGATCCGCATCTACAGCATGAGGTTCTGCCCGTTTGCTGAGAGGACGCGTCTAGTCCTGAAGGCCAAGGGAATCAGGTGGGCACCCAGGCGGGGGACGCTCCCCGAGCCGTCCGGGAGCCTGCTGCAGGCGGCGGGGTGGGGTGGGGTCTCAGCCCCCTTCTACCCCCCTCCCACCAGCGTCCTTTACTGCACATTAAACTATTCTCGGCCCTTTGGAAAATAGCAAGTTATAGGCCATTCCCCTAGGAAAAATAGGCCACAGATTCCAACGGTCTAGGACACCTCATTTAGATTAACCAACCATTTAATGGATTAGAAAAGCTGAGGCTCCAGTGATGTTAGTGATTTGCCCGGTAATAACCGGCAGCAGCTCTTTTAGCTTTGGTAGGTCACGAATTCCTGGTCCAGAGTCCTTTCGCTTTCGCCCTATTGTGATTTCCCGTTCTTATTCCAGCTTAACTGTTAGTTGTTATTCTGAATGTATTGTTCCCTCCTAGAATAGTAATTTACCCCAGTACAGCAGAGTTTAGACCCTGACCCTCCTAGGGTAGTGCTGAGTTTACTGCACATATTCCTGTGGATTGGGCTGTTGGTTGAGTCAAATAGAGGGAAGTGTCTGTCTAGCTCATCCTTCTGCAGAGCCTGTTTTGAAACTAGCATAGTTTTTGACTTACGGGCTATCCACAGGATATGTGCAACAGTCACTTGACTTTTCTCTGACACCAAGTATCCATTGGAACCACTTCCCTTCCCATGACCTTTGGATGTCTGTTGATTAGACATTTATTAGATACCTTTGGTGTGGAAGGTTCTGTGGAAGTTTAAAACAAACCCCCTATTCTTAAGGAATTTTCTGTCTGTGTGCTTAGTGTTTGTGAACTAATTTTAGTCTTCTAAGGGGATAATCTTTAGGGGTAGGCAATTATTTTCCCTAAAAGAAAGGTAAAATGCATTTAAAAAATACATTTGAAGGGGATTTGTCATTACTTCACTAAGAAATGCATCTCATTTGGATGAGATTATGATTCTGAACACATAGAGTACTTACTATTTCATAATGTTTCTCAAAAACACTGTCATATTTGCTGTGATAGAACTCTTTTATTGTACTAAGAGAAATCTAATGTAACCAAAATTGAAAAAAGACATTTTTTGGTACTCATTTATTTGAAAAGTCCAGGAGCATGACACAGCTGGATTCAGAGGCACAAAGTCCTGGGTTATGTGCTTCACCCTGGACCTTTAGTTTGAAAACAACCCTACCTTATTTACTGGGGCAGTTTTCCAAAGGAACATTGAAACTATCTTCCCCTAATAGTGTGGGGTAGAGGGGAGGAAGAGAGTGGTTAACAGCTTCCAGACAGTGCAAACAACAAAGGTCTACTACATTAATAGACCAGTTTTAAGCTTGAGCCCGAGGAGGCTTTTACTGGGAAAGTACTAGATTTTAACCACATGATATGACTTAACAAAGCATGGTTTTCTCTAAAAGATGCATCTTCCAACTTGCTGTGGCAGGTGTGTAGACTTGTTGGCTCACAATGCCAGCTTACCAAAATTCATGTGTGTTCTGACATACTTTTTTTTTTTTAAATAACAAAAGCCCAGGATCTTTTTGTTTTCATAGTAACAAAAGTTTTTGTTTTATAGTTCAAAAATGTTGATAATTCTTTGGCAAGGAGCCAAATAATTTTTTTTTTTTTTGCAATGGCTGGTACTTAAGTGTCCAGTATTGTCAGCACATGAACCTTTTAAATTACATGCACACCTGTGCTCATGTTCAAATTGGATGTTCCTTTGTTTACATGGGGGATTATGTATTTAAATCCTCAAATGAAATGCTGTTCTAGCTACAGCTGTGGATGGGAAAATAGAAAACAAAAGGTATTGGTGTCTATTTTTTTTTTAGTAATCTGTTCTATTGAACATTTATTCAGCCTTGACAATCATATGGACCTAGCTCCTTTCTCTTAGTTCCTCTACAGTCTCAGGCAACATACAAGATAGACCTAAATACAATCTGACTATAGCCTGGACTTCACCTGTTTTCTTCCTTTTTGGTTTACTTTGTATGATTTACTCAGACAACATTTTTTAAAAAATCAGTACATGGAGATTTAATCTGAAAGCTTATTTTGTGGGTGGATTTTTTTTTTTTTTTCGAGACAGGGTCTCGCCCTGTCACCCAGGCTGGAATGCAGTGGTGCAATCATGGCTCACTGCAACCTCTGCCTCCAGGGCTCAAGCAATCTTCTCACCTCAGCATCCGGAGTAGCCGAGACTACAGGTGAGTACCACCACACTTGGCTAATTTTTATATTTTTTGTAGAGATAGGGTTTCATCATGTTGCCCAGGCTGGTCTTGAACTCCTGGGTTTAAGCAATCCGCCCACTGCAGTCTCCCAAGGTTCTGGGATTACAGATGTAAGCTACCAAGCCTGGCCTTGTGGGTGGATTTTAAGGATTCCTTAATATCTTCATAAAAACCAAGAAACTTTTTACTCAAATTAGCAAAATAAATTGAATTTTATGTTGGTTCTCATATAGTGGATAGTGGACACAATTCAATTAGTTGCCTCATATGATTTATAACTAAGATACCTCTTAGCCATAAATGGAGTATCTTATTGACAATTTTGAAGCATTTCCACAGATTTATTCATTCATTTATATGAAATATTTCAAAACAAAAATATTTACTGAGTCCTTATTTGAAACTTTTTATTTTCTTCAGAGCATTTATATCTATATAGCATTTTGCTCATTTACATGTTTGTTTATTACTATGAACAGATACACAAGATCCCACCTTTCGTGAAGCTTACATTCTAGGAAGATAACAAACTTGTAAATAAGTGAGCAAAGTAATTTCAGATACATATTATCAGTTCAATGAAGAAAGTAAAACATGATAATCATGTAATAGAAGCTGCTCAGCAACTTCAGAGCTATGGTCAGGGAGGGCCTGGGGATGTGTGTTTGACCTGGGAAGACCTGGGAAAAGGCAGGCAGAGGAGGCAGAGGACCATCAAGTGCAAAGACTCTAAGGTGGAAACACATTTGGCAAATTCAAGGAATATAAAAACCGCCAACGTGTAAAAGAAAACATAGGGGAAAAGCTTCATGACACTGGCCTTGGCAATGATTTCCTGGACATGACACCAAAGACCAGGCAACAAGACCAAAAATAAACACATGAGACTACAGCAAACAAGCTTCCACACAGCAAAGGAAACGATTAACAGAGCAAAAAGGCAACCTATGGAATAGGAGAAAGTACTTGCAAACCACATACCTGGTAAGGGGTTAATCTCCAAAATACATAAGGAATCTCTACAACTCAACAACAAAAAAACCTGATTTTAACATGGGCTAAGATCTTACATAGACACTTCTCAGGCTGGGCATGGTAGCTCACGCCTATAACCCCGAGGCAGACAGTTCACTTGAGCCCAGGAGTTCAAGACCAGCCTTGGCAACATGGCAGAATCCTGTCTCTACAAAGAAATTAGCTGGGTGTGATGGTGCACGCCTGTGGTCCCAACTACTCGGGAGGTAGGAGGATCGCTTTAGCCCAGGAGGTCGAGGCTGCAGTGAGCTGCGATCAAGCCACTGTACTCCAGTCTGGGAGACAGAGTGTCAAAAAAAATTAAAAATTAAAAAAATAGACATTTCTTCAAAGAGGATATAAAAATGGGCAACACATATATGAAAAAGTTCTTATCACTAATCATCAGGAAAATGCAAATCAAAATCACATAATAACCTCACACTTGTCAAGATGACTATAATGAAAAAAGACAAGTGTTAGCAAGGATGTGTAGAAATCAGAACCTTTGCACACTGTTGGCGGGAATGTAAAATGGTACAGCTGCTATGGAAAACAGTATAGATGTTCTTCAAAAAATTAAAACTAGAACTACCATGTGATTCAGCAATCTCACTACTGGGTATATATCCAAATTAAATGAAATCAAGTTCTCAAAGAGATATTAGCACTCTCACGTAGACTGCAGCACTGTTCACAACAGCATAATGTCAATGTCCATCAGCAGATGAATGGATAAAGAAAATGTGTTAATGCTATTCCACCTAAAAAGGAAGGAAATTCTGCAATATGTGACAACATGGATGGACATTGCGGACATTATGCTAAGTAAAATAAGCCAGACACAGAAAGACAAATACTGCATGATTGTTCTTAAAAGGTGTATCAAAAGTAGTCAGATTCATAAAATCAAAAACTAGAATGGAAGGAATCTAGGCAGACTCCTAAATTTGGGGTCTGATCAGCTAAGTGGATGGCAAAGCCAGTGAGAATTTATCCAAAAGCACAAAAGTTGTTTCCTTCTCTTCATAGTCTCCTATGTGTCTTTCAGGCATGAAGTCATCAATATCAACCTGAAAAATAAGCCTGAGTGGTTCTTTAAGAAAAATCCCTTTGGTCTGGTGCCAGTTCTGGAAAACAGTCAGGGTCAGCTGATCTACGAGTCTGCCATCACCTGTGAGTACCTGGATGAAGCATACCCAGGGAAGAAGCTGTTGCCGGATGACCCCTATGAGAAAGCTTGCCAGAAGATGATCTTAGAGTTGTTTTCTAAGGTTTGTGCATAAGAAATTTCAGCTCCTATTTGAAAAACCTGTTTTTTAAAGCGAAATCAGTGCTGCCATTTATGGTTCAGTGATTTGGGAGAGAAAAACAAAACAGGAATATGCTTGTCAGCTCTGAGTGTCCTGCAAGTCCTTTCACGATCCAGTTCCTGTTTACCTCCAAAATTATCCCTTTTCACTCGTCTCCTGACACTTTATATATGCCAGCCATACTAAACTTTTCTCAGAATTCCCAAATTCGCCCCTTTCTCTTTCAATTCTTGCTGTCAGATTCTTCCCACTTCTCACTGTGCCTGGTTATCTCCACGTCATTTTTCACATGTCTGCTCCGACACTGCTGCCTTTTCAGGAGCTTGGCAGGCTGGTTAGTGCTCTAGCTTCTGAGTTCCCATCCGTGTGAACTTTTGCCTGCCTTCTTGCCTGTGTACTGCACTGGGGCTGTGAGCTCCTTGAGGGTGAGGGCTGTGTTTTGATCACTGTTAGTTCACTGCCTAGTTTTATGACTGGCTCTGCTACTTTCTTGTGACTCTGAGCAAGTTACTTATTACTTTGCCTCTCCGTTCATCATTGGTAAAATGGATATAGTAATTGTTCCCACCTCATAAGATAAAAATCAGTTAATATAAAACACCCAGAACAGAGTCTGACACATGGGAACTACTTAATTCTTGTCCTTATAGCCATAGCATCAAGCAGTGAGCATCTACTTTGTGTTGGCAATAACTCAGATGACTGAATAAATAGCAATCCTGTAGAAGAACTGTTTGTACCTTACTTAGCATCAACACTGTGGATTAGTTCAAACAATTAGTATTAACAAAGAAATGACTAAAAGATGTGTGTTTAGACACCAAGAATAGCATGTCTGGTTATATGCCTATAACATTGTCACCTTGGTAGTACGGTCAGTATATAAAGGATTATCTTTAGAGAAAAAGATGGTTAAAGAAATGCCCTAAGAGAGAGTTATAGGGAAAACATTCTGTTTTAGGAGACATTATAAAGGGAAGCCAATGGGACAGGAAGAGTGAGTCATCTGCTTAGTAAGATGAGGGTGAAAGAATAGTAGAGGCGGCTGCTGTGAAAGATAATGTAAAGGGAACATGACATTTTCAAGAACGATGTGGGAGAGTTTTACAAAGTAGTAACAAGTTAAAGGCATGCAGCTTCAAGACACGAAGTCATCAATACCAACCAAAAAAAATAAGCCTAAGTGGTTCTTAAAGAAAAATCTCTTTGGTCTGGTGCCAGTTCTGGAAAACTTTTTTTAGTATGGCTGGAATATAAAGTGTCAGGAGAAGAGATAAAAGGGGTAACTTTGGAGAGGTAAACAGGAACTGGATCGTGAAAGGACTTGTAGGACACGTCAGAGAAAATGAGCTTTAAAAGTAAAGCTTTTAGACATGAAGCTTTACTTTCATGCATAAAGCTACTACTTTAAAAAGTAGTCACAAGAGATTCATTGTACTATCTAGAAAGAAAATGAGATTTAAAAGTAATGCTGAAGATGCCCACCTTTACTTCCCTGCTTGGGTTTTAAAGGAGAGGTGGCTTTATGTACATATGACCCTGCTCTCCTGGCCACAGCCCATCAGAACAGAAATGTACCCCACCCCACACACCTGGGCCAGTTATCTTCTCTCCTGGGAACTTGGAAATGAGACACAGAACTAAGACAGTAAAGGTTAGGACAGTAAAGACAACTAAGCGTTGGGGCTCAAATAATGTTAATTAGAGGCTAGAAAAACCAAAGCCACTTAAGAAATAAATTTTTAGAGGAGCAAGAATTAAAAACATTGCAAAGGGACTGAAGTATGCAAAGTAATATGGAGCAGAAATGTGAGGAAAAACAGACGAAAGACCAGGCAGACCCAGGTGGAAATGTGGATGAAAGGGCTGCCTGAAAGCCTTCAGTCCCAGTGAAGGCAGGCTGAACTGATGTGGATGGGATTTCATGGGATTCTATATTTTTACAAGTGCCTGTTTACTTAAACTAGGATGAGTGGACTTCTGCGTCTTGCAATAAAATGATACCAAAGACCAAAGTATTAAAACACATAAACACCATCACGAGCATTAAAGCATCTGATGCTACACCCATCAAGTCTTTAGGTAGTCGGTCCCTTTTGAACAGTCTCCTGGTGTCCTCCCCAACAAAGAAATCAGAAAAATTTTCTTCCCTAGCTCTTTGCAGTTGGGGCCAAGTTTTGTGACCTAGGCTCTTCCTGTCAGACACACACATAGAGTTCAAATCAGAAACGAGCAAGGTAAGGAAACAGGCTTGGTGGGATATCTGCTTAAGATATTCAGCTCTCCACTGGTTTTCCTGGTGAGAGCAGCGGCAGAGCTTCTGGGTTTCAGCAGTGTGGGTTACAAGATAAAATTCCAGAGTAGAAATGGCATCAGTGCCAGTGGTGTTAGCAGTTATCTCAGACTCTACTTTCTGGCAGCCTCACAAACTGAAGCATCTGGTGCTCAGCTTGGACTGGCAGCAGTGAGTGCTTCCCATTAGGCCATTTCTCAGCATGAATTTGGGATGTTCTGTCTTAATTCCAAGCCTGTTTGTTCCGCCTCCCAATAATTCTATGAGCCACTCAGTCTCCTTTAAAGAAAGTTGTGTTGGCCGGGCGTGGTGGCTCAAGCCTGTAATCCCAGCACTTTGGGAGGCTGAGGCAGATGGATCACCTGAGGTCAGGAGTTTTCAGACCAGCCTGGCCAATATGGTGAATCCCCATCTCTACTAAAAATACAAAAATTAGCCTGGCGTGGTGGCGCACGCCCATAATCTCAGCTACTAAGGAGGCGGAGACAGGAGAATTGCTTGAGCCCGGGCAGTGGAGGTTGCAGTGAGCTGAGATCGTGCCACTGCATTCCAGCCTGGGTGATAGAGCATGACTCCATTTCAAAAAAGAAAGAAAGTTGTTTCTTAAACGTGCCAGGGTAGCTTCTGTTATTTGTAATTTATAAAATCCTGACCAAGCCAGCATTTTAGGCCACAAAACTGTTCCTAAGACCAGTCCATTACCTCTGTGAGCGCAGGAACTTGATGCACCCTTGGTGTTTCTAGAACACCTTGACACCAGGACTGTAAGGGTTCTACCATATTTTTATGTGAGGGGGCCGATACAGTTAGCCATAAACTGATAAACTAAGAAATTATTCTCTGTCTAGGTGCCATCCTTGGTAGGAAGCTTTATTAGAAGCCAAAATAAAGAAGACTATGCTGGCCTAAAAGAAGAATTTCGTAAAGAATTTACCAAGCTAGAGGAGGTAATTATTTCTCCTAGCTATCATCAGAGTAAACGATAACTATATCTACCCTCCTTTTCCTCCTATTCTTTTCTTTATATTCCCACTTTCCAAGTCACTTTAAGGTAATTAGGAAAATTCCCCTAAACATTTTTGTTTACAGCAGACTGCTGTTATAAAGCAGAAAGCTGTCCTGCTTAAGATATAAATCAAAACACCTAAACAGACTTTGTCATGGGCTTGCTTTTAAAATATTCTGCTAATGTTAAAATAACAAGGAAAAAGGAAATTGTACCCACGTTTCCACAAGTTTTTATGTATCCAGTTTTCCATGCTTGTTTGCAGTCCTTGTCCATATATTTAAAAAAAATTAATATAGCTCTAATCAGAGCATAGATATCATTCTGTGTCCTGCTTTTTTTCCTGTGTCCACTTAGTATTACATACTAAATATTTCCCACCAGAAAAAGTTTGCAATGAACAGTACAGACACTTGAGGGAAGCCCAGATGTATTTTACCTTCTTTTGGGGACAGCTGACATTTGGGCCTTGGAGTCTGTCTCTTGGCCTTGAAATATTTCATTCATGCTAAGCCTGAAGTTTTTACTGACAGAAGACATAGTTCCTGTCTTTCATGGGAATGCATTTTAACATTTTATCAGTAAGCATGATGTTTGCTGTAGGTTTTTCAGAAACCTTTTTTTCATTATAAAGTTCTCTTCTATTACTAGTTTGCTAATTTTTAAAAAAGTCATAAATGTTGAATTTTATTGAATGGTTTTTCTGCATCTGTTACATCTATTGAAATGTTCATAGAATTTTTTCCTCTTAATCTGGTGAATATGGTGCTATTGACAAATTTTTTTTTTTTTAATGTTTAACCATCCTAGCATTCCTAAGATAAAACCTACTTGTTCTCTATGGATTTTTATATGTACTGTAGAATTAGCTAATGAATGATTTTTGTATGTGTGTTCATAAATGAGATTGGCCTATAAATTTTCTACTCTTATAGTATCATTATTGGCTTTTGGTTTCAAGGATATTCTGACCTCATAAAATGAGTTGGGTAACTAACCTGTTTTTCTAATCTCTGAAACCATTTGGTAGGGACTAGCGGTTTCTTTAAAACATTTGAGCCTGGTGTCTTTAACAGGGGTAGATTTTTCATTACTAGTTTGATTTCTTTAATGGTAATTGGTTTTTTGGTTTTATATTTCTTCTTGAATCAGTGTTGGTACTTTTATATTTTTCTGCTGAACAGTGTGGGAGCTGGAAAGTAAGATGCAGTCCATATTCTTCAGATAATTAGTTTAGTAGTAGACAGAACACAGTAGGTAGATATAAGCAATCTAAAATGCATATTATGCATTGAAAAAAAACTATGGAGGTTATTTATAAAGGGCAAATTAGTTTGGTGGTTTAAATAGCCAGATAATATTCTCAATCACCCCCTTTGGCAAACCCTGTAACCAATTCGCCTTCTTAAAATTTCAGAAACATACAATTTGTGTTTTGTTTTCAAATGATTGTCATCTGTTTAGCAGTTAATCCAGTCTATTTCCAGTATATTTTAAGTACAAATGCTTTTGCACTTACAATGGGGTTACATCCAATAAACCCACCGTAAGCTGAAAATATCATAAGTGGAAAATGCATTTAATAAACCCAACCTACAGAGCATCATAGCTTAGCCTAGCCTGCTTTAAATGTGCTCAGAAAACTTCCATTAGCCTGCAATTAGGCAAAATCATCAAACATAAAACCATCAAACATAAAATATTTATAAAGTGTTGAATATCTCATATAATTTATCGAATACCTGCATCCAAAAGATGCTGGCAACACAGCACACTTTAGAGCATTGGTTGTTTACTCTCTTGATGGTATGGCTGCCCAGCATCAAGAGTTATCATACTGCAAATCGATAGCCCAGGAAAAGAGCAAAATTCAAAGTTCAAAGTAGAGTTTTTACTGAATGCTTGCTTTTGCACCGTCGTAAAGTTGAAAAGAATTTAAATTGAACCATCATAAGCTGCAGACTGTGCATTTTATATTGAAAAGTTAATATTTTTAATTTTTAATGCAGAGAAGTACCCAAAGCATAAAAACACAACACGTTTTCACAAAGCGAACACAGCCATGGAACCAGCACCCATATCAACTAACAAAATACTAGTTTGGGCTTTTTTGTACTTTATACAAATGGACTCATATAATGTTCATCTTTTGGGTCTGCCTGCTTTCATTCAATATTAGGTTTGTGGGTTCATCTCTGCTGTGTGTAGTTCTTTCCTGTTCTTTATACAGTGTTCCAAAGTATAGTATATTACACTTTACCCATTCTACTCTTGATAGTAAACGTTTTCACATTTGGGCTATTACAAATAGTGCTGCAGTGAACATTCACATAACATATCTTTTGGTGAACATGTGTTACATTGCCAAGTACAATTGCTGGGTGATGAGTATGCATACTCTTAAAACATGGTTGTACCAATTTACACCTCTACGACAGTGGTTCCATACCCTTGCCAACTTCATTTTGTTCATTGTAGGCATTCTCTTGGGTGTATAGTGTTATTGCATTTTGGTTTTAATTTGCATTTCCCTAATGACTAATGCAGTTGAACACCTTTCCAAATGATAATTGGCCATTTGGACATCATCTTTCTTGAAGATCAAGTCTTGCTCATTTTTCCAATGGGTCGTTTGCTATTTTTCTTACTGATTCCCAGGAATCCTTTCTATATTCTGAATACCAGTCCTTTGTATTACAAATATGTTGTACTCTGTGACTTGTTTTATTTTTCAATTTTCCAGTTTATGTTGTTGATTGTTTTACTTCATCCCAGACCAACAGATTCTAAAGCTTAATTAAGCTTTTTGATCAGAAAAAAACCCAACTTGGATACATCGGAGTAAAAACTGCTTCTCTCACCTGCTCTACTTATTTCCCTTCAGCATTTCTAGTGAGTCTTACTACATGCACAAGTAAGAAATACTTTTATGCTGTTTAATGTTCAGGTTCTGACTAATAAGAAGACGACCTTCTTTGGTGGCAATTCTATCTCTATGATTGATTACCTCATCTGGCCCTGGTTTGAACGGCTGGAAGCAATGAAGTTAAATGAGTAAGATATTTGAATATTTTGTGCATAATTTAGGATGACAGGTGGAATAGTATATATTGACCTTTCTTTATAACAGAAGTTGAAATATTTAATACAACTGGTCTGAATGAGAACAAGCAGACAGGGGAATCTTGGACTATCCCAGGCATGTCATATACCTACACTAACTACTCTCCATCACTGCAATGGGGCAGGGGATTTCTGAGACATGTAGTAAAGTGCTTTAAAATTTATTCCTTCCTTCCTGATTAAAAACCCATAAGGGGAAGGATATGGTAGCTTACGCCTGTAAGCCCAGCACTTCGGGAGGCCGAGACGGGTGGATCATCTGAGGTCAGGAGTTAGAGACCAGCCTGGCCAATGTGGTGAAACCCCATCTCTACTAAAAATACAAAAATTAGCTGGGCATGGTGGTACACACCTGTAATCTCAGCTACTCGGGAGGCTGAGGCAGGAGAATCACTTGAACCCGGGAGGCAGTTGCAGTGAGCTGAGATCATGTCACTGAACTCCAGCCTGGGCAAGAGCAAGACACTTCATCAAAAAAAAAAAAAAAATTCCATAAGGTTGTAAATTTTTGTAAGGATGTTGTTGCGGGATTGTACGACCAGTGTTACCTCCCATTTACCGTAAGATTTCCACATTATTTTCCAAATTCTGTTTTGAGTTTGGCAGCCACCTTGCCTTACTCCGGCTTCTTGGACGATAGAGCTATTCAGGGTTACTTTTGGTCATAATCTGGGTGTAGAATAATTAACATAGAACATTCCTGATTGTATTCCCTGTTCTTATTTTAATAAATTGTCAGTTTCTCTCTTTGGGCAAGTTCTCACATTAACTGAACAAATTGCTTCACTCTAGTCTCATTCCTTTTGTGTAAAAAAGGGACCTCTATAGTGTCTTTCAAATTGAATATTCTATTACAGGCATTTTTAAATATTTTTAATGAAATATTTAAGGGAAAAAAGTGAAACTGTAGAGTAATAATTACATATGGGAGACTCTGTGATGTCATCCTAGTTGACCTAGCTCACACCTTTCATTTTTTCCTCTTCCCACAGGTGTGTAGACCACACTCCAAAACTGAAACTGTGGATGGCAGCCATGAAGGAAGATCCCACAGTCTCAGCCCTGCTTACTAGTGAGAAAGACTGGCAAGGTTTCCTAGAGCTCTACTTACAGAACAGCCCTGAGGCCTGTGACTATGGGCTCTGAAGGGGGCAGGAGTCAGCAATAAAGCTATGTCTGATATTTTCCTTCACTAATATGAATAATAGCATGCTTTTATTTTACCAAGGTTCAGGTTGCATGGGATCATCTTCTCTGACTGATTTGACATCAACAGCCAAACGGTGGGGGTCTCCTTAACGCCCCCCTACAGAAATGAAAATGCATTTCCTGTCTCAGGATGCTGAAACGACTCTGAGGGTTCTATCATAGTCCATGCTGAAAACCCCCAAATTATCATCTTTAGCAAAATCTGGACTTGAATCTTTTTTTTTTTTTTGAGACGGAGTTTCACTCTTGTTGACCAGGCTGGAGTGCAATGGCCTGATCTCAGCTCACCGCAACCTCCGCCTCCTGAGTTCAAGCGATTCTCCTGCCTCAGCCTCCTGAGTAGCTGGGATTACAGGCATGCGTCACCACGCCTGGCTAATTTTTTTGTATTATCAGTAGAGAAGGGGTTTCTCCATGTTGGTCAGGCTGGTCTCCAACTCCCGACCTCAGGTGATCGGCGCGCCTCGGCCTCCCAAAGTGGCATGAGCCACCGTACCCGTCCACAATCTAACTTTATAACTGCTCACAGGAAATACCCACTCAGTTACCCTGTTGTGTGATTTCATGAGATGCTCTCTTGTTGCTTGTCTTCTGGTTTCTTAGTTGAGAAGCTTTCAATTCCTCCTTCTTTCATTTCCATCATCAACTTAATTTCACATTCTCTCTATTGTTGGCCCTGAAGACCAGACGCACATTACCCGAAAGCTGGGTGGCTGGGCAGACTCCTATTTGGTCTCCCTGTCTCTAACCCCTTCAAATCCTTCCTATCAAATCCCATGTTGGGCACATAGGTGGTGTCCCATTTATGTAATTAAATACTGTGTAGGCTGCATCAGTCAATTCTGCCTACAAGGTTGATGAGTAATAGGTAAGAGCCCCACTGAGAAATAGAAATGCCATCTTCCACACATTTCCATAGCCCACTGGGTTGCTCACTATTCAATTTTTATTATCACATCACCACCACGAGAAGGTAGGTCGGAGAGCAATCATTTCATTCTATAGATGATGCAACTAAGGTCCCGAGGTTAAGTGAGGCCTTAAGGTGCTGGCAGAAAGATCACACCCAGCGCACTGCTCTTACCATTGGAATCAGGGCTGTCGGTCCGCTCCAATTGTCTGGTTTCCTGAACTTATTTTCAAGTTCGCCATTGAGAGAAACCTCCGAATGACTAATTCTTAAATTTAAGGGTGCATAATAATCACCTATGGCTCACCGCTGCATTTCCGATTCAGCAGGCTGGGGTGGGTAGCGAAGTCTGTATTTCAAATGAGCCCCTCAACCCAGGTGACGCAGGCGGTGTGGGGACCGCATCCGGAGGGCGACCTGGAGCCGACTGACTTCACAAAGGCCTCCTGCCGCAAACCTTCAGCGGCCACCAAAGCCCCGGCTGCCGGCGGCGGACCACCTCTGCTGCCGCGCGCCTACCGGAGCCGCTTGGCCCTAGTGCTTTCCAGCGGATTTCCCCTCAGGTGCGGAGCCGGGTGCCGGGGTCCCACAGCCAACCACTACCGGTTCCTCTTTCGTCAGCCACCGGCGCCGGCAGGACCCGCGAATCCCGATCTCCAGGAGCCTGTAAGGAGGCCGCCCATTGGCTCAGCCGCACTGCTGGGCAGGTACTTCCAAAGCTTTGAGGATTGGCTGATGCTCTGGGCGCCGGGGCTAGTTGGCGGGTAGGATCACGTGCGAGGGGCAGGCCCCGTCTAGGCCCCGCCTCCTTGCTGCTGCTGCCGCCGCCAATCCTGGTCCGGTTGCCCGAGTTCCCGGAGGTCTCTCGCGGGACCTCTCTCACCGCCACCGGTGGGTCCGTTCGGCCTGCGTTGTATTGGAAGGGAAGAGGGGTTTGAGGTCAATTCTGTTTCCTGGGGTTTTCACGAATTTCGGGGCCCACAGTAGGCTTGCCAACTTTAACTTTTGCCTAACACTTTACGAGAAATCCTATTTAGCCTTGGCCACTGTTGCATCAAAGAATTTCACATCCAACAAAGTGCAGCCTAAGAATAAAGAACAGGTCTTTAAACCGCATACCTTTAATTAAGGTGTTCTTATTTTTTCTGATTTGGCTGGAAACAGGCAGAGACCACCCCAGATAACCAGTTCTCAGCCTTGCGTGGGACACCACGAGTCCCACGTGTTTACGTGTTTAAGGCACTGGCAAGCAGGGGAATTTGGTTTCTGGGAATGTGCTGTCTTTGTGAAAACTGTGAAAAGTCTTCCCTGCTACATTGAAATAATCATAAAATAATAATAGCTAATGTTGAACACTTACTATGTATCAGACACATGCTAAGCATTCAATATTTCTCATCCAGTTTCTGAATGAAACCTTCGCAAACCACATAATGTACTGGTACTATTAGCTACGAATTACATATAAGAACACCCGAAAGTTGTTGTCATTTGCCCAAGGTCACCCAGCTAATAAATATTGAAGAGATTCGAATCTAGCCTGAACTCTTACAGTAAGACCGTTCGTGAGATGAATTTATATGTGCTATTTTTCCAGTCTCTTTATCCAACAGCTCTGACAGAGGATAGTATCTACCTTTTTTTTTTTTTTTTGAGACGGAGTCTCGCTGTTCTGCCCAGGCCGGACTGCAGTGGCGCGATCTCGGCTCACTGCAAGCTCCGCCTCCCGGGTTCACGCCATTCTCCTGCCTCAGCCTCCCAAGTAGCTGGGACTACAGGCGCCCGCCACCGCGCCCGGCTAATTTTTTGTATTTTTAGTAGAGACGGGGTTTCACCGTGTTAGCCAGGATGGTCTCGATCTCTTGACCTCGTGATCCGCCCGCCTCAGCCTCCCAAATCGCTGGGATTACAGGCGTGAGCCACCGCGCCCGGCCTGTATCTGCCTTTTTGACCACACCATTATTCGTGGGATTTAACAGGAGTTAATGAGTTAATAATGTTCCTTTTCCAAACTCAGTGGTTTTGATTTTACAAATTATTTGACTTTTCCTGATTTCAGGATCTTGACAATTTGCCTTTACTTATTCAAATGTTATTATACCAAATATTTATTTAAAAAGTTTTTTTTTTCTTTGATTCCTCAAGTTGTAGAGAGAAATAGGGATAGGGAAGCAGAATCAAGTAGTTAAAAAGATAGCCTCATTTGACCCTGATTTCCCAATTGGGAATATGAAATTTTTCCTGAATATAAGCACATTTGAGAATAGAACCTTTTACCTAACGTATCTCACTTTTTGAACTCATTGGACAATAAGGGAACACCCAGTAATATAATCTTTCATATAAATTAGGCTTCTAACTTATTAAGAGGAATGTACTCCAGTCCAGTTTCTGCTACTATCAAGAGATGGCGTGACAAAAAATTTTGAAAAGTTGCCGAATGCAAACCACAGTTCCTCTTCTCAAAACAAATGCATGTAAATAGAGTGTAAGCTATTTCTTTGGTGGCATTATTTTCCTAGAAGGCTTAAGTCGTTAATCACCCATGACCGAAGATCCAAACATTTTCAAAGCAGATCCGATCATATTTCAGGTGGCTGAAAATGGATTTGGAGTAGGTTTAATATGGTCTACTTACAATTTGTTTCATGATTGAGTGGGTCAGTATAATAAAGGTATAAACATGAAATAACATAGAAGGAAAGTTTGCAAAGAGGATTTCAAAGAAGTACCTGTTGGGTATTCAAAAGAAAGTAGGGATAAGCTTAAGGTTAAAATCTTTCTAGGGAAAGTATAGTGTTCAGAGGTAAGATTAAAAACCACATTACTGAAATGGAGTCTGCAGCATTCAGCCCATTCAATTGGCATTAAACTGGTAACTGGTGAAATAAGTATTGTGAGTTGAACTTTAATTCTAATATGCTTGGCAAAGCCGAATCACAGTGTGCTTCATCTTTGTGGATACAAAATTGGAATGCACTCTGCTATTTAAAATGTGTTCTTACTCACTAGCGTTTGTCATTAACTTTGACGTATACTGAGCTCTTACTATACTGACGATGCCCTGGACTATTTGATTCGATACTCACAATTCATAAAGTAGGTATTATTGGTGTTCTCATTTTGCAGGTGAGGAAAGTGAAATCCAAAAAGGTTAGATAGCTTGCCTAAGTGCCAAAGCTGGGTCTCAAAAAGTCAGCCCATTGGGCTCCAGGGCCTGTTCTGAGAACCTTGACACTAGATTGTTTCCCTTTAGAGGAGAACAGCTTCCATCCCTGTCTTCTAACTCTACCAAATTAACTTGGCATTTCAGAACTTGATTTCCCACATACAGATACACTTTTCATGAACATTTCCCAACTCTCAGAGTTAGTTTCTTTTAAAAGGTGGGAATGAAAAAACAAAACTTGGAAAATCATCCTCTTCTGGCAAAGTAGAAAGGTGGATCCAGGAACCTTTTAATTTACAAATGGAATTCCCAGTTTGGCCATTATCCAGAGACCATGGATGGGCAAATTAAGGCCATTGGGCTAAATCCAACCAATTGTTGGTTTTTTTATAGCTCAATATCTAAGAATGATTTTTTACATTTTTAAAGGGTTGAAAAAGAAAAACCAGTCACAACGTGATATGTGAAAATTATATGAAATTCACCAAGAGTGAGCCCTAATATATTAACTATGGATGTTGGGTGATAATATGTCAATGTGGGTTCATTGATTGTAATAAATGTACCTCTCTGATTGGAATATTGATAGTGGAAGAGACTGTGCATGTGCGGGGGCACAGGGTATATGGGAAATGTGTATTTTCTGCTCAATTTTGCTGTGAATCTAAAACTTTTTTTTAAAAAAAGGCTATTAAAATACATATATGCAGTTCAAATTCAGTGTGTCCATAAATACAGCCACACCCATTTGTTTATTTATCATCGATGGCTGTTTTTACACTACAAGTGTAGAACTAAATAGTGGAGACCAGATGGCCTGAAAAGCCTGAAATATTTAATATATGTAAAAACATTTGCCAATCATTCAGTTCATGGCATCTGATAAAGACTAAGATACTGGTTGAGATTGTTGCCGCTGGAGTCAAACTTCCAGGGTTCCTAGTCCTCCCTCTTTCACTTACTAGTTGAGAAGTGCTTAACTATGCTAGTCTCAGTTTACTCATCTTTTAAAGTGAATCAAAATAGAACAGTTATGGGACTTTTTTTTTTTTTTTTTTTTTTTTTTTTTTTTTTTTTTTTTTTTGAGACGGAGTCTCGCTCTGTCGCCCAGGCTGGAGTGCAGTGGCGCAGTCTCGGCTCACAGCAAGCTCCGCCTCCCGGGTTCACGCCGTTCTCCTGCCTCAGCCTCCTGAGTAGCTGGGACTACAGGCGCCTGCCACCGCGCCCGGCTAATTTTTGTGTTTTTAGTAGAGACGGGGTTTCACCACGTTAGCCAGGATGGCCTCAATCTCCTGACCTCGTGATCCGCCCGCCTCGGCCTCCCAAAGTGCTGGGATTACAGGCATGAGCCACCGCACCCGGCCCAGTTATTGGACTATTTTAAGAATTAACTGGGTCAATACACATGAAGCACCAAATATATATTAGTAATAATTTATTTTGATTTTGAGATTTTGCAACCCTCTTATGGCCTTTTTTAGGCTATGGATATATTTTTCTCAACTATCTTGAAATCTGCTTTTTTTATATGAGGGATGCATGTGTATGCCCAGAAGTCATCTTACCTACCAGGAGCTCTAAGATGACATGGTTGTGTTTCTTGCTTCTATTTTACCATCCAATTTGTCCTTCTTGATCAGAATTAGCTCCAAAGTAGTAGAAGTTACTCTGTTACTTTCTCTGTCTTCTTAAATGAAAAGTTGTCAGCGTAGCAAGCCGGGAACCAATATGTCTTCTCCAACACCAGATTTCTTGCTGACATATATGCATTTTATTTTCAGAGAACATTTATTCAAACATTTTTGCCATTCCCTGATTCTTATAAAATGTTAATACTTTCCATATTATTATCTAAGCTTATTTCACATGAAATCATTGAATGACAGCAAAAAATGTAGTTGAGTCACTATTCTGAAGATTTGCAAAGATTCTTATTCACTAGCAAAAAATGTTAACACTATTATTAACCAAGAAGTTCTGGATAGACTGGAATTCCAAAGGCCAAACAGTACCCAGTTATAAGCTACATAATTAGGCTCTGTCATTTTAATAAAAGATATTTAGATTCAAGTATTATTTGTTGAGCAGCCATTACGTGCTATATCTTTTCCTGGACTTAAAATCCTTTCCTCCTAACACTATTACCAGTTTTAAAGGTCAAGACAACGAGTCAAGCTTTGGACTTTTAAAGTTCTTCAACCCTACTAGCTGGTCACTTTGGGCAAATAATTTCATTTTTCTGAAGCTGTTTTCTGTTTTGAAAAGTAGAAATAATATGAGTTGCCTGACTGAGCAATTGTAGGAATCAAGGTAATCTATGGAAATAATTTAGTCAGTATGAGTGAGACACAGAAAATATTTTTCTTTCCTTCATGATCTGTTAATCCTACAAAATGCATTTACAAGCAATTCCCACATCAGCTCAATTCTGGAAAATTTAAGGAATTATTTTTTTACCTGCTGAAATTCAGGATCTCAGCTTATCAGCATCAGAGCCAAAGCCACGTCTATTATCTCACGTAAACAGAAAAGCTGTGCAAGTCGCCCCTATATGGCTGGGCTGTTGGCAATGTATCCTTGGCAACTAGTAAGAGTGTTCTCAAAAATTTATGCTGGGGAACGGGGGAAGCTCACAAATTGTTCTTTGCCTCCAGGTATCTTAATTTTATTCATTGCCAGTTTTTCAGAGCTTGGGTAAAATCTCACAAGTAGGGCCAGGACTGGGATGAGGCAACTGAGGTGTCTAGGGTGCAAAATGTGAGTTGTCTAGACACCAAAGTTGTCTAGGTGTCTAGGAGGCACTCACTCTCTGGGGTATGTGAGATTTCAACACCAATGACTTTTTCTTTCCTAGTTGCTGTATCATGAGAATGTTTGGCCTTATTATTTTTTAAAGCTGTACTTACTTACCAAAGAGTGGCCAGTTTAGTGATGCAAGAGATTCAGAATGGGAAAAAAAAAGTCAGCTTTACCCTAGTCAGTTTTGATTAAACTCCTTTGAAATCCATGTTGGAGTTTAAATGCCCATTCTTGAGGGATTCTTGATGTAGAGGAGGCCCCTCCAAAGCTTTAAGCACATGTCCAGAGCAAGGGGGAGCTTTTCTGGTGTTATTTTGTCTTGTTTTGTTTTTTGCCAGCTCCTACTCTCGGGCTTCCAAATCTGGGGCGATGTCTCCCCAGGTTAAATTACCCTAGCTCCTGCTCCAGATCGCTTCCCCGTGCCCCGCCAGAGCCCAGTAGTTCAAAAATTAAATTTGGGGCAAGGGGTGCGCGCCAGAGCGCAGCTGTTTCTGGAGCCTGCGGCAGCGGTGGCGAGCCACAGGGCGGCGACCGTGAGCTCCGGGAGCTGCGCAAACCACCTGGAGACCATGTCTGGGGATGCGACCAGGACCCTGGGGAAAGGTGAGTGCTCTCCATGGGGTCCGCGAGCTGGGGGCGCCGCGTGACAGAAAATGTTGGCTTCGGCGGAGCTGCCTGGCCTTGGCCTGCAGACCGGCGGGGCAGGAAGGGACTTGGAGGGCTCTCCTGAAGAAAAGCCACATGCAGCACTGCCCTCTCTGGGACTTGGGAGTTGGAGCTCCCACAGCCATCTTGGGATCTGGGCAAGTGAGCGAGCTCCTTCCTCACCGGGCTGACTAGCCTCTCCTTTCCCTGTCCCCCTCCATCGCTGCTCTGCAGGAAGCCAGCCCCCAGGGCCAGTCCCGGAGGGGCTGATCCGCATCTACAGCATGAGGTTCTGCCCCTATTCTCACAGGACCCGCCTCGTCCTCAAGGCCAAAGACATCAGGTGAGAAGCGGGAACCCAGAGCCCCCGAGCAAACCCAGCGCCTCACAGGAGCCCGGGAATGTTTAACATCTGGGGCGCCCTGCTCAGCTTTTACAAGGGGCTCCCTGTCCCTTTTTTCGGAGGCAAAGTCAACAAATAGCAAAGGGCGAGCTTTTTTTTAGCGGGCCCTACTGAAATGCGGAGCCCTTTTCCGAGTCACGCCTATGCATGAAACTTCTAGCCCAGCGCAGAGTAATGTGAATGATGGGGCTGGTGAACTGGTTCCCTCCCAGAATGTTTAAGGGCACAGCCAACACTACTGAGGCCTTACCTGACTGCTCCACAGAGGTAGTTCCCCCACCACACCCCAGGCATCTTAGGTCACTGTTTCCTTTCTTTATTGAACTTACTGCATCCAGCATTTTCTTATTTGTTCATCCATCTCCCCTCCCCAGTCCCCTTCACCCATGTGCGTTCTCGAGGGTAGGAACTCTGTCTCTTTTATTCATGAGCTAGGAGAGAGCCTGTCACATAGTGGATGCTCAAAAAACATCTGTTAAATGAATGAACAAATCTTTCCAAACAATGAAATAGAAGGAATTGCTATCAAGAGGTGTCTGGAAGTTTTCAAGACACCTTGAAAACTTGAGAAATGGGTACAGATGCTTCCAAAAGGAAGTTTGCAAAACCAGCTCCTGCAGGTCTGGATTTGGAGGGCAGAGCAGCTTTGCTGGGATGTGGACTGCATAATGCAGCTGGCCTCCAAGCTAGAGTGTTGAGAATATGTCACTCCAGGCTCCCGACTCTTGTCTCGGAGAGTCCATCACAAGGGGGTGACTTCAGAGTTTCAGACTCATGTCAGAGAGATACAAAGACTAATACAGAGATGTTTTAAATAAAATTATGTAAATCTGCCTTGTTGAGTATATAGGGCCTGTATTTCCACATTCTTCCCTTTTGCTCAAATTAAGCTGACCTTAAGGTTACCTGTTTTTTGAGGAAAATAACAACAACTGGATGTTTTGCCCATTTGGTGATAAATTATCAGCTTAGGAGCTGATGTATTTCCTTAGGTCAGCGTTTCTCAAACTTGGCACTGTTGACAGTTTAGGCCAGATAATTCTTTGTTGGAGAGGTGGGATAGAAGCTGTCCTGTCCATCACTGGATGTTTAGCAGTATCCTTGGTCTCTACCCATTCAATGACAGTAGAGTCCCCCTTCCCTATGCACTACCTTCAGTTGTGACAACAAAACCATGTCTCCAGACATAGTGATATGTCCCTTGGGAAGGAGGCCAAAAATCACTTCTAGTCGAGACCCATTGCTTTAGGTTGAGACCCACTGCTTTAGGTCTTGCTATGTGGCCTATGCTGGTCTCGAAATCTTGGGCTCAAGCAATCCTCCCACCCTGGCCTCTCAAAGTGCTGAGATTACAGGTGTGAGCCACCTCATCCAGCCTCTGCTGTAGGTTTAAGACAATCTCCTAGACTAAGCAATGAACGTTCCCATTTGTTTCCTTTCATGTTTTTAAACATACGTTCATGCTTCTGGTAACTATATAGTTATCTAAATAATAATTGTATTATGTGAACATTAAATAATAATAGTATTATTTGAACATCTAATAATTAGAAGAAGAATTAAAAAAGTTATTGCATGCTTATGTGCCAGGCACTGTCCTAAACACTTTATACATATCCCCACCACAGTACCAAGAGATGGGTGTAATTATTAGCCCCATTTTATAATTAAGGACACTGAGCACAGAGAGGTTAGGAATTCGGTTAAGGTCCCAAGCTAGACCGTTTATTCTGATGCCAAAACTCATACTCTTAATTGTTAACATTTACCATATTCTGTTGTGACCTGTTAATACCAGATTTGTATTTTCAAGCTGTAGAATGTACTAAACTCTCTAATGCCATGGTTAAGTGTGTGAGCTCTGAGTCTGTCTGCCTGGCTGTGATCTTGGCTCTACTACTTTTTTTTTTTTTTAGATGGAGTTTCTTGCCCAGGCTGGAGTACAGTGGTGTAATCTCAGCTCACTGCAACCTCCACCTCCCGGGTTCAAGCAATTCTCCTGCCTCAGTCTCCCAAGTAGCTGGGGTTACAGGCGCCCGCCACCATGCCTGGCTACTTTTTTGTATTTTTTAGTAGAGATGGGGTTTTGCCATGTTGGCCAGGCAGGTCTTGAATTCCTGACCTCAGATGATCTGCCCGCCCCAGCCTCCCAAAGTGCTGGGATTACAGGTGTGAGGCACCGCGCCCGGCCAGCTCTACTACTTCTTAGTGGGTGGTATTGGGTGTGAGATTCAACCCCCTTGAGTCTTCTTTCCTATGAGGTGAGCCTACTTCAGGGGGAATTATGAGGAACAACTGAGATAAGGCATGGAAAACATCCGACACATCTTACTGCAGGAAGGAAGATGATGATGTTATGTATTTTATACAAAACTTAAACCTTAAAACACTAATTGCAAATTTTAACTTTTAAACTGATTGCTTCTGCTTTCAAGAAGAGTGCCTGCCTGCAGATGCCTCTCATTTTTGTTCTGTCTTGTTTTCCTTTTGCTTTTTAAGACATGAAGTGGTCAACATTAACCTGAGAAACAAGCCTGAATGGTACTATACAAAGCACCCTTTTGGCCACATTCCTGTCCTGGAGACCAGCCAATGTCAACTGATCTATGAATCTGTTATTGCTTGTGAGTACCTGGATGATGCTTATCCAGGAAGGAAGCTGTTTCCATATGACCCTTATGAACGAGCTCGCCAAAAGATGTTATTGGAGCTATTTTGTAAGGTATATTCAATTTAAAAAGTCACTCACACTGTATTTTACTTTGCATGTCTTTCCCAAACCTCAACCCATTTTAAAGCCAAATCATTGGTGAAACTGTTTTGTTTTGATACCATGTGATCCTCAGGAGATTAGCTAGCATGGAATTAGGGTAGAGCATGGCCACTGATATTAAAGGCTTAACTGCTAGGCGCTTCTCCATTTCAACTGGCAGGCTCAGGAGGTATGGTTATGACATGGCAATGACCGTGTAACTTGAAGCAGGAATACTGAAAGAACTGAAAACTGGTGATCCTTAAAGGGAGTATTTCTCCAGCTTCAGGTAAAAAGTAATGGAGTGCGAAGATTATGCATAGAAGGTGATGCTTTTTTATTATTTTTTTTTTGAGACGGAGTCTCGCTCTGTCACCCAGGCTGGAGTGCAGTGGCACCATCTCGGCTCACTGCAACCTCTGCCACCTGGGTTTAAGCAATTTTCCTGCCTCAGCCTCCTGAGTAGCTGGGATTACAGGCGCATGCCACCACACCCCCTAATTGTTGTATTTTTAGTAGAGATGGGGTTTCACCATATTGGCCAGGCTGGTCTTGAACTCCTGACCTCAAGTGATCTGCCTGCCTCGGCCTCCCAAAGTGCTAGGATTACAGACGTGAGCCACTGTGCCTGGCCAGTGATGCTCTTTAGAAGCATAAGAGTGCCTGCTGTCCAGGAAATGTGAAGAATAGATAAATGGTGGCAGCTTTGATAATGAAAGAAAAAAGAATGGAGAAATTTTAAGATGGTGTCTTTGAAAAGGAATTTTTAAAAACCTCAATGATATTAACAGCTGACATATATCGAACACTTATGATGTGCCAGGCACTGTCCTAGTTACTTTGTAGGAGCTAACTCATTTAATCCAACTGCCCTTTGAAGTGGGTACTGCTATCGTATCCATTTTTCAGATGAGAACACTGAGGCTTAGAGAGGTTGAGTGTCCCACCTAAGAATGTATAGCATGGAAGCAGCTGATCAAGTAAGGAGCACTGGAGAAACCCTCCTAAAGCACCCTGCTTTCCCAGGGTACTATAAGAAGTAGATTCCTACTGAGAACCGGAACCACAGAGAAAACCTAGTGCCTCTCACAGGGAGCTGGGGGGTCTGATGTGGGTGTTGCCCTGTTAGGCTGGAGTTATAAAGCTTCGCTGCCTTTTCAGGCAGAACAGGAACTGGAAGTTTCCACAGACTTCTCCACTGAGAACCTGTGTCCTCTGATTAGGTCCCACATTTGACCAAGGAGTGCCTGGTAGCGTTGAGATGTGGGAGAGAATGCACTAATCTGAAGGCAGCCCTGCGTCAGGAATTCAGCAACCTGGAAGAGGTACAAAAAGGGGTCCCTCTCCTGGTCAGCTACAGTGGAGGAAGCTAGGCAGGGTCGCTAACCTGGTCACTCTAACACCAGCTTTCACAGGCTTATTCTTTCTGCCTTTGATAAGTCAGACTTCTGATCATCTGATTGCATGTTTGCCCTCCTCTAACCTGGTCTAGAATTATTCTGGAAAATCTGATGAGGAGTTGGGGAGGACATGCCATGAATTGCTTCCTTTCCCAGAGTCACCCCATCTCCCTGAGTAGCTCTGCATGGCTTCTGTAGCTTCTGCCAATGAGGTCAAGGTCTGTAAAGGTTAGGGGTTGTGTTTGGCTGCTGAAGTCTAACTACTGTAAATTCATGTTGTAAGGGTTTACTCTCTCACATAACATTCTTTCTCACGTATTATAAGGGTTTATTCTCACACATACGGTGGCTCACACCTGTGATCCCAGCACTTGGGGAGGCTGAAGCAGGAGGATCACTTGAGCCTAGAAGTTTAAGACCAGCCTAGGCAACATAGCAAGACCCCTCCTCTACAAAAATAATTTTAAAAATTAGCCAGGCATAACGATGTATACCTGTAGTCCCAGCTACTTAGGAGGCTGAGGCAGGAGGATTGCTTGAGTCTGGGAGGTCAAAGCTGCAGTGAGCCATGATTGCACCACTGCACTCTAGCCTGGGTGACAGAGTAAGTAGGACTGACAAAAAAAAAAAAAAAAAAAAAAAAAAGCCAGAGGTAGGCAGTTCAGGCCTATCTTGATGGCTTCTTCATGACATTATCAGGAACTGAAGCTTTTTCTCTTTATGGGCTCTGTCATCCTTAGCACAACTTAGTACAAGGGTATCATCCTCAAAATAACAAGATAGCTGCTGTCACTGCAGCCATCACATCCAAGTTCCAGGCTCTGAAAAGGAGAATATAAAGAAAAAAATGGCAAATGGTCATACCCCTTTAAAGGGCTTTAAATCCTACCAGAAATTCTACTCAATGGCTATTTACATTTCGTTGGCCAGAACTTAGTTGTGGGGTCATAACTATCTTAGAGAAAGCTGGGAAATACAGTCTTTTAGCTGGGATACCCTGAATAAAATCAGAGGTCTGTAATTAAGGAAGAAGGGGGAAATGGGTGCGGTGGCAGGAATACTCTTTGCCAGTAGATGCTTCATTAACCTGGCAGTAATGGAGCTACTTATCCTGTACTTCTAGAATAATCAGGAAGGCAGTTCTTTTACTTCCTTTATTTTTGCTCCAGAAACTGACAAATTCACCTTATGGGTGGGTGGTTCCTCTATTGGCAGCCAGAGAATACAATTTTTTTCCCCTTAAGGGAAGACTGGTTATTAATACTCTTCCATTTGACCTTTATCAAGTGGAAACAGATTAAATGTATTGATATTTCCAGTTGCCTATCTCAAATTTGTACGATTAAGTATTTATGGATGACGAATGGTCATGTGTAGGAAATGTCAACCTTTTGTCCTGAGGTCACCAACTGTGGCCTTGACTCCAAGGAGGCCATATGATGTGGTGGAAAGAATCTTGGATCTTAGGCTTGGCTTTACTGAATTCCAGAACCTTGGGCAATGTTCTGTACCTCTCTGGGCCTTGGTTTTCCCATGTGTAAAATGAGGGATTATTTTGAAATGTGTGTTCCTCAGAGCCTCTGGGTTCTGCAGGGGACTGCCCAGTGAGTGGAGGCCTGGTAGATTGTTCTAGACACTGCTTTACTTAGGTCAGCACTGCCTTCAACCACCATGTTCAACCTGACATCTAAGAAGATGGCATTTGGGGAGAGAGGAGAGCTGCTGCTTTAAAAAAGAAGTTCGAAAATCTTGTGAATAGAGAATTTATAGTCTATTTTAAAGATCAGCTGAATGGACCCCATCATGCCTGGTTACCTTCTCACAGATAAACAAATACTGGACCAGGGAAAGGAGCTGGGAAAAAAAAAACTCTTTGAATTCAACGATACAGTAATTGAAACATTTTCATCAGTTTCCCTTCTACCTCCATTTGGATGATGGATGAACTTTTTAAATTACAGATTGCTAGATGAAAGTATAGGGTTATGATGGAGATACAGTTCTTCTTCAGTCGGGGGTCTTTTCCAGGGCAAATGAACCAGTATTTTGTGCCATGAATCGTGCTGCAGATACTTGCATACATCATCTCATTCAATCTTTCCAACAACCTTCTCAGGTACAAATGGTACTAGTCCTGTTTTGCAAATTGGAGTGGCCTCTCTGTAAAGGCTCAGAACTAGGTACTAGGAATAAAAAGAAATTAAAGACCCTCGAGGGGCTCAAAGCCTGGACAGGGAGATAGGCTGTTAAGCCCATTTAAAACCTGGGTGTGTTGAGTGCTAGGCTGGAGACATGCATACAAGAAGGCTGGTCTGTGGGGGTAGATAATGCCTCTGTTGACTCTTAGGATGAATTAGAGGCACAAGGGTGAGAGCCTGGTGTGTTCGGCAAACAATAATCAGTGAGGGGTTGACAGCGAGGGAGTGATTGGTAAGAGGTGAATGTGGAGGGTGGACCAGAGTCAGATGCTAAAAGGCCTTTTCCACTGTGCCCAGGGATTTGCACTTTATTTCAGAGTTGATGGTGAGTAATTGAAGCCTGTCAAGCAGGAGAGTGGTGTACTCCTTCATGCTTTTAAAAGTATTCAGTCCATCACTTGAACCCAGGAGGGGGAGGTTGCTGTGAGCCAAGACTGCGCCACTGCACTCCAGCCTGGGCAACAGAGTGAGACTCTGTTTCAAAAAAAAAAAAAAAAAAGAAAAGAAAAGAAAAAGTATTCAGCCCAGCTGAGCACAGTGGCTCATGTCTGTAATCCCAGCACTTTGAGAAGCCAAGACGGTAGGATCGCTTGAGCCCAGAAGTTTGAGAACACCCTGGTCAACATGGCAAACCTCCATCTCTTTAAAAAATACAAAATGTTAGCTTGGCATGGTGGCTTATGCCTGTAGTCCTAGGTACTTGGGAGGCTGAGATGAGAGGATCACTGGAGCCTAGGAGGTTGAAGCTGCAGTGAGCTATAATTGCACCACTGCACTCCAGCCTGGACAACACAGTGAAACCCTATCTCAAAAAAAAAAAAAAAGAAGAAGAAGAAGTTCAGCCCAGCAAGAATGTAGAGGATGGATTAGAGTGTCCAAGAGGAGGGACTGGGAAGGGACAAAGAGGACCCCACTAACGAGGGTTGGAGAGGGAGGTTTAATTAGAGAGATTTTGAGGAACTAAGATGAGATGAAATCTGAGGAAGGAGTAGGAGTTATGGAGGATGGTTTCCAAGTTTGTGGCCGG
This sequence comes from Homo sapiens, assembly GCF_000001405.40. Taxonomy (NCBI): domain Eukaryota; kingdom Metazoa; phylum Chordata; class Mammalia; order Primates; family Hominidae; genus Homo; species Homo sapiens. Next base: position 104,282,772 of record NC_000010.11, read on the forward strand.
TAAATGTGATGCTTTTCACTAAGAGTTTGAGGGAAGACACATTTTGTCAAATTTGTGGTGTTGATGGGATATTCATATGCGGGCAGAGCTTAGAAGAACAATGTATGGTCTCTACTGGACCTTTGGAATGGTTTTATGGGCTAGGAGCTTTCACCAGAGAGTTTAGGAATGTCATTAGTGGGGTGGTGATAAATGTTTAAGAATCAATTTTCTCTTAAAAGAGAAAGAAAAAGAAAAAGCACGGATTTATAGCATTTGCTGATTTGGGTGGTGTAAACACTTCCGTCAAGGTTAATTTTGAGCTACCAATGTGCTATTTCTAAACTCAAGAGCTGGCAAAAGATGTGGGCAGCTCCAGCATGTCACTGAATAAGAAATTTCACTTTATCTTCAATAACTGAGCCCCAGGAACACTGTTGTTAACCAGCCTCTATATAGGTAGCTTTCACTAACCAGCCTCGGTGTAGGTAGCTTTCACTGATGCTATTTAAGGACCACTGAGTACTCCACATTGTCCTAACAGGTTTGAATGTGGTTTTGTCCCATAGAATGTTAGCAAGAATTGTAGCTATGGCTGGGCGTGGTGGCTCACACTTGTAATCCAGGCACTTTGGGAGGCCAAGGAGGGAGGATCACCTGAGGCCAGGAGTTCAAGACCAGCCTGGGCAACACAGTGAGACTATGTTTCTACTAAAAATTAAAACATGAACTGGTCATGGCAGTGCGGGTCTGTAGTCCCACCTTCTCTGGAGGCTGAGGCGGGAGCATCTTTTGAACCCAGGAGTTTGAGCTTGCAATGAGCTATGATCGTGCCACTGTACTCCAGCCTGGGTGACACAGCAAGACTCTGTCTCAAAAACAAATAAACAAAGAATTATAACTACAATGTAGGAAATATTGAAATCTGAAAACATGACCAATGTACTTGAATTATGCGATCTGTTCCTTTAAATGCCAAAATATTTATTCCAGGAGATTCTAGTGAAATTGAAATTTATCAGAATAATTCTAATGGAGAGGATCCCCTGATTTATGTAACTCTTTCACATGGTTTTGCACAATCAGGATTTTTTGTGAGCTAAAAATATATTAAATACTCATTGTCTTTCTGAGTGATAAGCAAGCCAAGATTTCATGCATAATCTTCTGCTATGTTATCCTGAAACAGAAGGCTCAGTTAACCTTTTGTGGCCTTAAACTCTGACACTTTCTTCTTTTGAAATAACTGCCTTGTCTAACTTTTTAAGTTTTTTTTTTTTTTTGGCTTGTTTTTTTGTTTGCTTGTTAGTTTTTTAAATCTAGTTTCAGGTGGGTTCAGTGGCTCATGCCTGCAATCCCAGCACTTTGGGAGGCCGAGGCGGGCAGATCATTTTAATCCAGGAGTCCGAGACAAGACTGTACAACATGGCAAAACCTTATCTCTACAAAAAATACAAAAATTAGTTGGATGTGGTGATGCATACCCGTGGTCCCTGCTACTTGGGAGGCTGAGGTGGGAGGATCACTTGAGTCCAGGAGGTCAAGGCTGCAGTGAGCTATGATCATGCCACTGTACTCCAGCCTGGGTGACAGAGTGAGACTTTGTCTCCAAGAAAAAAAAAATTAAGTTCCATCAAAATCAAAGATTTATTGTGCTTGTTATATAACCACATTTTTCTCTAATATCTTTTACAATTCTTTGAGATATATTACTGCCACTTTTATTATCAAACTAGCAGCCTGCTCACTGGCTTTCCTGTTCTGAACATTGGCATGAGTTTTAAAACTATGACACTTGTCTTGTCTTGCTGCACTTTATGTCTTCAAGCAGATTTTCTAGCCCTTACTGAATCATTACTCTAAGCAGCACACATTTTTTAGTTTTATTCTTTTTCAGGTATTGACTTTCCCATTTCAGAATGGGACTTGAGCCAGGCTTCATTTGATCTTTGTGGATTTGAATGTGGCAGGACCTCTTGGTGTCACTTTTTATCTGTGCCTTCCAAAAATATTTTCATTATGGAAGTAGTCAAATCAAGTCCAAGTGCAGTGAAAGGTGGATTTGGTCAGATTTCCTTGAGGCTTTGGAGTTTTGCTTTAAATCTAGAAAGTGTTCGTGGCTTCTGAATTGGTTCTGCACTCTGACTATTGCTTGGTCCTTTCTTCGTCATCATCAGAGCTCCATAAAAGAGAGCGGGGAGGGGATAACATAAATAATGCTGAAATAGCCCTGAGGGATGAGACATGGCCCAGCAACTGAAGCCTTCGTCTGCCCGTGGCCACAGGGCACTTTATGGTTTTGCTTCTTGTCATTCAACCACCTGCCTTGGGGTGCTTCACTTTGCATTTCCACGCAGAGTTTCCCGCATTGCCAAACTTGATCATGTGCCTTATGTGTAGCAGTTTGCATGAGGTGGAATTTGCATAAATTATGTGTGCATCACCCAGGAGCATCTGTAGTTAAATACTTTATTGATTCTAAATTTTGCCCATAATCTTAATTTTTTAATTATTTTATTTTCTTTTCCTCTTTTAGAGATTGGGGTCTCTCTCTATTGCCCAGGTTGGAGTGCAGTGGCACAGTCATGGCTCACTGTCGTCTTGAGCTCCTGGGCTCAAGCAGTACTTCCACCTCAGCCTCCCGAGTAGCTGGGATTACAGGCTGAAGCCACCGAGCCTGCCTCCGTTATCTTAATTATTATTATAATTATTTTTTTGAGTCAGGGTCGCACTCTGTCACCCACATTGGAGTGCAGTGACACAATCACGGCTCACTGCAGCCTCAGCCTCCTGGGCTCAAGTGATTCTCTCACCTCAACCTCCTGAGTAGCTGGGACCACAGGTTCAGGCCACCATGCCCAACTGTTTTGTTTTTGTTTTTATTTGTTTTAATTTTTTGTGGAGACGAGGTCTCACTATGTTGCTCAGGCTGGTCTTGAACTCCTAGGCTCAAGTGATTCTCCCACTTCAGCCTCCCAAAGTGCTATGATTACAGGCATGAGCCACTGCACCTGGTAATCTTAATTTTTAAACTGTTCTTTCTTCTCATCAAAAAAGACATTTATTCAAGTTAGATTATATTGTCTTGGTTTAGTTTTGCTTTTGCTCTTTCTTAATTTTTATTAATTTCCAGTGATGAAATTATTTATATATTGTTTAATTGTTTCTCCTTTGATATCACCAGGATAGGAAGAAAAGAAAGTTTATACCTGGTTAATTCGTCACTGAAAACAATTTTCTGTATCCTTTTATATATAGTAGACTACAAGCTAAATTTTTTATCATCTAAGTTAACATGTCTATAAACTAAATTCATTATTACTAGCTATTTTTAATAAGTTATTGAGATATAATTCATATGCCACAAAATTCACCCTTTTCCAGTGTACAATTCACTGGCTTTTAGTATATTAAGTGAGTTGTGCAACTATCACCAGTATTTAATTTCAGAGCGTTTTTTTTATCATCCCCCAGAAAAACTGCTCACTTGTAAGCTGTCATTTTCCATTTCTTCTCAATCCCTGTGGCTGTACGCAGCCACTGATCTGCTTTCTGTCTCTATGGATTGACTTATTCTAGACACTTCATATAAGTGGAATCATACAACATGTAGCATTTCATGAGCTATTTTCACATACCATAATGTTCTTAAGGTTCATCCTTCATTCTTTTTTATGGCTAAATAATATTCCATGTGTGAATACGCACATTTTGTTTATCCACATCTGGGAAGGTTCCACTCTTGGAACTAATATGGATAATGTTGCTGTGAACACCATGCAGGTTTTTGCATGAATATACGTTGTTATTTCTCTTGGATTTGCTAGCTGATTTAGCATGTTTACTAACATGCCATTTTAGTTGTAACCACCATTCTTTCACACTTGGGAACTGATTATCCCTGACTCAGGATGCCTCGTTAAGTGTATTAGTGCTGTTGCTAGTTGGGTTACTTCCTTCATCATCCAATTCTGACAGCTGCTAATATTTGCTGTACTTCTTTCAATAGCTTTCTGATATACCCTTTCCCATCACATAAATAATAGAATAATAATTATTCTTATTATTTAAAAATTAATTTTACTCTTCTCCAATTATAAAGTAATACTTGTTCATTAGAGAGAATTTGGAAAATACAGGAAAACATAGAAACTAAGGAAAAAAAATTATAATCCCACTACCCAGAAACAACCACTGTTATTATCTTGGGGACTTTTTTGTTTTTGTTTTCTGTCCTTTTCTGCTATGTATATTTTATGTAGTTGAAACTTGGTTACTATTATGATGTAAATATTCCCCACACCCCCTGCCATTTTATTTTGAGACAGGGTTTTACTCTGTTGCCCAGGCTGGAATGCAGGGTGCAATCACGCCTCACTGCAACCTTGAACTCCTGAGCTCAAGGGAGCCTCCCAACTCAGTCTCCTGAGTAGCTGGGACTACAGGCATGTGCCACCATGCCTAGCTAGTTTTCTTTTTAACTTTTGTAGAGACAGGGTCTCCCTCTGTTGCCCAGGCTGGTGTCGAACTCCTGGGCTCAAGTGACCCACTTGTCTTTGCCTTCCAAAATGTTGGCATTACAGGTGTGAGCCACCACACCTGGCCAATTTTTATAAACTCTGTAAATGCTTATTTACATATATAAGAGTGTTCCTTAGAGCAGCAGCATTATTTGTGATGATGACAAATTAGGAAACAATATTCATTAGATGGTGAGTGGTTAAGTAAATCATGTCTGTCTTGTGGAATTCTGTGGAACGGCTGAAAATGAATGAGGTAAATCTATGTGTACTGACATTAAAAGATTGCCTAGAAATATTAAATGAATCACACAGTAATACAGGTGGTATGATCCCATTTTAGCAGAAGAAAACAAAACTGAACCATGCAGGTGTGCACATACATGTAAATAAGTGGCTAGAAAAGTATCTAGAGAGAAACACATCCACCTCCTAGTAATGTCTCACACTGGGAAGGGGGCTGATTAGAATTAGGGTGGGTAAGAAAAGTGGTTAAGGGCAGGGACCGGGAGGGAAGATTTTGTCTTTTACATTATTTTCTGTGTTTGATTTTTTTTTTAATGATGGGAATGTATTTCTGTATTAAATATGTAAGTTTTAAAAGTAGAAAAAAACACTTTTTTTTTTTTTTTTTTGGGACGGAGTCTCGCTCTGTCGCCCAGGCTGGAGTGTAGTGGTGCTATCTCGGCTCACTGCGAGCTCCACCTCCCAGGTTCATGCCATTCTCCTGCCTCAGCCTCCCAAGTAGCTGGGACTACAGGCACCCGCCACCACGCCCGGCTAATTTCTTTTTGTATTTTTAGTAGAGATGGGGTTTCACTGTGTTAGCCAGGATGGTCTCCATCTCCTGACCTTGTGATCCATCTGCCTCGGCCTCCCAAAGTGCTGGGATTACAGGCGTGAGCCACCTCACCCGGCCGAAAACACTTTTAATGTCTGCATACTTTGCCATGTTTATAAACCATAAAGTTATTTATCCAGCACACTAATTAGGAGTGTTTAGATGGTTTTCAGTCCTTTACTGTTTTGAATGGTGCTGCAGGGAACATCAGCTTCTTTGCATAAAAAGCATTTTCTCTATTTTAGAATATGTTCTTAAGCTGGACTCTCAGGAATGGAATTACCAGATCAAAGGGTATAATGAGCACATTGGAGGCTTGGACTGTATTTCACTAAATTGCTTCCCAAAAGACTTGTGTTGTTTGCCCCTCACCAGCAGTATGTGAAAATGCTCTTTGCCCTATATCCTTTTCACTGGTGGGAGACTTCATTCAAAAAGATATTTGTTTGTTGAATAATATTTGCTGTGGAGATACACTGTAGTTCCTCATTGTTGACTTAATGCATATTTCTTTGATGGCCAGGGAAGTGGAAGGTTTTCCCGGAAGTATGTCATCCCTTGCTCCTGGTCTTGCAAAATTTGTCTGTTCAGTTCAGGGGCTTTGCCTATCTGGCCATCAGAGTCTTACTAATTTTCTTTGTTGATTTGTAAAAGTTCCTTTTAAAGCGTTCCTTGTATAGAAAAGATATTTGACTGGTTTTAAAACACATTTTTGTTTTCTTTTGACTTTTAATTTGGCTTATATATTTTTGCATATGGAAGTACAGCATTTGAAAGTATTGTGCTATAAGGCTTTCCTTATATGTGCTATGATTTCCTCCACTGTTTTATGTGTAGGAAGTCCTCTCCCCACTTCAGAGACTTGATAAATATTCATTTATATTTTCATCTACCACCAATCACTTTACAGACATTTGACTGGTCAAGCATTACCCTCCTAGCTTTTCCCCCCACACTATCTTACAAATATATTGTGATTTGTTTTAGTTTTTGTTTTTTGTTTTTGAGACAGGGTCTCACTCTGTCACTCAGGCTGGAGTGCAGTGGCATGATCATGGCTCACTGCAGCCTCGACCTCTCAGGCTCAGGTGATCTTCCTACCTTAGCCTCCTGAGTGTCTAGGACTACAGGCACCACTATGCCTGGCTAATTTTGTGTATTTTTTGTAGAGATGGGATTTTGCCATGTTGCCCAGACTGGTCTCGAACTTCTGGGCTGAAGCGATCCTTCCACCTTGGTCTCCCAAAGTACTAGGATAAAAGGTGTGAGCCACCACACCCAGCCCTACAAATATATTTTGAAGATACGAATTAAGCTCATTAAAAGGATGCCAGCATAGAATTTTCAGAGTGGTCCTTTAATCCCCAAATTTTGACAGTTGTATTCTGCACCTTCATGGAGAATCTAGGTCATAACTGATGGGCAGCAGGAGGGGCATGTTCTGCTGCAGGTCCTCCCTCTAAGGCTCCTTCCCAGAGGAGAAAATGGTCTTAAATATGCCCTAGGTTTGTTCCACACCCTAGGTTTGTTTTACAGGGAACTGGGTCATCACATGGTTAGCTCAGCCTCAGCTATATCATTTTAGCAGGGATCTGAGATTTGAAATCTTAAGAACCTCCATTTATCTTTTATGAGCTCAAAACATTTCTGCCCTCCAAAAGACTTGAATAGACATTTCTCAAAAGAAGACACACAAATGGCAAACAGACATATGAAAAGGTGCTCAGCATCATTGATCATCAGAGAAAGGCAAATCAAAACTACAATGAGATATCATCTCACCCCAGTTAAAATGGCTTACATCCAAAAGACAGGCAATAACGAATACTGGTGAGGATGTGGAGAAAAGGGAACCCTCGTTCACTGGGGCGGGAATGTTAATTAGTATAACCATTGTGGAGAACAGTTTGGAGGTTCCTCAAAACACTAAAAATTGAGCTACCATATGATCCAGCAATCCCACTGCTGGGTACACACCCAAAAGAAAGGAAATCAGTATATCAAAGAGATACCTGGACCCTTATGTTTGTTGCAGCACTGTTTACAATAGCTAAGATTTGAAAGCAACCTAAGTGTGCACGAATAAGGAATGGATAAAGAAAATGTGATACAGGCCGGGTGTGGTGGCTCACTCCTGTAATCCCAGTACTTTGGGAGGCCAAGGCTAGCGGATCACTTAAGGTCAGGAGTTCGAGACCAGCCTGGCCAACATGGTGAAACCCTGTCTCTACTGAAAATACAAAAATTAGCTGGCATGGTAGTGCATGCCTGGAATCCCAGCTACTCAGGAGGCTGAGGCAGGAGAATTGCTTGAATCTGGGAGGCAGAGGTTGCAGTGAGCTGAGATCACACCACTGCACTCCAACTTGGGTGACAGAGTCACACTCTGTCTCAAAAAAAAAAAAGAAAAAAGAAAATATAGTACATATACACAATGGAGTACTATTTGGCCATGAAAAGAATGAGATCCTGTCATTTGCAGCAACATGGATGGAACTGGAGATCATGTTAAGTGAAACAAGCCAGGCACAGAAAGACAAACATCACATGTTCTCACTTATTTGTGGAATCTAAAAATCAAAACAATTGAACTCATGAACACAGAGAGTAGAAGGATAGTTTGCAGAGGCTAGGAAGGGTAGTGTGAGCTGGCAGGGAGGTGGGGATGGTTAATGGGTACAAAAAACAGAAAGAATGAATAAGACCTACTATCTGATAGCACCACATGGTGACTATAGTAAATAATAACTTAATTGCACATTTAAAAATAACTTAAACAGTGTAATTGGGTTGTTTGTAATTGAAAGGATAAATGCTTGGGGGAGTGGATACCCCATTCTCCATGATGTGCTTATTGCATACTGCATGCCTGGACCAAAATATGTACCCCATAAATATATACACCTACTATGTGCCCACGAAAAATAAAATTAATAAAAGATTTCTGCCCTGGAGTTGAGTACTTTTCCACTGCTTCTGGAAAAGGGCCAGTATTGCTGATGTACTGGCATGTTGCTTTGTGTCTTTTTAGGGGCCACAGAGGGTGGAGGATGGCTTCTGCTTTTTTGGGGGGCAGAGAGTAGGGGATGACCTCTGCATTTTCAGAACGATTTTCATGAGGAAAAACTTTCTTCCTCCTCCAGCAAGTACAGCAGCCCCCACTGGGAGCCACCACACTGTTTCGAGATTGGGGGCTTGGGATTTCTTGGCAATGGTGTAGAGGATGGTGAAGGTGAGCTGGCCTCTTCAAGGTTTGAAGCTCAATTATTGAGGCTGAACCAAAGAGTTGAAGACTGGAGCTCTCTCGAATGCCTGGTTTGGAGATGTCTGGGATTCGCTTCTCCTAATGATCTTGCTTCTCTCGCGAAAACTGCAGATTTCTTCATCCTCCGGTTGAACGTTCTTGGGGAGCCGCGGCCGACGCGCCTCGCACTGATGGCCACCAGGGGGAGCCCCGCGCGCTTCCTCCTTCCCCTTGTGTTCCAGGGCGCACTTCAAAACGCTGACGTTCTCCTTCGTCCCTCTGGGGGCGCCCGAGGGGCCCTCGCAGAAGATGAGGTGCCTTTCCAGCCAGGCTTCTCGCGTGCAGGGCTTGGGAACAGTGCATCCCCATCCTACCAAGCAGTCCCTTCCTCTTCATTTGCATCGCGTCCGTAGTCTTATTTTTCAGTGAACTGGAGAACAGAAAATTTTAAAATAGATTTTTCTAATATTCCAGAAGGTCAAACACCTTTCTGCAAAGTATCTAGCATACTAAAGGGGAAGTAATTTTACATGTCTGGAAGGTACCATGTTTGCATTAGAAAGGAGCTCTTCTATTGTACTAAAGTCTCCAACAAACCTCTTGAACTCTTAAGCCTGAATTGAAAATGTGTCAATGTTTTCAGAAAATCTGAGGCCTAGAAGCTAGAGCCTCAGTTCCCTCCCCTGCCATTTGTAGAAGCCTTATAGGGGATATCTGGGGTTTTTGAAGAAAAACACTTTCTAAGTAGGCTATTTTGCTTTGCTTGTTCATACAAAAGACAGGGGTTCTGAAAGTGAGGGATGCCATTGTGAGGGAAGCTATTCAACATTAAGAATGGCCAATATCTTTTTTTTTTTTTTTTGTCTTTTGAGAGGGGGTCTTGCTGTGTTTGTTGCCCAGGCTGGAGGGCAGTGATGTGATCATAGCTCACTACAGCCTCGAACTCCTGGGCACCACTACACCCAGCTAACTTTTTTTATTTTTTGTAGACACGGTCTCACTATGTGCTCTAGGCTGGTCTCGAACTCCTGGCCTCAAGAGATCCTTCCACTTTGACCTTCCAAAGCACTGGGATTACAGGCGTAAGGCACAGTGTCTGACCACCAATATCTTTTTTTTTTTTTTGAGACAGGATCTCACTCTGTCACCTAGGCTGGAGTGCAGTGGCGTGATCACTGCTCACTTCAGCCTCTACCTCCCAGGCTCAGGTGGTCCTCCCACCTCAGCCTCCCAAGTAGCTGGGACTGCAGGCACAGACCACAATGCCCAGTTAGTTTTTTTGTAGAGACAGGGTTTTGCTATGTTGCCCACGCTAGTCTCGAACTCCTGGGCTCAAGCAGTCTGTCCACCTCAGCCTCCCAAAGTGCTGGGATTACAGGCATGAGCCACCATGCCTGGCTGTATCTTTATATGTGATATATAATCAGGTGGAAGAACTCAACATAGAATTCTTTAAAAGGATGGATTGGATATTAACATAACTACTGCTAAGTGGATCTAGATCTAACACCCATTTTTCATTCCATTTCTGATGATAAAACACTTAAGAAAGACAAGACATTGGATGTTAAGTCTGTCAGTTTATTTTGCCTCTGCCTCTATCCTAAAATTTTTTCAGAGGGGTAAATGCAAGGGACTTGTTTTAAATTGAGTACAAGAAAGAACTATTTTAGTAAAGTTGCCTGAAGATCTGCTCATCAGTGGAATAAAACAGGAAGGACAGAATTCTGATAAGCTCTTTCATAATGACTATGTTGGAATGTCTCATCCCTCTGTCAGTTGCTTTGGCTTGAGCTTCTGATTCAGAGAGCATGAAAAGGTGAGACTAAGGAGGAAATTCTTTTCACAGAGAAGCTCAGAGCCGAACCAATCCTTGGCTGTAGAGAAGGAGGAGCTTTCAGAGTTTGCTGGTTCCAAGCTTTTTTCTGTTACTTAAATTTAAAGCTGGAACAGAAGGTCAAGAAACAGGAAGGAAAACCGTATCAAGATATCAAGTCATGGTATTCTTTTTCATTCTTACAGAAAAGAATTCACAAGAGACTTGAGGAAGCTTTTTTATTTTTATTTTGTTCTGTTTATTTATTTATTTTAAGATGGGGTCTCACCCTGTTGCCCAGGTTGGTCTCAAACTTCTGGGCTCAAGTGATCTGCCCACTTCGGCCTCCCAAATTGCTGTGATTACAGGCATGAGCCACTGCGCCTGGCCAATTTTTTTTTTTTTTTTTTTTTTGCGACAAGGTCTTTCTCTAGAGTGCAGTGGCATGTTCACAGCTTAGTGCAGCCTTGACCTCCCAGCCTCAAGTGATCCTTCCACCTCAGCCTCCTTAGTAGCTAGGACTACAGGCATCACTAGGACTACAGGTGCCACCACCACGTCCAGCTAATTTTCGTATTGTTTGTAGAGACGGGGTTTCACCGTGTTTCTCAGGCTGGTCTCAAACTCCTTGGCTCAAGCAATTTAAGGAAGCTTTTCATTAGAGTCTAAAAATACATATTTGAATTGAATGACACAGGGTTGACACTAGTCAGAGAATTAGGAAAATGTGATATGCGTGTTAGTTCCAGTGCAAACCGGAGAGCCCGTTAACCTCCCTGGGACTGGGTTTCCTCCTCTGCACAGCAAGGCTCCCCTGTCCTTCCCCATGGGAGACAAGAATCACATCACCAGCATGTTTTCCTCTCCCCTTTGGCTGCCAGGAAACTCAAGAGTCAAATTCAAGGCTTTATTGAAGGAACTCTGCAGGACCCAGGACGTGATATCTTGATACTGTTTTCCTTCCTGGTTTTTGACCTTCTGTTCCAACTTGCGTTTTCCCTGATTATAGCATTTTATTATTTTTCATATTTAGTATGTAGTGCACATTTTTACACTACACTTCTAATCCTTTGTGTAATGATCATGGTAGAAATAAATGGTGAAATGAGGAGGTCCCACTTAGATGAGTTTCAGGGGTCCTTCCAGTCCCAATTTTCCAGGATTCTTAAGGGGAAAAAGTAATTTTACATGTCTGGAAGGTTCCAGGTTTGCACAGAAGGGAACTCTCCTATCGAGAGTCCTGAGGACTTCAGCAGACCTCCAGGGAGGCCTGTCCAGGATGTTCTCCTACGTCTGTAAAGGAGTGAGCACTTTGTGCTAGTTTAGGGAAAGACAGCTTTTCTGTTGGGATTTTAGACTTACCCTGCTTGAAATTGGTGGAAAAATACCTGTCTGGGATGGGGCTCAATAATCTGCAGCTGTATTAGGAAATGCAAGTAGTTTTGATGTGGGTGGTTTCAAGACATATTTGGAAAATGTGAGGGAAATGTGTATGTGCATTTGCTGAGCGGGGGACTGGTGAAGGATCACCGATCCATTTATTCCTAATGCTCATCTCAGCTTTTTATTGTGCCGAGTACCTTGATAAGGCTTGGGTTATTTTATGAGCGTTTATATATAAATTGATAGTGTCCATCAGATCATGTATATTTAGAGGCATGCTCCTACTTTGAGTAAATGGAAAGCTTTAGAGATATACACTAAATAAACATCAGTTACTAATTAAAAATTCCCTCCTCACTTTACCAAAGGACCCACCATGGGTTCCATTAAATGTCTATTTATGGTTTGTTTTGACAAAGACTTTTCCAAGAACACCTCTGTTCTGTAAAGCAGAAGAGCTGTGTAGATGTTCCAGAGTCGCTTGGTGTAAATTTGGTTCTGATTTGTGCCGTGAAGCCCAATAACAAACTGGAGGCACACATTTCAAAGCCAGTGGTAAGAGTTTGAGTAGTGATCATCTATTCCTGAACATAAAGTCTGGAGCCTTCTGGAATCCATAAAAATGGAATGATTTGTTCCTTTCCCCTCTAACCAAATTTTATTCATACCTGGCTATAAATAGCTTCTGTTTTGAGTTTTCACTGGTCAGACCCTGCTGTTTTAGTGCCATCCTGTTAGCTTCCTTGAACAAGGTAATGCCACCTAACATGTTTTTTCAGACTTCCAGGACAATGATCAGGGGGACTTCTCTATGCCACACTGGGAGGTGTGAAGGTGTAGGCTTTAGGGCAACCCCTCTGAGAAGGGGTGGCAGGTGGAGGAGCCCATTGATCCTTTCTATCAGGGATGGATTTGCTTTCTGTGGGTGTCACCTTCAGGGGCCTGTGTTCCCACTCATCACAGGAGCTCATATTTACTCAGTGGGGCCAGAGTGTTCTTCATACATGGTGATTTTACTCCTCACCATAACCTCCGTGGTGCGTGCTAACATGACCACCATTTTGCAGATGAGAACATGGAGGCTTGCAGGGGAGGTAAGTTGCCCCAGGTTCCATGCTGAATCAGAGGTCAAGCTCAGCACACAGCACAGGACCAAGTCTGCTGGTTCCCAAGCTCACATCCTTACCTACAACTCTGAATCACCCCACAGCAGAGTCAACAAGCTGGCCTGGCATGTGAAGAAGCAAGCCTGGGTGTCTCCTGGCTGCCAGTGCCATCCCTGCCCCGGGACCCTAATCCACAGTTTGATTCTGGTCCTTTTGCCCTCTGTCCCTCACCAGAACCCTGATATTTCCAGATGAAAACACGAGTATAGCTTATTTCCACAACTCACCTGGGCCCAGCAATCAAGATCTATAGCTATAGGGAAGTATTGAGTTGATTATGAGTTATATAGGTCAAAATGAGTAGCTTGCTTGATTGAAGCAGGTAATTCGTGCCATACTTTTCTCTTTGGGAAGACCTGTACCAACAATAACCTCTGCTAAACACTTTCGCTTTTTTAAATTTGCAGGTACTTTTTTGGGGCTGTCTTTGGCTGCCTGTCTGTTGAGAGTTTGTTTTCTTTACAGTCCATCTGATTTACAGTCCCTCCGGGTTGATTTGTCTCATTTGGGAATGAGAAATTTTATTTTAATGCATTAAGTAATAGTGTTGAGTGGCCAACAAATGTGAAGTTTGAAAAGCTCAAATGAAAAAAAAAGTGTGATAGAAACACAGAGTTGGGGGCCGGGTGCAGTGGCTCACACCTGTATTTCCGGCACTGTGGGAGGCCAAGACAGGAGGATCCCTTGAGCTCAGGAGTTTGAGACCCCTGGGCAACATGGCAAGACCCCAAGACCCCATCTCTACAAAAAAAATGTAAAAATCAGCCAGGGGTAATCCCAGCTACTTGGGAGGCTGAGGTGGAAGGATTGCTTGAGCCCGGGAGGTTGAGGCTGCAGTGAGCTGTGATCGATCTACTGGACTCCAGCCTGAGTGACAGAGCAAGACCCTATCTAAAAAAAAAAAAAAAAAAAAAAAAAGAAGAAGAAGAACACAGGTTGGAATTTGAGGGGGCCTGTTAAATAGGATGCTCTTTCCTGCCTTAGTTTTGAATTAATTGAGAAGATAAAATAATAAGGCATGGAGATTAGAGCATCCCCTTTCTTTTTTTCTTTTTCTTTTCTTTTTTCTTTTTTTCTTTTTTACTTTTTGCTCTTCTTGGCCAGGCTGGAGTGCAATGGCACAATCTTGGCTCACCACAACCTCCGCCTCGCGGGTTCAAGCAATTCTCTTGCCTCAGCTTCCCCAGTAGCTGGGGTTACAGCCACGTGCCATGATGCCCAGCTAATTTTGTATTTTCAGTAGAGACGGGGTTTCTCCATGTTGGTCAGGCTGGTCTCGAACTCCCCACCTCAGGTAATCCACCCGCCTCGGCCTCCCAAAGTGCTGGGAATACAGGCATGAGCCACCAGGCCCGGCAGCATCCCCTTTCTTATTGATAAAGCAGATCTTGGAGAATGGGAGATCCTGAGCGGGGTTCCTAATGCTAGCCTTCAACATCAGGCTGAGGCTCACCTTGTCTTCAAGTAATGGGCAGTGCTGGCCTGAAGGGGAGCCTCCTCTGTCCAGGGCTCAGCTTATCCTTGGAAGGCTTAGCACATTGAGGAGCTGCTCCAGGCTAAGAGGGAGGGACTGGGGTACTCTGTAGAGGTTGTTCTTCCAGTTTCTTCAATCAGATGAGCCACACTGTCACTCTAGTGTTGAAAGGAGGGAAGGGACAGAGGTGGCCAGGAGTGTGACCCTAAAAGAGGCAGAGGAGACCTCAGAGAAAGAGAAGAAGCATTCTCCTAACCAGAGGGAGAAGGAGAGAGGCCTCAGTTCTCCCTCTCTGGGAATTAATTTGAGATTTACATTTAGTGTCTATAAACATGTCAGCAGATATATAAACTTATTTGCTTTTGCTTTGTTTCCATTTTTAGATTCTTGAGTATCAGAACACCACCTTCTTTGGTGGAACCTGTATATCCATGATTGATTACCTCCTCTGGCCCTGGTTTGAGCGGCTGGATGTGTATGGGATACTGGAGTAAGACATTTGACATTGTGGTGTTAAATTCCCGGAGTCACACTGAGTAACAATGGTTAAGATGGTCTGCATGCCCCCTGTAGACATGTTTCAGGATGTCTGTGAAGTGAATCAGGTTTCTAAACCGCAGTGTGTGCTTCCTTGTTAAAAACATATGTGCTTTTCCACTGCTAACTTCAGACCCACACTTTGCCCGCATTTCTGCAGATCAGACCCCTAGCCCAGGAGCCTCCCGCAGACTTCAGAGCCTGCTGTCCTCACCAGCGCCCCCACATGGCCGGTCTGAGAGCAAGTGGAGAGTCACAGTCACAGTCACAGTGCCCAACGCCTCCACCTGGTCCTGACGGGTCCCCAGGGGACACCATATAACCTTAGTCATGTCTCATTGCCCGGAGGAATCTTCCCCCAGATAGGAATAACCTTATAAAAAAGATTTGTGTAGTAATATATGCTTGATATTGGAACATACAAACAAAATGGCAGTGACACACTATGGAAGTATGGAAGTGCAGGGACATTAAAGGAGAAGAAATAGCTGTGTAGGCTCCTGGGCAGAGCAGTGCTGTGTTACTTCAAAGCTCAGTGAAGCTGGACGTGTGCGGACGTCCACCCTAATCCAAGCCACCCTCATGGTGGGTGCTGGACATTTCTGGCACTTGGAAATCCGGCCCTGCTGAAGCAGAACTGTGTCTGCACCTTCATAACCCGTGGGCTGGAGCCCAACCAGCCACTGTCTCCTGCACTTCCGACTTCAGCTCTCTTTGTCAGGATATTTAAAACTCAATATCAAACATAAAATTTACAAAAGGCTGTATCCTCTGAAGACAGAGCATGGAGTCACAGGTTAGGAAACCTCACTTCTAGTCCTGGATTCCCGACAACCCATTCATATTATCTTCAGCTTATTGCTTTATAAACCCCAGAACTAAATATCCTGGTTGAGCTTTGAAAGAGCCCTGTCGGCTCCATGACTTCAAGGTTTCATCCTTGTTTTATTCATTTAAAAAATGTTTTAGAAATTATTTGTCTTTATTTTTTTATATCTCCTAAAGTAAAATCTGAGAATGACCCAAGAATATTTGTTTCAGAGGGTTGTCTTTTTGTTGGCAAGCAGTGAAGCACATGTAAGTTTCTCAAGCTTTAGAATATATATATATTAAAAAACAAAACAAAAAAAATGAAGCACAGACATGTTATTTTCCCAGAGCCATCAGTCCAAAGTATTTCACTGTATTATTAGAAGCAACAACTTCTAAACATTCAACTATTCCAAAAATAAGATTTTCCTCCAGTAAGTTATCATTCTCACTTGATAATAAGATAACTAAGATAACTTCCCAAATAAACTCATTCTTCATATCTTGCAAATCTAAAAAGCAACGTGCATCCCCTTTCCTGATGCCTACCCCTGCACTGTGCTGACGCTTCTTTCCTGTCTTGCAGCTGTGTGAGCCACACGCCAGCCCTGCGGCTCTGGATATCAGCCATGAAGTGGGACCCCACAGTCTGTGCTCTTCTCATGGATAAGAGCATTTTCCAGGGCTTCTTGAATCTCTATTTTCAGAACAACCCTAATGCCTTTGACTTTGGGCTGTGCTGAGTCTCACTGTCCACCCCTTCGCTGTCCAGAATTCCCCAGCTTGTTGGGAGTCTACGTCACGGCTTGTCTTGGGAACCAATCCGTCTCTCTTTCTTTTCTTTGAAGTTCCCAATAAAATGAAAACAGGAAATGTATTCTTCTGATAATCATTTGTCTGACTCCTCTAGCCTGTAGCTGCTGCTACTGCTGCTTTTTTTTCCTTTTTTTTTTTGAGGCAAGATCTTGCTTCGTTACTCAGGCTGGAGTGCAGTGGGACAGTCGGCTCACTGCAGCCTTGAACTCCTGGGCTCAGTTGATTCTCCCGCCTCAGCCTCCTGAGAAGCTAGGACTACAGGTATGTGTCACCACGCCCAGCTAATTTTTAAAAAAATGTTGTTGAGACAGGGTCTCACTATGTTGCTCAGGCTGGTCTCCATCTCCTGGCCGCAAGCCATCCACCCAACTTGGTCTCCAAAGTGTTGAGATTACAGGCATGAGCCACCTGGCCTGCCTAGCCTGTAGCTTCTAACTATTTTCTAGAAAGTGCCTGGTGCTAATGTCAGAGCACATTTTGGGAGCCTGTGTGCCTCCTAACTCCTTGGCCTTCAGCCTAGTTTGATCTCCAGATTATTGGTGCAGATGCTGATGCTGAGGTTCAGGGTCAACCTATGACTGATGCTTGTCACTACAGAATGGCACCCTCCAAAGACCTCCCTGGTGAAAGCTTAAGAAGAGGGAGAAGGAAGAAGAAAACACTCCAAACCTAAATACCTTCCATTTGGCAAATGAATGTCGCTGTCCACGTGGGCGAGTATGAGTGTAATTCTCCAAACTTTGGCCATGGGCCTGGAGACACCGAGGGTCTTGTGACTGGAAAGAATTCCAAAGCAGGAAATGAAACACCGGTTTATCACCCAGGACTAACTACGTCAGAATTTCACTGGTGCTGTCAGGGCTCAGGATGTCTCACAAAATGTTCTATAGCCGGCATCCTGCCTTAAAAAAATACACACGCCCCAAACCCAGCCACAAGCAAAGGTCATTCCGTTGGATTTGCGTCACACTCTCTTCCAATTCATCTCAACAAATGCCTCTGGTTGCCTGTTGTGTACCAAGCCCAGGGGCACACTGGGGATAAAGTTGAAAAAGACATTGGCTCTGTCCCTGGGAGCCCCCATCTCTCCACTTATCTTGGTTGAGGTTTTAAACCTAGCGCTTTGGAGCTGCTTGTCTGTTGTAGGGATGCTTGTCTCTGATGTGGCCCCTCTGCCAGCTTCGCCAGGCAGTACCACCCCACTGAAGACAGCAAAGAGCTGAGGATGGCTGGTGCCAACAGGTCCCTTGGGCTGGGAGCATCTACTGCCTGCACTATGGGAGGGGGACCAAGTTTGTCCAATGCTGTTTCATCTCAGTGTCTGAGGATCAGCCTGTGATCATTTCAGCTTTGCTCATGCTGGATCCTTTCCCATCCTCCTAGCTGTGCTGAGACACCAGGCAGCAACAGGAGCGATGTTTTGCCTTGTCTGTGCTCCCTAAGGAGCTGTCTGCCACCTCTGCCTCTGAGACAGCCCAAATCAGCCCTCCTCTCTCCCCACGTCTCAGTCTGGCCCTGCCATCTGCTGGCTCTGGGTATATTTTGACCCATGTAAATAGTTACCAGGTGTTACTCTGTGCCAGCTGGACAGAAACAAGCCTGCTTGGTGAGGTGGCCAGAACTTCCAGAAGAGGCAGCGCATGACAGGGGCAGTCTGCCGCACCATCTGCTCCGGATGTGGAGCCCTGTTGCCATGGCACCCTAGTTAATGCTGAGTGAGGTCTGTGAATCACCGTTTTCCTGGGATCTTTGCTCCAAGAAGAGGGGAATCTTCTCCTGTGGCCTCTCATAGGACTTAGGAGATTGATCAGCCTTTTGCCGGTACAAATCCTGCATGCTAGTGAGTGCTTGTCATAAGACCAAAGTTACCACTGATGCAACAGGAAATGGCATGCCTCTGGCTCACCAAAATGAAGGTGTTCTCTTTTGGGGCTCCGCACACTAATTTAGAAAGCTTGAAGAACCAGGAATTATAGAATGGAGAAAAGCACTCATGGGGGAGGTTTGCAGCCTGGTGGCCTATAGCCCAGTTTGGGATTTGAGTGCCTCTTGGCCAGGCATGCTCCCTGCTGTTTACCAGGGTCCTGGTCACCTGCACATCCTTACACTTCCTCCATCTCGCTTCTTTGTCACTTGTCTGACCCACAGAGAAAACTGAGTTATCAATCTTTGAATAAAACTAGAAGGATGTGGCCTGGAGAAAAGAGGGAAGGAGGTAATTAAATAATGCTCCATGAAGAACTTTAAAAATATGCTTCTTAATTAATACATGTGGAAAGAATACATATGGGTTAAAAATACAATAATGTAAAAGAATAGAAAATCTTCCATTATCTTGTGTCCTAGAGATAACCACTTTTAGTAATTGGTGTCTACCTTTTTTTCCCCTTTTCTTTTAAATAATAGAGATGGGGTTTCGCTATGTTGACCAGGCTGGTCTTGAACTCCTGGCTTCAAGTGATCCTCCCATCTCGGCATCCCAAAGTGCTGGGATTATAGGTCTGAGTCATCATGCCTGGTGGGTGTCTATCTTATAAAAAGCACTAAACTTAAAGATTTAAAGGTGAGAGCCTGTATTAGGCCATTCTCATGGTGCTATAAAGAACTGCCCAAGACTGAGTAATTTATAAAGGAAAGAGGTTTAATTGACTCACAATTCCACATGGCTGGGGAAGCCTCAGGAAACTTTCAATCATGGTGGAAGGGGAAGCAAACATGTCCTTCTGCACAAGGTGGCAGAAGAGAGAAGTACAGAGCCAAAGAGGGAAAAACTCCTTATAAAACCATTAGATCTCATGAGAACTCACTCACTGTCATGAGAAAAGCATAGGGAAAACACTCCCACAATCGAATCACCTCCCTTGAGGTCCCTCCCCCAACATGTGGGGATTATAATTCAGATTAAAATTGAAGATGAGATTTTAGGTGGAGCACAGCCAAACCATATCAGAGCCATTCTCTATCTTTTGCAGATTGGAAAAATAAAAAAATTAGTTTAAACCACAGCATTTAAAAGAAATGGTCATAGATGATGTTAACATCAGAATGGAGGTTGTGTGGAGTTCCCCTCCTTGGAGGTTCTGAGCTACAGCCTAGCCTGGACTCAGTCCAGTTACAATCTAACATGGCTAGGGGGAGGAGGGAGCATGATGGGGCAGGGCTTGTGTGGCTGGGACAGCTGGCTATGGTCGTGGTGCTGGTGACTAAATGGTACTTGAAATTTCTTTTAGATCTAAAATTCTGTGATATGGTTTGGATCTGAGACCCCACCAAATTTCGTGTTGAAATGTAATCCCCAATGCTGGTGGGAGGTGATTGGATCATGGGGGTAGATTTCTCATGAATGGTTTAGCACCATTCTCTTGGTGCTGTTCTCATGATAGTGAGTGAGTTCTCATGAGTTCTGGTTGTTTAAAAGTGTGCAGCATCTCCCTGACCCCTCTTGCGCCAGCTCCCACCATGGGAGATGCCTCGCTCCCCCTTTGCTTTTTGCCATGAGAGGAAGCTTCCTGAGGGCTCTCCAGAAGCAGAATCTACTACACTTCTCATACAGCCTGCAGAACCATGAGCCAATTAAACCTCTTTTTAAAAACACTTTTATTTTAAGTTCAGGGGTACATGTGCAGGATGTGCAGGTTCGTTCCATAGGTAAACATGCGTCATGGGGTTTGTTATGCAGATTATTTCATCACCTAGATATTAAGTCTAGTATCCATTAGTTATTTTTCCTGATCCTCTCCCTCCTCCCACCCTGCACCCTCTGATAGGCCTCAGTGTGTATTGTTACCCTCCACATGTCCATGTGTTCTCATGATTTAGCTCCCACTTATAAGTGAGAACATGCAGTTTTTGTAAACCTGTTTTCTTTAGGGAAAGTTTAGAATTTTCTAGAGACTGGTTGTATGGTTGTGACCAAAATGCCAGTAGTGATATGGACAGTGAAGGCCAGGCTGAGGAGGTGATGGAAATGAGGAACTTACTGGGAACTGGAGCAAAGGTCACTTTTGTTATGCTTTAGCAAAGAACTTGGCTGCATTGTGCTCCTGGCCTAGGGACCTGTGGAAGTTTGAACTTGAGAGTGATGATTTTAGGGTATCTGGCAGAAAAAATTTCTAAGCAGCAAAGCATTCAAGATGCGCCCTGGCTGCTTTCAACAACCTATGCTCATATTTGTGAGCAAAGAAATTATGTTAAGTTGGAACTTATATTTACAGGGGAAGCAGAGCGTAAAAGTTTGGAGAATTTGCAGCCAGCTATGTGGTAGAAAAGAAGAGCCCGTTTTCAGGGAAGGAATTCAAGCAGGCTGCAGAAATTTGCATAAGTAAAAAGGAGCCAAGTGCTAATGGCCAAGAAAATGGGGAAAAGGCCTTGAAGGCATTTCAGAGACCTTTGTGGCAGCCCCTCCCATCACAGACTCAGAGGCCTAGGAGGACAGAATGACTCTGAGTATTAAAGTAGATTTAATCTAAATCATAAAGTACAAGCTAGAGCAATCCCTCCAGTGCTGCAGAAACTGCCTGCATGTGGCTCCCACATTGTTTCTTGGAGCTTTGGTGGTGGTAGGGGTGGCAGGGGCAGGTGTTATGTTTCTTGGTTTCTCACCTTCAGGTCTCCTTACCCATGTTTCCTTTGTCAGAGTCATTGGCCTTGATGGAGGGGAGACTGGGTTACTCTGAGTTGAGAAGCAAGCTTGACTGCCCTGTGGTTTATATCAGCCTAGCTTAGTTTGTTTTCTGAAGTCTTCACAAATAACCAAATATCCAGCCCAGTGCAGTTCTCAATGAGTAGTCTCCAGTTCCCATCCCCCACCACACACACACACCAAACACTGTGCCCACCTGGGAGACCCATTTTCATTTATCTTCTTCTTTGAGTGCCTGGAAGGCTGAACATTTGATCTTTTCAAACATTTTTCTCTCATCTGGCCTGTTAGCGCTCTTGAGCCTTTGAAAATGCCATTTCCTCTACATACTATTCTTCCTCAGAGCAGCCCTCTGTTTTTTTTTCCAACCAGTCTTTTCTCTTGCAAAGTTCAGATCAAAATTCTTCTTTATGTAAAGAGAAGTGGCGTGCCATAGGGGTTACAAACAGGGCTTCAAGGTTAGCACTGGGATCAAATTCCGACTTTGCAACTTAACTTTCTTGAGTAAGTTGCTACACCTCTATTAGCCTCAGTTTCTTATCTGTAAAATGGGACGGCTAAGTACCTATTTCATTGGGCTGTTGAATAATGATGGTCTCATCTATGCAAGGGCTTAGTACCAGCTGGGTGAAACTCAGTGAATGGCAGGCAACCCTATTATGACTAGGCTTCTGCCAATGATCAGACTTGAACCCTGTGCTCATCCCCCCATCACTTTGTGGAACTAGATGTCCTACGTTGCACATGGCTTGATTCATGGTTTGGAGTTGTTTTCTGGTTGTTTCCTGTGTGCAGGTTTAATCTCAACCTGTGATCCCTTGAAAGCTGCAATTTTATCCCTCCCCGTCCTCCTCCCTCTCACCCCAAGGCCAAGTTTAATACTGTGCATTCTGAAATCTTGCAATGTTGATGATGTAAAATAAATCTTCTCTCCTGTGTTTCTGAAGAATACTCAGAATCTCGCTACTCTGTTAAAGAAAAAAATCATTCACTGACACTTGTTTAAAGCATGTGAAGGAAGACTTCCTCATAACCATCACGGTAGGTATCGGGGCCGCTGCAATGAGACTTCTGCAGTTGGGGAGGGAGATTGGGCTCAACTCTGAGTACAAGACGAACAAGTGGGTATTTATAGCCCAGAAGTAGAGCAGAGGTCAGTGGATTGAAAATCACTCGGAGGAAACGTCAGGGATAAGGAGGATTCTAGCTAAACTGACCTAACAGGATTCTTGCTGAAGACAGGCCAGGATGATCAGACATCACCAGAGGGCTGGCGGAGGACAAGGAACTTGATCAGATATCAAGGATGATCTGATACTGAGGTGGGGGAGTTCTTTTGCCAAACTAACTTAGCAGGGTTCTTTGCTAAAACAATTTTACAAGGACACGCACAGATGAACCTAGGAGGAGGTTCAGGAGCCTGACTAAAGTTTGGTCAAGCAGAGAATCTTTGTCTCCTCTTGGAGCAGGTTATCTCTTTCCAAGGGTTAAAATGTGAGGGATTTGAAATGCCTGCAGGCCTGCCCAGTTACCAATCAGCTTGGATGCTGAATGGAAAACTAAAGCACACCAGTACCATGCTGCGCATAGACAGGATGGTTACACATGTGCTCCAGGGACAAGAACTGTGCAATACTCTGCCCTGCCATTTCCTCCCAAGGATTCCTGCCATGCCCAGGAATCCCCTTGCAGACAGCAAGGGTCTCTGGCCTACTTTGTCATTAGCAGACAGCCCCCTCCAGAGGGAGCAGTTGAGCAGCAACAGTCAGCTCCCTGCTATAGAAGCCAATACGAAGAGCCATTTCCAGTCCTGTCCTGGGGCTAAGATGGACAAAGCAATGGAGGTAGTAGTTGCTTAGTGATGACGCTGCCCCCCAGGGAACCCTGAGTAGGGGCAGCCTCTGTTCCAGCATCACAGGACTGGGGCAGGGAAGTGGGAGGATGACTGTTAGCAGGAACAGCTGTTGCTAAATCTGGGCGTATTCAGGTTACGCTCACAGGTGAAGAATATCTCTCAACGGGTGTGTGTGTGTGTGTGTGTGTGTGTGTGTGTGTGCGCGCGCGCGCGCGCGTGCGCGTGTGCATGCGCATGTGCAGCACATGCACCCTTTGTGCCTTTCTGCCATAAGAGGAGGGTATCAGGATGGATAATGAGGAGCTGTATAAAGGTAAGGGCGGGAGGTATTTTAAGTATTTCACTTAATGGTTTTTGGCCATTTATTTGCTAAACAGAAAGACCCTCTTTGGGGACTTTTATCTGAGACACTGTCCCAGGTGATCTGATAGCAGCAGGGAGTTGGAGAGATGGGGACACACAGACATCCCAGGTACAGTGGCAGCAAGGGCTGCTTATCCTGGAAGCTAGGGGAAGAGTTAGCTGAGGAAACTGCAGGAAGCCCTAACCAGAAACTTGGGCTTCAGACTTGGGTTTTGGAGGAGGGAATGTAGGGTAGATTCAGAATGATAGTAAATCTTCTGTTTTTTGAGCACTGACTATATGCTAGGTACCTTAGATATACTACTAATACCTCCAAACCTTATGAGGTAAGTACCAATCACTCCCGTTTTATAGATCAGTAAACCGAGATTTAGAGGTGGAGTCGCTTGCCCAGGTGTTACGTAGCTAGTGATGAGCAGAGCTGAGGTTTGCTTGCGGGAGGCTGACTCTGGAGCCTGTGCGCTTAACCTCTGCCCTGCTCGGCCTCCCCACTACTAGCACTACCTCACCTCCTTGCCCTTGCTGCCTTCCTCTTCTGCTTTCCCTCCTGGACTGGGAGCTCTCTCAAGGTAGGAATAGTGTCCCACTTGACTTTGTTTTCCTGGTGCTTGGCACAGTGCCTTGTGTATAGTAGTGATGAATGACTGAGCAAATGGAAGGATGGATGGATGGATGGATGATGTAGAAACCCAGGCCACTTCCAGGAGCTCATCATGAGGCCGCTATTATAGCTGTTTCCCCACTTTGCTGTCTAGAAGAGGTAGCTGCTTCTCTGGAGCCACAGGGATGCCCTGCCTTGTACTCTCTCTGGCTCTGTCGTTGCTATGGCAACTGCAGGTCTAGGCTCTGGCTGTCCTGCAGAGGGACGAGGAGAACAGAGGGGTCAGAAGGGCAGAGGCAAGAGACCCTTTCTGTTCCCCTAAACAGGGGACATGGCCCCAGACCCCTCCTGTGAGGTGCACAAACATTTTCTGAGCACCTGGCCAGTGTCTGGCCCTAAGGGAGGTGTGTGAGGGAACCCCCAGGGAAGACAGACCCCCATGTGGGAGGAGGCACTCCCATGTGGAGGGACAGCTCACACTGCTGGGGGAACCAGGCAGTAGGAGTTGGGCTGTAAGGAGCCCTCCTCAGAGCAAGGGGAAGAATCTCCGCAGTTTTTGTTGTTGAGTTTATTTGTCAGGCCCGAAGCTAAGTGCATCACACACGCTCCTTCATTTAACCTTCTCAATGGCTCTACGAGGTGGGCAGTATTATTCCTGTTTTACAGTTGAAGAAACTGAGGCACACCCAAGGCTCTTAGAAATGGTGAGACTTGCTGAGCTAGGACATGGCATAGCAGAGATTGAACACAGAGCCCACACTCTTAGTCCCTGTGCTGTTTATAGTAAGGCTCTCAGTCTCCTTGGCCTTAGCACCAGCTTTGTCATGAAGGCTGGAACCTCGTGGGCAGGACCTTGCATAGGCCTCCATATTGAGAGGGTATATGGAGAGAGGGCAGGGGACCTGCTCTTGTTTCTCTCTGGATTTAAACGTTCAGGCTGAGCAACCTTGCAGCTTAGTGTGGCATCTTGTGTTGCTCTGGATGTATGGAGCTTGTGCAGCTTCCCTGCCTGGCCAGAGGCCCTCTCCATAGATTTGTTTCCTCTTTGTGGCATTTTGTCCCTATGGAGAGGGCTTCTTAGAAACTGCACTGGGCAAAGCTGTGGATATCCAGAGGGCTGAACACCACTGACCTTCTCCCTGGCCCTGAATCTGGCTCTACATACAGCACCAGCTCTAGTCTCACTTGGCTCTGATTCCTGGGGTGGGAGTACATGGGGTATGTATGGGCTGACTCACTGTCCTTGGCTGGGAGAACTGGCGGCTGACCTACACCTTCCAGACCCTTGGGGGGCTTGATTCAGCACTAGCCATGCCTTTTGGAAGAGATGCAAGGCCATCGTCCCAGGAGACCTTTGGTCTAACATAGCCCGGTCCTTTCTTCAGGAAGAAAGCCTTCTTCGTGGCAGCAAGGCTGTGGGGGCTATGGGCGTCATCTCTGGGCAGTTGGGAAGATAGCCAAGGGCAGCTAATGGGAAGAAACGGGGTGTGGGTCTTTGCTATTTCTACTTTAAATAAAGTTGCTCCAAAAGAAACCTAAAATATCACTGACCTGTGGGTTTGAAAGAAACAGATGGGACGAAACTCTTCCAGACTCCCTAACCCACCGCTGTGCTACAACTCTCACTTCACACTTTTGAGGCCCACCTATTCCCATCAAGAAGAAATGTCTTTGAACATCTCTGAGGTTTATGTGGTTCCCTCTTTCTGAGAGATAATTTGTTGTTGACAGTTTTATTTTCTGGTTTCTTTGTGGGGCTGTGGAGAAACATCAAAGGGTGGAAAATGCCATTTTTACCTGTAAAGGAGGGCCCCACATTGTGCAGGAGGAAATAAACCAGACCCGGGCTCAGATGAATGGAGTGAGTACAAGCATTTGAGAGACAGAACAATTACGTGGATTTGATTTTCTTTGGGGAGGCTCTTCACAGTTTCCCATCTGTAAGGGAGCAAAAGAGGTTACAGCTGAAACTCAAAGCTGATCTGTTTTCACATTCCGCTCATGCGGGCTTCAGAGCCACACAATTTCACTTTCAATTACTTACCACACTTCATTGATCTCTGACTTACTTTGCAGCCATTGGTAGTCTTCCTATTAGACCCAGTTCCTTGGGGACAGAGCCCCCATCTTATACTTTTGTTCCCCACATAGAGCCGGACCTAGGCAGATCACATGCTCTTGCTCAGTACTTGGTCAAACACCTTTTCCTCACTGTTGATTCAAAATTTATTCAACGATGATTGACTAAATCCCAGGCAATGGTTATTTTTATAATAAGATGCTGGTGGTGAATCCACATACAGCAAGTACAGAATATGGAGATTACTGGGAGAGGAAGGATCATTTCAAAACAGGATTTGTGCACAGAGACGTTCACTAGAGTGTTGTTTATAACAGCAAAAAGTGGAGACAACTTAAGTGTTCCTCAGTAGGGAAAGTTGGGTAAATTATGGTACATGCATACAGACAGTGAGATAGTAAGCAGCCATATATATATATATATATATATATATTTTTTTTTTTTTTTTTTGAGACAGGGTCTTACTCACTCTGTCACCCAGGCTGGAGTGCAGTGGAGTGATCACGGCTCGCTGCAGCCTCTGCCTCCCAGGCACAAGCAATCCTCCCACCCCAGCCTCCGGAGTAGCTGGGATTAGAGGTACACGCCACCATGTCTGGCTAATTTATATATTTTTTGTAGAGACAAGGTTTGCCATGTTGCCCAGGCTGGTCTCAAACTCCTGGGCTCAAGCGATTTTCCTGCCTTGGCCTCCCAAAGTGCTGGGATTATAGGTGTGAGCTAATGTACTCGGCCAGTAAGCAGCTAGTTTAAAGAATAAGGTAGAGCCAAATGTTCAAAAAGATAACCAAGAAGAATTAGTCGGTATGATGCCATTTATGTAAAAAAGGACTAAAAGGATGCATATATATATACATACATGTGACACATACACAGAAAAATTTTGGAAGGATACACCAAAAACTTCATATTGGTTATCTCTGGGGAGTGGACTAAGAAGTCAGAAGTGGGACCGTTAGTCTGTTACTTAATTTTCCTGTTAGTACTTGAATTTTAAAATTATGACTGTATTATTGCTTTTATGTTTATTTTTTAAACAACAAACTAGTTAAACAAGCAAGCTATTTTTGGATGGCAATGAGAAAAGTTAACTCTAAAAGATGCCCTTCCCAGGGACAGGGGTGGGGCAAGGCAGAGTGGGGCGGAGAGGGAGGGCCCTGTTGAAGGCACACATTGCCCTTCACTCTGTGACTCTTGGCTCCCTCTGCTTTCGGTCGCTGGCCAAACCAAACAGCCTTCCAGCTCTGTCCCGTGAGGTGGAGATGAGACGGACCACGAAAATGTTCTGAATCACAGCCTTGGGGTGGCTTGAGTTAAGACTTCCTGGACATTCACCAACCACTGCCAGCTGCCACCAACCCTGCTCGGGAAGCCGGCCATGTACCCTACAGCACAGGACATGGATGGCACTGATCACATAGATAAGGACTCCTTAGTTTGGGGGTGAATCAAGTTACTGTCTCACTCAAAACCCGCCAATGGCCCACCTCTGCTTGTTGTGAGGTCCAAATTTACCTTGTATTAGCATTCAAGGCTTTGCATGGTTCAGCCCCACTCTTATCTTTTCAACCTCATTTGCTACGACTTCTCAGTATATGCCAACATGTACACCAGGACTGCCTGGGTTGGAATCTGGGCTGTGCTACTTACCACTGTGACAGTAGGTAAGTCAGTTGCCCCTTCAGTGCCTGTTTCCTTATCTGGAAAGCAGGGAGGATAAGAATAGCACCTACATCATAGGACTGACATGGAACTGTGTGCATTAACAAATGTGTGTGCGGAACGGTGCCTGCCATACAGTAGGTGCTTCCCACCCTCACTCCATGCTTCTGGCTGGAATGTCTTTCCTGGCCACAGTCCTGGTCATTTTTCAGAGTCTCTATCTGGCAGCGCCCCACCATGAGGCCTTCCCTAATCAGCCCAGGTACCAGTGGTTCTTGGACATCCAGAATCAGGTGGGGAACTTGGTGAAGTGCAGATTCTTCTACCTAACTTCTCAGGATCCCACTGGAGTCTGTGACACGGCCCAGGAAGCTGCCCCCAGGTGACACCCGTATGTGTAGTGCAGGGTCACACTTGGAATAGCTCAGTACTTGGAAGGCCACCTTCTGCTGCCTCTCCTAGGGAACAGGCTTGGTCCTATTCATTTTCCCATCTTCCACAATGTCTCATGCACGTTAGGCTCCTGACAAATGCTTGTGGACTATTCATGACCTGCTTGGGAGAAGGGCTCACCATCTTATGCCTTCCCACCCTCTCTCTGAGGCTTACGGCACTAGCGTGAATGTGGGTGCCCTCATGAGAAGCTTGTGGTGTAGCTGATGCCACTTAGACCACAGATTCCAAGCAGGCTCATTGGCTTTTCCCAGGTCTATCTATCTTCCAATAGATCTGTAGGGAAAGTAGTCCACTTGGGTTTTCTTTAACTTTCCATTAAGAAAGAAAGTGAGAGGGCTTCCTCAGCTAGGGGTACCATCAGTCACTTGGGGGAAATCTTTAAAAATCGAGCCTAGCCTGACCACTCCAGACTGGATTCTGAGCACCATGTAGGTTCAAGGCGGGGTCGGGGCAATGGACCAGGTTGTCTGGGTGATTCGGATGACACCCTTGATGATGAACCAGAGCTCCACCCCCAGGTTCTCAACGGGGGCTGTGCTTCAGCCAGGCATGCAGAGGGGCTAGAGCTTTTGAGGATATAAGGCCCTTCCCCAACATAACCAGCCTCTTGGCCTAGGGGCCAACTCTATTCATTTCACCCTTGTTATTTTGCAAAGCAAGTGAGCAGTTGCTGGGGAAAGTCAAGCATCCTTGGGAAAGAGACTCTGGGGAAAGAGGGCAGGGTTGTCCTTAGTGGAAAGGCCAAAGTCCCCTAGAGGACTCAAAATCCTCTATTTAAAATACAATCTCTTTCTTTAAAACCCAAAAGCTTCCTGTTAGTTCCAGCTCCTATATTTCTCGCTGACATTAGCTCTGTGAAATAAGGTCTTAGGCTGGAATCCACCCTACAGCCAGCTTTCAAAGGCCCTTTCTGGAGCCCTGCGGGCAGCACACAAGTTGCCTCAAAGACAGGGTAGAAATGTTCTGTTTTGTTATTTTTTAAAGTCTCCTGAAAGTGTAAGAATAAAAAGGGAGTGAAAGCTTCTGCTTTGTCAATAGGAAATCCACCCCCCTGTCCCCAACTCTGCCCTGGGAGCCTCACAGATTTCCTGAAGTTAAAAACAAACAGTGACCATTTCTACTCCTTGCAAGATTTAATTCTTCCTTTAATATAAATAAGGCAGCATGAAACACCAAGAGCCCCACTGCTTTCTGCTTTAGAAGCAGCTTTGGTGCAGAAAAGATTCCCGTTTCCCCACCGAGTTCTGTTGTCTCTGTACACACAAGAAGCCAGAAGATATTTTTTTTTCAGTGAACTTTCTCCTGGAAGCAAAGGAGAAGCTATGGGAGATCCAGGCATGGTTTTGGCTTCTGGAGGCTGTTTTTTGGTTACTGGGGTCTCTTCAAAGCAAAACGGGATCAGGATGAAGAGGGGGAAAGGCATGGGCCATAAATAAATAAGGAAATTTGCCCCGATTCTACAAATGCATCTGATGGAATGAGGAGGGTCAGGCTGTGAGGGATTGGGGGTAGCTCCAGGCTGCTGTTAGGGACACACTTGAGCTGGTTCATTCCCTGGAGTGCCCCGCAACTGCGTCTAGGGAGAGGCAGGCCCAAGCACATGTTCAGTCTAATTCCAGCTCACACTGGAAGGCTTCCTATAGGTTTGGTTGCCCTGATCACAGCCGAGCTGCCCCACCAGGAATTAACCCTGGTGGGCAAAGGGTCCATCTTCTCAAGCTTTCTGAGGCTGGTTGAGAGCACTCCTGGGGATGGGGGAAGGATCTCCTTCCTTCAGTTTGTGGGGTAACTGGGCACCCCTGTCAAGTTGGTTATGCTCTCGGGAAGGCATGGCCGGCTTAAACCCTGGAGGAACACGGTATATTCTTGACTCCCTGGCCCCCTGCAAGGGTAACTGAAGTAACGGTGAGATAGGAAATCTCAAAGGGCCAGTGAAGCCACAGGTGGAAAAGAGCCTTCCTGATCCCCCTGAACCAGACCTGGAGACGGAGCCCAGCTCCAACCACAGAGCTTCTGCCAGGCTCTTTGGGTCTGGGTCATCTGTGTGGTCAGCAGTGCCCACACAGAAGGGGTGGGTTCTGTGCAGTGAGGGAGCCCCGCTGGAGTGAGGAACTAGGGGCTCAGAGCCTGCAGACTGGAGCTAGGTTTCCATAGTTCTTGCTTCCATGCACACCCTGCCCTAGGATTGGGACCCTGAGGACAACCTGGGGCTATGACATCCTTGGCCCCTGATCTCTGCAACTTTCTCTGAACTGGGCCAGACTGCAAGCCAGACACCACCACCCCGGGTAGCATTTTTGAGCACCTCATCGAAGGAGTCTACTGTCTTACAGCAGAGACTTCGCTGCAGGACGCAGGGCCAGAAGAGGTTGAGAGGCTTGGCTCTGCGCACAGCCTCTGGGAGTGCCATGGCCTCAGGTGCCTTGTGGTTGCCAATGAAGAAGTGATAGAGTTTCTTTTCCAGCTGTCCTTTGCCACAGTCACCCCGTGTGTCTCTTTCTCCAGGTCAGCTTCCACCTTTAGCATCTGTCCTCCCCCTACCACAATGATAGTCAGAAAGACCAGCTTTGGAGAGAATAAAGAGAGGTGGGGGGCTGCTGAGCTGGCACCCAGTGTGGCAAATACCCACCACGCTCGGGACCCAGTACGTTGGGGAAAGGACAGCAGAAGGGGGTGCACCTGAGTGAGAAGTGTAGGGTGCAGCTGAGTGAGAAGTGTAGCTGAAAAAGTGGCTAATTGTGTTTCTCTATGCCACCAAGTACCCATTTCCGTGTGACAGAGACGTTAGTCATTTGGGCCTCGAATTTATACAAGGTCTTTTCTCCAAATAGTATAAAAAAGTGGCAGCCATGGTGGGACCACTATTGTGCAGGATGCGGATCAAAGGTGGACATTCCCATATCTGTCCCTGTTAGTGCTTTGGCTGCAGATGGTCAGGCCAGAAGCTCCTGGGAATAGGGGTGCTGGGTCTTAACACGGTTCCCTGTCAGCATTCTTGTAGATCCTCTGCTCATATTCAAGTACAGACTGGATCTGGGATTCAAAAAGAATTACACCCAATCCAACATTTGCATTGTCTCTAACTCAGGGTCCACAGCGTGTTCTGCCACCATCTTGGCCATTCATGGTGATCCAGAAGTAAACTGCAAGGGATCAGTCCCTAAACCCAAATAACAGCTTTACCAGCAGATCCCAATGGTATGAAGCAAACCAGCTTCCCGTTGAAATTCTGTTTCCTCTGCACTGTAGGGCTTGGCTTCCTGGCAGGCTGAGCACGGCTCCCACGAAAGCCCGCCTTGTCCCCAGAACAGGGCTGGCAGATGCCACCAGGGGTGTGAACGTGAGGGATGCCCTCATCTTAGCTCGAGGATCCCACATTCTGTAAAAGACGTCAGCTTTTTGGGGTAGGCTGGTCTGAGGGGACATGTAGGGAATACTCGCTAATGAGCGCTGGGGCATTCTTGAGCATCTCATAGAAGGAGTCCAGTGTCTTACGGTAAAGGCTTCGCTGCAGGACGAAGGGCCGGAAGAGGTTGAGGGGCTCGGCCCTGAGCACGGCCTCAGGGAGTCCCATGGCCTCAGGCACCTTGCGGTTGCCGATGAAGAAGTGGTGGAGCTTCTTCTGGAGCAAGCTCTTCTCCAGGAAGCACAGCAACTCGTGCAGACGAGCGTCCAGCTGCCCCGCCTTCCAGTCGGCGGCCTGCCGGAGGAGTAGGAGGTGCAGTAGGGCCGTCTTCAGGTGGTAGCTGCTGAGCCCGCTGGGACCGGTCAGGCGGCTCTGCTTGGAGAGCAGGAAGGATGCTATCTGCAGGCAGCTGAGGTGGCAGGCGCCCTCGGGCAGTGCCTTTAGTGTCGTCCTGAGGAAGTGTCGCTCATAGACAGCAAAGGACAGGAGCCAGTCTGTGCTGGAGGCTGGGGTGCCCTCAGAGGGCTCCCTGGGAAGGTGGGAGACAAAGTACAGGTCCGAGTCATCACACTGGATCACAGGAATCAGGTTGAAGGGCATGAACTTCCCTGAACGGAACTTGATCTTCAGGGACCCCGGGCTGTCCAGCTGGCCAAAGGCCAGGTCGAACTCGTACTTGTGGGCGATGCCCTTCCAGGCTCTGGTGAGGGCCGTCTGGAACCACTTCATGACCTGCATCGTGTCCAGGTACAGGGAATCTGTGGCACACAGCAGGTTCTCCATGTCGCCGCAGGGAGGCGCCATGCTGTTCCTGCCGTGCAGGAGACACAGCATGTCTTCCCCGAGCTTGGTCTTGCCGCAGATGCAGCTCAATGTGTCCCCATCGGCGCGGACCACCTTGATCTGGCCGTAGCCCTGGCGATCCAGGGGCACTGAGCGGCCGGAGCACCAGAGCTCTGGGTGGAAGCGGTAGGGCTCGGGGGGTGTGAAGGGCACGAAAAGGTGGCACAGCAGTGGCCTGTCCACCTGCCAGTTCTCGTACATGCTGTCCACGCCAATGAAGTCCTCCACCTCCATGTCGGTGTCCCGGTTGCAGAGGCTCCTCAGGGCTTCCAGCAAGTCATCCACGAAGCCTTCCAGGAACTCCCGGGTACGGGCTGCATCGGCCGTGGCCCCCCGGATGCAGCGCTCATAAAAGTGGCCAAGCGTGGCCTTGTTGGGCAGGGTGAGGCCCTGCAAGGGGGCGCCCCCCAGCCCAGGCAGCTCATCCTCCTCACCGCCCAGGCACTCAGGTGAGGGCCCCTCCTGGTGGTCCTGCCGCCACACCTCGATCATCAGGAAGAGGATCATGCAGAGGGTGCTCCAGAGGTCCCAGGCCACGCGTGTCTCGTTCTGCTGCCTGCCCTCCTCCGCCACCTGCTCCAGTGCCTCCTTTTCGGCCGCCAGCCGAGCCACCTCCTCCTCCAGGCGCAACTGCTCCAGCTGCAGCTTCTCCTGGTGCGCCTGCATCTTGCGGATGATCTCCTCCTCGTTCTCGGGGACTGTGGCGTTCTCCCGCGGGAACAGCAGCGGGTGGTTGATGATGGCCGTCACCACCACCAGACACACGCGGAAGAGCCCCATGGCCATGGTTGGAGCTTTCCTGGGAACAGAGAGACAGATGGTCACACCAAGCTTCCCTCAATGCCACTTCGTCCCTGGGCCCCGCACCAACCTCAGCCCCTCAGGGCTGGTTAAGGTCTTAGTTCTCCCACCCAACCCATCGAGAGCTCCCTGCGGCTGCCTCAGGAGCTTCAGTCCAGCCATGGAAGAGCCCCAAAGGCCTACCCTGGGGTGGACATCTGTTTTAGTCCTACCCAGACATTCCTGGATGGCAGCAGCACCCCACTGTCCCTAACCCTTTTCTCCTACCAGTCCTTATGGCCAGGGCGAGGATATACCCACCTCCAAGCTCCTGGGGTGGGCTCAAAACCCAGGCCCAAGACAATCAGACATTCTGCCGCCCAGCTACAGCTAGAGCGATTGGTTCTGGGATGAGCATTTGATCCAATTCGGGCCAATGAGAGACAGATGTAGGGTGTGTTGGGCCCAATAGGAAGAAAGACTCATCCTGTTGCTAGTTTGGTTGCTAGGTTGCTGAGGGAACAGGATTATACCTGCAGTGGGCTCTCGGGAAGGGAGCCCGCCTGAGAAAGACACCAACATAGAGGAAAGCAGAACCCCCCCTCCCCACACTCAGCTCTGCTTGAAGGCATTGCTGTCTGAGCTCTTTAGTCACACAAGTCAATAAAGAAACCCTTTTTAAGTCAGTTTGAGTGGCCTTTCCACCACTTGAAATCAAAATAGTCCTGAATAACATATCCCCTTCTCTCCCAAGTGAATGTCATCTTCCTGCAATACAGTGAAGCCTAGTGGTTAAGGGAGAAAGGGCTAGGTTCCAAACCAGCACTGTCAACTGAAAAGCTGTGTGACCCTGGGCATGTTAACACACCTCTCTGAGCCCTGGTTTCCTTACTGCACAAGGGGAAAGCAATAGTATCTCACAGGGTCATGGTATTGAGAGACGCAATGATCCCTGCAAACTGCATGGCCCAGTGACCAGTGCAAAGCACATATTCACTGAACAATAACTGTTTCGGAAGTAGATTTGAGCCCTTATCCTCCTCTTCTGTAAACGTCTCTTTCTGACCTGGAAGACCTTACCCCATATTCAGACACACTCTCCTGGCTTTTGTCTTTCCCCAGGACAATCTTGATGATGACCAGAGAGCAAAGAATCACTAATTTCTTCTTACCAGGCATGTGAACTTTAAATCTAACTTCTTAATTGTGAAAGGAGGCACTCTGTTCCCCTAGGATAAGTGGATTTTTAAGCCTCAAGTGACTTTTGGAGAAAGGCTAATCCCTACAATCTTTGCAATTCGAAGTATGATTCACGGACCAGCAGCTGCAGTATCTCCTGGGAGCTTGTTAGAAATGCAGAATCTCGGCCCCACCCACACTTACTGAATCGGAATCCACATTTTAATACCATCCATATAAAAATCTGAGAGGCACTGTCTTACGCTGCAAGACTTAGTTACACCCTCTCCTCTCCTCAGCAGGAATCCTGGGACTTAACAATCTGCTATTTCCACACTTGAACTACCCCCCTCCTTGCTTGGGACCTCGATGAAGGAAGCAAATGGCCAAATGCAAATCAGTTGAGGTCCTGAGATTGTTGAGAGCACAGGGCTCCTTCTACCACCCCCTAGTGCACACTAACACTGGCTGATAGGAGCTACTGTGCCAACCTGAGCCCCATTCCCTTTGGCTTGAGCCCGACCTGGAATTTGCACAATGAAATTCTTGTCCTAATGGTGCCAAGGAACAGGGATTTGTCCCCAGGTAAAGATACCTCTGCAGGTTGTCCCTGGCAAGTGGCAGGATGGAGATGGACTGAGTTGGCTGCTGGTCACGCCTAGACAAACTTGCTGCTCAGATGTGACTCAGACAGTTCCACCCCATACACAGCTGGACAGGTCTGCAGGAACCACAAGGGTTGGGGAGTGGAGAAGGTCCGTCCTCCACCCTGAGGATTCTCAGTGTGGGCCTCAGAGGTGAGCACTGAAGCACTTACAGGTTTCCACTGGAGGAGGAAAGCGGGGACAGGATGAAGTGGAAGAAGTCACACTGCAAGGTGGGTGGGGTAAGGAAAAAGTGCAGGGGGCAGCGAGCCAGCTTTCCTTCCCCAAGCCAAGGAGCAGCTTGCTGGATAATGGCAGAAACAGGTCAGCCTGGTTTCTACATTAGAGAAACATCAACGGAAAGTTTTGCCAGGGAGGGTCCAAGGCATAACTAACTGCGAGGCTGGGTGATTAACATGGGTGAGAAAGTTAACATAAAGGTGGAGAGTACTCATAGCAGAATATCAGGCAGCAGCCAGTTAGGAGATAATTTGGGGGGTTTTAGGGTCCTTCAAGCTGCCTGGATCACAGGCAGCCACCTTTGGACACAGTGGGCCTTGACCAGTCACAGTAATAGCCCGGACAACCACCTACCCAGGTTCCTTGTCAACTCAGTGCAGGATGCCACGAACAGGTGAGTGGGGCCACGGCCAAGCCCTATGGCTGGGAACCATCCCTGTGTCTACGCCACACTTCATGGTGCTACTTGCTACATCCTCATTCCTGCCAGAGGAGGAGGAGCTGTAAGAGCCTCCTTGTACTGGCACAGGCAAGGTTCAGAACTCCAAACCAACTGAAGGGACCAACTCTGTGTGCAAGAGGAAAAGAGGATAGACTCGAGAGGAGACAAGACTGGGTCAGAACCCAGTATGTGCACCTACTGGAGGTGACTTCGGAGAAATCACTTCCCAGAACCTCAGTTTCTTCATCTGTAAAATGAGAATAATCATATCTACTGTTATAAAGCTTGAACAAGATAATGCATGTAAAGCACTCAGCAACATGCTTGCTCCTGAGCAAGTTTTCTTATGAAAGGAACTGCGATGGGATGGAAATACGCAGATGACCCTGCCTGCTGGGGTTCAGGGCGGAGTGCGCCGCAGACGCCCCTACAAGGAACTCTGGCAGGATGTAGGCAGTGCATAGTAGCACTGGTAATTGTAGGATTACAGACAAGACTCAACAGAAGCACCAGGGAAACAGGGCACCAGCCTGGGGAAGGACTGCAAGGAAAGGGGGCCTGGGCTGTAGACCCAGCAGACCTGTGTTCTAACCTTGAGTGACTGTGGGTGGATCGCACAGCTTCTGCGCTCCCACGCTTTCCCTGTGAGGAGGAATTAATAACACTTCCTCCTTCACAGGGATGTTGGGACGGGTGAGTGAGATCATACACCTTGGGTGCTTAGCACCGTGCCTGGCACAGGGCAGGCTCCTCTCCTCAGCATCTACAGGCTTCTGCTTTCTCACCTGCTGAGCACAGCAGCCCTGCCTGAGCCCCAGGCATGGGGAGTAAACACACGCTCGAAAGTGCTCTGAAAGCACAAGATGTTCCACTGCTATTTCTCCTCCTTGGCACACCCCTGAGTCCACCCTGGCCCCCAGCAAAGGGGAGAAGGCTTCAGAGCCTGGGATCCTCCTGCAGGTCAGGGGTTCCCTCTGACTCACTTTCTCACGTAATCCATCTCCCCGCTTCCCCGGATCGGATCCCAGCTGTCATTTGGCTCCCTGTTAAACTCTGCACAGGCTGGCTCTGTCTGCAGCACCCTATGGGATAGGACAGGCCGAGGCAGATAATAGGGCTGTGGTCGCTCAGGGCCCACCAGATGGGGTTCAGTTTGAAGCCTCTGGTACTTCCCCTTCCCAAACCCAGTCACAGGAAACACTGCCCTGGGGACCCCAGGGGTCAGAAGAATGTCCTGCAGGCCAAGAGGATTCCAAAATAAACCTTAAAAACCAGTTCATGCCATGATGGGAAGGAGGAGCCGACAAACCCCATTATACCCTCCTCCCTCTGGAATTCAGGCACAACTGAACAGCATTAACGTTAAAACAGAGATCCTAGGAGTGACAAAACAGACTCTGTAGCAATAAGATACCGAATTTCAACCCAATATAGCATCATATGAGATAGCAGGCCCTGAAAGAAATCAAAGTATTTTACCCCAAAATATATTTCTTTGACATATTTTGAAATGGCCCTGCAAAGCTGCCTATTGTCAGGAAAATCTACATTCTGTACAGAATCTCCTTCCCTTTCCAGGTCTCTCCTGATCCAGGAGAGATGAACTAAGAGTCTGATCTACATTCTGTACAGAATTTCCTTCCCTTTCCAGGCCTCTTCCTGATCCAGGAGAGATGAACTAAGGGTCTGGCACCTTTTTAGGTTTGACAGACACTTACCATCTCCTGTCTCTGAAACTCGCTTCCTGGGACTTCAGCTACATAGTAAGAACCATGGTCTCCATACCCCTTATCCTAGACACTCCTTTCTACTGATTCCAGGTCTTTAGATAATAACTTAACTCGTTCAACCAATTGCCAGTCAGAAAATCTTTGAATCCACCTATGACCAGGAAGCCACTCCTTGCCCTCACTTCAAGTTGTCCCATCTTTCCACACCAAACTAACATATTCCTTACACATGCATTGATGGAGGTCTGCCTGTAATTTTTTTTTTTTTTTTTTTTGAGACTAAGTCTCACTCTGTCGCCTGGGCTAGAGTGCAGTGGAGGGATCTCAGCTTACTGCAACCTCTGCCTCCCAGGTTCAAGCAATTCTCCTGCCTCAGCCTCCTGAGTAGCTGGGACTACAGGCATGCCCCACCATGCCCGGCTAATTTTTATATTTCTAGTAGAGACAGGTTTTCACCATGTTGGCCAGGCTGGTCTCGAACTCCTGACCTCAAGTGATCTGCCTGGGATCACAAGTGCTGGGATTACAGGTGTGAGCACCTGGCCTGCCTGTAACTTCTGTCCCCCTAAAATGTGTAACATCAAGCTGTAACCCAACTGTCTGGGGCACATATTTTCAGGATCTCTTGGGACTGTGCCTCAGGCCTTGGTCATTCAGATGGGTTCAGAATAAATCCCTTCAAATATTGTATAGAGTTGACTTGTCCACAAAAGGGAAGGAAACAGGGCATTCTGACATTCTGAGACAGGACGGGTAGTGAGGAGCCTCTCACAAACCATGGATATGTGTATATGTGTGCATGTTCTTGCACATACCAGCACATGCCTCCCCAAAGAGTCCCCTACTCCCAATTCCAAGGATGTCCACCTCTGCCTTGGCCCAAAGTTCTCACCTCTACCAGGCTCTCCCGCACCTGTGGTCTGAGACATCAGCTGGTGGGTTTGGCTTTGA
The DNA here is from genome assembly GCF_000001405.40 of Homo sapiens. Classification (NCBI taxonomy): domain Eukaryota; kingdom Metazoa; phylum Chordata; class Mammalia; order Primates; family Hominidae; genus Homo; species Homo sapiens. The sequence continues at coordinate 104,321,232 of NC_000010.11, forward strand.
GAATAAACCTGGGTCACTTGGCGGGCTTTTTTCTGTCTGCTTGCCAGGAAGCCTGCTGAATTCCTCTCCACCTCTGCCCTTGTCCACAGAGAGGGGCGGCCCATGCAGTTCACAGCTAAACTTAGCCTGGCAACGCTGGAGTCACGGGGCAACAGGGGCTGAGGGAAGATGGAAGCTTCTGGGTGGCCCGGACAGAGGGCTGCAGGTGGCTGGCTGGGACCAGTGGTTTATTCAGACCTTTACTGTGAGGCTGGCCGGAAGCCAAGACCCTGGGAGAAATCCAAGGCTTCCTTCCTTCACTGGGGTCCCTCACTCCTGGGTCCCCCAGAGCCTGCAGCACTCCCCACCATAGCTTAATCCAATAAACACCACAAAGCATTGCCTAACACCCATAGCTCTCCCATTTCTCGAGCCCTCACTAGGATGTGCTGGGCACTGCACACACTAACCACTGTAAGTTTCTTTTCTTTTCTTTTTTTTTTTTTTTTTTGACCACTGTAACTTTCTAAGAGGTGGGTGCCATCCCTGTTTTGCAGATGGGTTAACCAAAGTCCAAGAGGCTAAGTCATTTTCTAGCCACAGGACTAGAAAAGCCATAGCTGGGCTGAGATTCAAGCTCATTCTGTCTGTCTTTGCCAGCAAAGCTCAAGTTTTTCCACTGTGCTACATGTACGGAGCACATACTGAGCTCGAGGAACATGATGGATGCTTCAGGGCCTGCAGTGATGAGTATGGCCTGACCCCTGGTAGCAAAAGCATTACAATCCACGCGGGAAGGTAGACAGCCACTACGTATGGAGTCCCCAGACAGAATGAGATGTGGGGCATAAAAGGCACGTGAGCTACAGGCTGCAAAATGCAGAGGAGGGAGGGAGCTTCCTTCCTGTTCTCTGAAGGCCTCTCCCTGTCTGGAGCTCTCCCTGCCCTCACCTGTTGGGGAGATGTCAGTGTGCAACTCCTTGGCTCCACCTTCACCTCCTCCTCTCCTTCCAGACAGAATTACTACAACCAACCAGGAACAGTAGGAGCATGTGTCCGGCCCCACAACCTGTTCATCACACCGCTTTTGCCCCACTGCCCATCTACTCCCACTGAGGGTTGACTGACCACAGCCTTAAGCAGCAGGGGTGCCCAGGACCCATTTCTTGGCCACCTGGTATTCCCTCTGGGACAGTGGTTCTCAACGTGCTTAGCAGCAACAGTGCCACCTGGCAACTTGTTACAAATGCAAATTTTCACAGGCAACCTGAAACCCGCTGATCAGAAATGCCAGGGCTGGGCCCAGTATCTGTGTCTCAACAAGCCCTCTAGGTCATTCTAATGCCCGCTTATGTCTGAGAACCATCCCTTCCCAAACCAGGCGTCCTCTGGGTAGGAGGGTGGGGCTCCTGCAGTGTCACAGCAGCCCACATCCTGGAAATTGCCAAGGGCTTGCCCAGCACACAGCCTGACAGATGCAATTAGCTCTGCTAATTACAACAGCAAAAGAAGGCCTGGCCCTGGCGTCACGTTCAGAGCCAAAAGGAGTAGCTGATAGGTTTCCTTTACGAAATGGAATAAAGGACTGGCTGAGGGCAGGGGAGGGCACTTTTAGCCGAGGCCTTGGGGGTGACTTGGGTCCCTTTCACTAGGTTCTGGGTCCTCCAAGAAAGAAGGAGCCAAGGGAGGCCCAAACTGCCATGAGTTTGGGCTGAACTCCTTCTGTATCCTGGCCTTGTGCTGCAGTTTCTCAGCCCCAGCTGATGAGGTACACAGTTGTTGGGGGGAAATCAAGCCAAATATTTAAGAAAGTCAGAATATAGAGTTGAATTTAGGTTTCTTTATTTTACAGAGGTAGAAACCGAGGCCTCAAGAGAAGACATGCTAGGCCTGGAGGGTGGGTGGAGTAGAAGAGGCAGGCTGGGTATCATCCCGTGGACCCTCCCAGGGAGCACCTGGCAGTGATTCCAGCACAGAACAGGGGAAGGGTGGTGAAAGGTGAAGATGTTTACATGACCAGCCATTTAGGAAGCAGGTACCCCATACTAGGCAGGATGCTAAGTACTCTGCATATGTTTTGTCATTTAATTGTCACAACCTCATTTAGGTAGTTGCATTAAAACTCTCTTACAGATGAAGAAGACTGATGTTCTGGGAAGGTCACTGGGTGGCCTCTAGGATTCCTGAGTCTGCAGTGCATGGCTGAATGTGAGCAGCACCTAGGCTGAGTCTGCCCCTCCCTCTGGTCTCCTTCCAACCCCTCAAGGGACTGATGGAAAACTGAGTGGGTCCTGCCTCTTCCCCTGCCTGGGGGTACCTCTGCAGCATCATTGTCAGTGGTGACCACCAAAATTATCCAGGTTGGCTGTCTCCCGAGCTTCCCAGGCCTTAGAAAAACAGGACTTTGAGAAAGGAGCATGAGTTCTACCCTGAGTCTTGGTTTTAGAGTTTGGAACTCATGGGCGGGCGGTCTGAGCCATCGTGAAACCCTCCTCCCATGGCCCAGCCTACTTGTCTCACCCTCAATTCCATGCTTCTCTCTAGCAGGGCTCACGCCCCATGCTGCAGTGACACCAGCTTCCCATAGCACAAGGCCAGCTCAGGGCCCTTCTCCAGGCACCTGCCCCTGGATCTGGCCTATCTCACCCTTCCTGGAACTCCTGCAGGTCAGGCCACCTTCCTGCTCTTTACTGTGTCACCCACCGGTCCCTGCCTTCCTACCTACAGTTCCAGCATGGTCAAGAAGCTGAATGTTCTCCTGCAGCCCCCAGGGTACCACGCACGGGGCTGGGCACACTGCAGGCTCCCAACATGTAAGTAGGAGTTGACTTATTGCACATTGGGAGGAGGTGGCTGGTGGCAGATAGAGCTGGGGAGTGACATGTCTCCACCAACTCCCTCCTTGTTGCCTAACTCAGGACAGAGGACACAGCACAAATGGCTCAGTAACAATGGCTCTGAATGTGTCACTGCTCAGCCTGATTGGCTCCCATCCTTCCAGGACAGTGGGACAGGAGAAGGGCTTTGCTCCAGCAAGTGCAAGGTCTCAGAGCTGCTCCCACCAGGGCATCTCTGGCTGGGTCCCTCTTCACTTGCACTCCAAATGGGGACAGGAGAGGGAATATAGAGGGGCAGGTGAGCAGACTGGGGCCGGAGGCTGGGCCCTGAAAGGGGAGGGAGGGACAGGCAAAGAAAGGAAGTGAGGAAAGAGGAAGGAAGAGGACCAACAAAAAGATCATTGAGAAAGTAGGTGGAAAGGGTGCGTTTGCGGCTCTGGGCTTGCCGCACTTCCTTTTCTTCTCGGCGTCCTTGCAGCCCTGACCCCGTCCAGTCATCTGCCCCCTCTCCCACTGGGCAGGACCATCATGTTGGCCAACCCACCTCCCCCAGACCTGCCACCCTGTGGCCACTGGGCTCCTTCCCTTCCTCTCTCCAGACACCTGTCTCGAGGACCCGGGTTGTAAAATCAAGTGTCTGGGAGGGCCAGCCCGCAGGGAAAATGAGCGGGGCTGCAGTGGACAGCTGAGAGGAGGGGACACTGGTCGACTGGATGGCACATGCTTCGTCTGAAGGGGCGAGTCCCCACGCCACACATTCTGTGCACCCAGAATGACAAGATCTTTTTTTTCCCAAAGAAAAGCCACTAATCTGGACTTTGTCAAAATCCCCCCATTTTTAAATGTTAGCTGCTATTTCAAAAATTCCTTAAAAACCATGTGAGCAACACTGGGTGCAGTGGCTCACACCTATAATTCCCAGCACTTTGGAAGGCTGAGGCAGATGGATCGCCTGAGCTCAGGAGTTCGAGACCAGCCTTGGCAACATGGCGAAGCCCCGTCTCTACCAAAAATATAAAAAAACTAGCTGGGCGTGGTGGCACATGCCTGTGGTCCCAGCTACTCAGGAGGCTTAGGTGTGAGGATTGCTTGAGCCCGGGAGGCGGAGGTCACAGTGAGCTGAAATGGCGCCACTGCACTCCAACTTGGGTGATACAGTGAGACCTCGTCTTGAAAAGAAAAGAAAATGAAATAAAATATGTTAGTGGCCACCCAGAGCCTGTGGGCTCTGGTCTGCAACCCCCCATGAAGCGTTCCTCAAGGTAACCCCTAACCCAGGACTCTCCTTACTCCTACCCCATCAGCAACTACTCAGCAAACCCACTATTTCCTCTGAGTCCATGACTCCCTGAAATACTGGCTCCACCTTTCTCCCCAAACCTAGGCCTGATTACTCCCGTGTCTCCTCGTTGGCCCCAGCAGCCACATTCGGAATAATCCTAACCAGCACTTATGAGGGCTGACTCTGTGCCAGCCCTTGTAGGAACTTAGTGTAAATGCCAGAGCAGATTTTCTTCCTTCCCCATGGCCTCTGCAAGGACTAGAAGAAAAGAGAGAAGAGGCTTTGTTGGGTTGGCATCCTGGTGACTTTTTTTAAGTCCCTCCCTCTTCCTAGAATGGGCCTTGAGGACACTTAATGCTTCGAGTGGGTGGAACCGGGCACCCCGAGTCCAGCCAGCGTGTGCACACGCGGACAGCAGAGGCTCGCCTAAGCAAAAAGGCCTAATGGTGCTGCGCTAAGAAGCGCTTGGTATTAGAGTAAGGCCTGTGGGCCCCAGGAGCCCCAACTGTCCCTCCCTAACCCAGGGGAGAGCCCAGACTGACTGAGTGGGATGCTGGGCTCAGAAGCACCCAGGGGTCAGTCTGGACTCTGGTGAGGTGGGGCAGCAGGACAGACAGCAGAGAGGGGAGAGCTCCACCCCAGTGCCCACCTGAGGTGGCCCTACCACCGAGCCGGTGGGGAAGTACACGCGGGGCAGAAGCTGCCTTTTTTTGCTCCAGCGAGCCTCTGTTGTCTGCATGTGGACACTCTGGCCGGACTCACAGGAGGTGCTGCTCACACCCGTCCAAAGCATTAAGTGCTCTCAAGGCCCACTCTCGGGAGAGGGAGCGGTTTCAAGAAGTCACCAGAATGCCAACTCTGTTCTCAGGACTGGGTCATGGGGGTGGTCTGCCAGCCAGCAGAGGCACAGGAAGGACAGAGGGCTGGACTCTGCTGGCTCTGGGTGGGTGAGCCACATCCTTCCTGTTCCCGCTCCTCCGCCGGCTGATGCACGTCCCTCGGCGAGCAGATGGAGAAGGCAGGGAAGCCATCCTCTCCCAGGAAGGACAGAGTGTCCCTCCGTCCAGCCACTCTGCCTGCCTCCTCCAGCAGGACATCATAGAAATCACAGCATCTTGGGACAGACAGACAAACGCCTGATCTCTATGGCTGGGTTGTGGAGAGGACAGTGAGAAGAGACTACAAGGAGTAAAACAGTAGCAGAGACAAGGAGGGGGCTCCCCTGCAACCCCTGAGCTCTGGCCCACACCTCCTTTTCTCCCACGCGTTCCCTCCAGGGCATCTCAGATCCATTCAACTGTGTGGGTTGAATGGCAGCCCTCAAAATATACGTCCTCGCGCTAATCCCCAGCCCCTATGAATGGGACCTAAAAGGGTCTTTGCAGATGTGATTAAATTAAAGAACTTGAGATGAGATCATCCTGGATTACCCGGGTGGGCCTTAAATCCAATGACAAGTATCCTTATGAAGTGACACAAAAGAGAGAGACAGAGGAGAGGTGAGGGGAGACGGAGGCCAGGATGGGAGTGACGCTGCCACAGCTGAGCATCATCTGAGACAACAGGAGCTGGAAGAGGCAAAGAGGGACTCTCCTCTAGAGTATCTGGAGGGAGTGTGGCCCTGATACCTTGATCCTGGTCTCCAGAACTGTGAAAATAAATGCCCACTGTCTTAAGCCCTCCTGGTGTGTGGCAACTTGTTATGGCCACCCCAGGAGACTACTGCAGTCTCAAAGCGCAATGCACCCTCCTCTCTCCCAGCCAGCTCCCCTCGCTGACCTTCCTCTTGTTGGGGTATCTCCAGTCTCCCCAGCCACCTCTGACCTGGCCTTTGCTCTGCACCGAAGCCTGGGGATTCCACGTGAGATGGAATCTCTCTCGTGTGCTGGCCAGCGTAGGCCTTTGGGGTCAGCTCATCTGAGCTCTCCCTAACACTCCAAACCCCCAGTTAGCTCCCCAACCCTGCACGTCTCCCCTCCCCATTTCAAGGGAGTCTTGTTTCCATGGGACACAAGTCAGCGCTTTAAGAATGTTCAAGGCCTGGCCCAACCAGCCTCAGAGGACCTCTTGGTTCCCTCTCTGCCTGGCCCGGCCACTTCAGATCATCTCCTGTCCCCCAGATAGCTCCTGCACCTCCCCACCATTCCTGGAAACATCCATGCTTCACCCCTCTGCTGGCCAAAACCCTACCCAACTGACCTCACAGCAAGCCCATCTCAGACTCCACCTCCAAGGAGCCTTCCAGGATCCCAAGACAAATCCCTCTTTCTTCCAAGGGATAGGAGAACAGGGGAGGGAGAGGGACATATGAATTAGGCCCCACTGAGTGCACCAGGTACCTCATGTAGGTCAGGTGGCTCTGTAGATGCACCGGCACACAGCAGGCACCCAACTGAGGCTGGTCCCATGTGTCTCTATCCTTGAATTATTGCATTTAACCCACGCAGCAACCCCGGGGGAGGGGGCCATCAGCCTCATGTCCCTGGCAGGAGCCCAAGGTGCTGAGAGGTGGGGCAATGTGCTCAAGGTCACACAACAGCCTGGCTCCAGGCCCCGTGTCGCCCTGGTGTGCCCGACAGCTGCCTCTGTCTTTGTCTTGCCCCATCACCTTCCTCACTGTGAGCTCCTCCAGGGCAAGGGCAGGGTCCTGTTTGTCTTTGCATTCCCCAGAGCAACTGGCATAGACCTGCGCTCCGTGCTAAGGACACACACTATCCTGGGGGCCCACAGCTCACACCATGCACTGGAGGCACCACTTTCACAAGACAGTTCCCCACAAATGCCCACCACTTGCAGGAAGGATGCCTCTCCCACAGCCAGCCTGCAGGGGAAGGTCTCCCTCAGCCTCCAGGATTCCCATCTCCGGTTTCTATGCGTGAATCACAGTGACAGCAATGCGCCCTCACCACTTCCCGTTGTCCTACATTGGCTTGGTCTGGGCTCGTATTCCTCCGAATTTCCCCTAGCCCTGTGGCCGCATCTCACCCACAAGGGTGCTGGTTTGGAGAGAGCATGAATACCCACCTTGGGGCAGGACATGCCAGAGTTCCCAAGAGTCGTCCCCTTTCTCTCTCTCCACCCCATGATCTACACACCCCCTGCCTCCAAGCAGAGCCACAAACGTTCAGGCAAAACCACACTTTCTCAGTGGGACAGGGAGGGGAGGCTGCACGCTTAGACGCAGGCTCTGCACAATAGCAGACACACTGACTCAATGGAAAGGGGAAGGGACTGGAACAGAACCGGGAGTAAACACAAAGGAAAACAAGGAGGGAACAAAGCCCTCCCTTGGCCACTCCCCGCCCCCTTCCACTTTCCCCCTTTCACTGAGAAACTAGGATGGATGGAATTAAATAAAGGGCCAGCACCCAGCAGCCACCTTCTGTTTGACCCCTGGATGGGAACAAAGAGAGCCCAGCTTAGAAAGACACTCTGCCTCTAGGAGATGGGGGAGGATGAACCCCCCAAGGCCTTGTCCACGACCTCGGAAAGGCTTGTTCCCCACCTCAGCCTCCCCACCCCACTGGTCTCTTACCCACGTCCTGGCTTCCTGAGATTCTAGGCCCCACACAGTGAAAGAAATCCCAGACTGTTCTTCTACCCGAGTCCCCCTGCGGCTTAGGCGGTACCTGACACAAAGCCTGGGCCCCAGCTGGGCTGGGGAGAGCGGGGAGGGGAGAGGAAGAGAAGCGCTGTGGGCCTCCTGCACGCATGCACACACACACACACACACACACATACACACATGCACGCACACACACACTCTCCCTGCAAAGATCTAAAAACCCCTTTCATCTCAATAAAGGGGAACAGTAACAGACACAAAGACAAAGGGGAGGCCAGCCCAGCTGTAAAAAAAATTAAGAGCGTCTTTGCTTGTGCTCTGCTGCAAGGATCTGGGCTGAACAATAGAGCCGGGCCTCTGCCAGCCCTCCCACACCAGTTAGTCAGAGCAAACCAGTCCTCCTCCTCTCTGGAGAGCAGAGGGCCCACATGGTAAGGCTAGGAACAGTTAGCAAAATTGCTCCCAGAAGTACCTATGACTACTCAGAGTCACACTCTCTACGGATTGCACAAAACAACCCTACTATGACATCATTTTCTAGTCACAGGGACGGAGCAATAAGGTGTGATGCGGGTGCTCCACCGAGGCTGTGCTGGCACCCAGTAGGTGTCCAAATAATGCCTGCTGAATGCATGGACCCATGACTCATATGTGCGTCAGTCAGACTGAGGTGGGCAGCAAGCAGCCACTGATAGTGTCAAGTTCACACAGGCTCATTTCCACTCCTACTGTCACCGAGAAAGAAACAGCCCAAAGCTCATCAGCTAAGAAGAGCTTAACAGTTTGCAGAGGCTTAGAGAACCATTGCTAAGGAGTCAAACTCTGGAATCAGAAGGCCTGGGTTTGAATCTTGGCTCTACAACTTGCTATGGCAATAGTGTCCAATTTATGGCCTTGTGGACCATCTCACAGTCACTCGGCAGTGCTTGGTAAATGATACTGCTGTTGGCACTGGTACTGGTGCTGCGGTCATGTCTCCTTTTTGATTTGTTAAATCGTCATGGTTGCATGTTAAGGAGTCCTCTGGGAAGAAGTGGGTGAACAACATCCCTGCAGCTCCTCCAGAAGCCTGGGGAGTATGACTAAGTTGTCTCCTCCACCTCCTTGTCTTCTTCTAAAGGCCCCAGGGGCTGACACAGAGGAAGAGGAGGAAGTTTGGAGACCTAGGAAGGTCAGCAGCACCCTCCCTTACTCCCTCCAATCTGGCATCATTGACACTGACAGCTCTTCCATTAGGTTCTGAGTACCCAGCTTTGGAAGAGGGTAGTTGCTATAATGAATGCTTGCTGAATACATGAATGGAGTTAGGATTGGGAAAAGAACCTCACTGCCTTTACTCCCAGGAGCAGGAATTTGAAATTCCTGGAGTGAAGTGGAAAGCTCTGGATAAAGTAACTTCTACATTCTTTCTTCCTGGGAGGGGCACTGCAGTCAGAAAAACAAAGTGCTAACAGTGTAAGTGCCTTGGAAAATCCCTTCCAGCAAAATCCCTTCCAGACGTAGCCCTGGAGACAGAGACGGTTGCAGCCCCGTTTGGTCTGGACTGGCCTTCATGTAACTGCAGGCAGACTCACTGCCAACGTTTAGAAAATGGCCCAGGAATGAACCCTGACACGTTTTCTGACCCTCAGCTGCCTTGCCGTGGACACCTCCCTTCTTGCTCAAGCTTCTTGTAGAAATAAACAGAGGATTACAGAGTAAGAGAAGGAGCAGAGAAGTAATTCTTCTTTCAGGAAAAAACTGGACAAGCCTCAGGGCCCTGACACACCATGGGAGGGTTTAATGAATTACAACCACTGCATCCCATTTATTGAGGCTTAAGCATTGCACAATAAAGCTTTACATGTATCATTCTCACATCAAACCTCTGAGGCAGGCACTTATCTCCATTTTACAGATAAGGCAACTGAGGCACAGAGGTGAGGCCACTCACCAACATCATAGAGCCAGGATCTGAATCCAAACCTATCTGACTTTCAAGCCTATACTCTTCCCATGAAGCCACGAGCTGTGCTGCTCAGTGACCTGGTATCTGTGAAACATTAGACATGTACCTATGGACTTTCCTCACCCGGACTGTTTAGGGAAGGGTAGGTGACAATCTAGATGAAATGTGGGCATGAAGCAGGGAGTAAAACCTAATGAACTTATGAGACTCCTTCTACCAAGATTCTGTGAGTGTGGCCTGGGCTATTTGAGATAAAAGGAATGGAAAGCCTTCTCTGCAAAAAAGGGAGTGAGGGCTCTCTTGACACTGGCAGGTAGGCATGTGTTGGGGTGAAATGTCAGGAAGCGGCATGGGTACATTAGGGACATTTTGGGGCAGCACACAGGGGTAGGACCCAGGCAGCCCCTGCTCTCCTACCCTCCAGCCCAGGCATGCTGCACCCCTGCCTCCTTGGGAACTTTGGAACAAAGTCTCAGCAAACAAAGGACGCGTTCGTAAACTTCAGGCGGGTCCCCCGGCTGCTGCTAAGAGGCTATTGAAGCCGGCTCCCATGAGAACAGTATGTTATGAGCACATGGTTTTGCACTAGCGGGCAGGGCCAAAATAATGACAACACCTTCCCTGCTGCTTTGATACAGGAGGAGGGGGCGAGAGTTGGGGGGACTCCTGCATCAGCTTCAGGGAAATGACCTAGAAGGGAGAGAAAGCAGTAGCAGCCCAGGGTTGCTTCCAAGCTGAGCCCCTCTTCCCAGGCAGTGAGTGTCCCACTGTGTTATGCACCTGGAAGTGAGTCATTTGATAATTGCGGGGCTTTGTATTTTTCCTAGGGACTTCCAGCAGAGGACTGCAAAGTGCTCTGAATATTATCAGGAACTGGTTGTTACTGTGCCTATTAAACAGAAAAGCAAACAGTGCTGGAAGGGAAAGCCTTTCCTTCCTTTCACCCTCAGATAGCTCAGGCCACACTCACAGAATCTCTTGGCAGAAGGAGTCTCCAAAGCTCACTAGGTCTGCTAATATCAGAGTGAGACAGCAGGAAGGGACCAGAAGTCTCAGGCCTGGAGTTGGTGGTCTGCTTGCTGTTTTCTCAGTATTGACACTTAAAACTTTGTGGGATTCTTTATGCCATCTGTATGTGTTCTGGGCTACAGTGTCCAGACAGACGCCTGAGGTGGCAGAAAGAGTCCAAGGCCCTGGGAGAGAGCAAATCTAAATTCGAATCTCTTCTCTGTTGTTGTCCGTTTGGGGCAAGTCCCTCTGAGTCTGTTCTTTCACCTGTAAAACTAGGATAACACCCACCTTGAAGGGCCATTGTGAGGAGGAGAAATAAATATGTGTAAACCCCTAGAATGGGGCTTTGCTCAGTAAATGAAGCCACTATTTTTTTTTAATAAGGCCATTCTACTTATATGAACAATGTCATATCCATAACGGTGGATTCTGCAGATTAATGATACTCTAATTTTTATTTATAAACCTGAAAAAGCTAGGTGCATACAAGAATTAGGGCAATGACTTTAGCCACCGAAATGCTGGACATCAGAAAAGCACCTGAAGTTATGCCTAGTTGCACAAAACAAAAACTTTAATCAGGTGCCTTCAAGTGGAAGGACAAGGCGATTCCTGAAACCTCTACAGAGACACCTACTATATCATCTAGTTTTTCATCTTTCTTCAGGGCAGGGAGTCCTCCCTTTCCTGCCTCTTTCGTCTCCTGTGCTGACATTTGGCAGCCCTTGCTTAGGAGAAGCAGCAGGCATCACCTGATAAGATGTGGCGGAAACACAGGTCACCAAGTTAAGAGCATCAGAACTGCTGAGTGACCTCAGCCTTGTAAACAGTGCCATCCCAGGGACAAGATGGACATCCATGGCTGCCCCCTCTGACTCCACTCCCAAATTAGCAAGTGTATCTCAAGCACACCCAACTGAAAGCATTCCATGAATTTAGTTTAACCCATCTAGAATTCCACAGGGAATGCTAAGTTGAGTGAGGTGAACTGTGAGACGGGATTCCTATCTCCAGTTGGTCCTGCCTCTTGGGGCAGTGGATTCCATACACTCTTCCTCTCCATGTGCATTTCATCATAACGCTCCACGAGGCCGCTGAATCCCTGGCACAGGCCATGCATAACAGATACACAATGGCTGCTCGATCAATGAAGCCCCCGTAATAAGGATGTGAGCATCCTATTTCTCACTCTCTTTTGTGGGGAGGCTGAAGAATGGAAAGTCACTTTTCTGATGGCCCCATCACTGCTCCAGCCTGCCCTTCCCCTAACCCTCCTTACAGATCCAGGCTGCAGGAGGACCCCTAAGGAGTCCCGTTCAGAGAACTGAAGGAGACTGCAGCTGTCAGCACTGCGCTCTCTGACCCAAGGCCTAAAGACCCACCACCAACTGACACAGCCCAGATCTGAGACTGCAGCACCTCCCTCTTCTATTCACCCTGCCGCTAACTGGGCCCATCCTCTCCCCAGCCTCTGAGAAACACACCTGTGAACGTTACACCTTCTATGTCCCTTCCCTTCAACATGCGTCTCACACTTGAGGCCGATTTTTCACCTCCCCGTCCGCCTTAGGGTGGAGGCGTTGCCCTGAGCAACAGTGATGTCACCTGCAGGGTGCTTCCGTTTCACTGATGTCACGGGGTGGGCCTAACAGATAGAGGGGGGATGTGCTCTCTGTGGGGAAACGTCACAGGTCCTAAACTGTTGAGGAGGGGTCTACAGGCCTCTGGGGCACTCCCAAATGACCCCTTTCCTCGCCCAGAAGAGCTCCTTACCCTTCCTTCCTCTCTGGATGCCTGTTAGAGCTCAGGCCTCAAATCTGACTTTCCCTCTGCCAGAGTCAGCCAAAAGATCAGGATGAGCAGCTCCAAACAAACTGCTGGAAAGACCACTGAGGATAGATGTCCTCCCCGTCTAGGACAGTCTAGGTCCCTACAGCCTTGTCCTTTGTCCAGACCTCAGAGGAGGGAGCAGTGACCTGATGGGGAAGTTGGGGCCCAAGTCGGCAGAGAATGCAGACCTCCAACCGACCTCTGCTGTCCTGAAGAGCGCACACTGGCCAGGTTTCCAGTCTGCGCCAGGCACGGTGCTCAGAGCCTTCTGTGCATCGTCTGGGTCAACCCTCCCCACAGCCCTGAGGGTCATCCCCATTTTACTGATGATGTTACCGAGACTTGAAGAATCAAGGCACCTGCCCAACTACTGAGAACGCCCAACCACCGAGTGGTGGAGCCAGGACTCAACTCAAGTCTGCCCCACTTCAAAGCCCGTGCAGTCACACCGCCTTGGCTCTGGGCACCTGGAGATGTGGCTCATTAAAGATGAGCCATGAAGGGCCTGGACAGAGACCAGAAAGAGCCCTTTAAATCTAAAGAGGCCAGCTGAGCAGGGCAGGCTGCCTGAGGCAGCCGAAGCAGGCACTGCTTTAGGAATGCTTCACCCCCTGGCCTACGCAGGGGATGCAACAACTGGCCAGCCTTGGCCCAGCCTCCATGCTGATTGGGGACCACGTGTCTTTGCTCTATGCTTGGCTTTCTATTGATCCATCCAGGTTACCGGATCATCCTCTTGATTTGCATATAGCACTTACTCTCATGGCCTGGCCCTACAACTCTGAGATTGTACAGTAGTTATCGAATTTACGCAAATGCAAATCTATGTCTCTGGGAGCTAATGCTTGCAAAGCACTAAACAAATAGGTAAATAAAATAAAAAATTACTACATTATGAGAGAGGAAAGGGAGAAATGCTACCAGGATTTCTCAGGGAAATACTGCCCTTGAGGCACTGGCCAAGGAGATGCCCATAGCCAGGCTGACCTGAGTATCCAGTCTACCTGGCAGCTATCTTTCTGCTGGTGAGAGGGCCGCAGAGGTAGACAAAGCCCTGCACTATTGGACATCACTGTCCCCCACCCTCACCCCATGCTGCTCCTGCCTGGTTCTGACTCCAGCTTTGATAAGCGCAGTCCACCTTCTGGTCTTTGGTTTCCCATATGGCTTGTCTAGGACGCAGGGAAGAGACGACATTCAGTCTGTGTGATGTTTGCGAAGTCTCCTTGCAAATTAATAAACCAGCATTCTGATTCGTACACCCTCTTCTGGGAGCTTTCTCAGGGTGAATCAGTAGCTTGAGTCCAAACCACTCTGAAAATTATGGAAATTGGGTTTCTGAGCGGGCACAGCTAAGAGCCATGCCCTGGGACAGGTGACGTGATCCAGGTAAACACCACCCTCTGAGCAATCTGCTGGGCACCAGCTGGCCCCTCCCAGGAGGCATCTTGACTTCCTCACTGATGAGAAGCCTATTTTGTTTAAAGTGCCTATCGACAGTACATAGTGAAATGCTCGGTTCCAGCTAATTAAGCGCTCAGCTGTACGGTGTGGAAACTAAGAGATCATGTATATGGAACTGTGAAATGGAGTTTCAGGAAGGGTTCTTGGACGAACTTGAGAAGGGCATTTGTGGGTGAATGGGACTTCAACAAGGAAGCAAGAGACCACAGATGGGGATTAGGGGTTTGGAAGGTCAGGACAGTTGTCTCACCTCCTTCCACTCGCTCTCTGCCTAGGTCAGGACCCTGCGTGCAGCCACCGCCGTTTCCCTCTGAGCCACACCTGGGGGCACTTACTCATCACCCTCATGCCAGGCCCCAAACTGGATCTGCCACCTCACACCGCCCAGAGATTAAGGAAAGTCACTTGATTCTTGGGCCAGGCTCCCCATCAGCCATCAAGGCCCGGCTTGCCTCTTTTCTTTCCTCCTCTGCCTCCTGCCAGATGAATTTCCCCTCCTTCCTCCACCTGGACTGAGAATGGGTATTTCCTCCTTTGACAGAGAAAGAAAAAGGCAACTGTTCTTCCCCCTTTCCCACGAGGGTTCCCAATTAAACTAGCTTTTTAAGCTTAAGTTGCTTCTTGGTCTATGAATGCCCAGTGATTAAGACTCACCTTCCAGGCTCTGGAACACTTAACATCCCTGTGCCTCAGTTTCCTCATCTGTAAAATGGAGTTAACAATACCTAACTCATACGGCTACTGTGAGGATTAAATGAGTTAATACAGGCTAAGTACTTTTGGGGAAAAAAAAAAAAAGCCTGGCGAATGTTAAGCCCTCAATAGTGGTTGTTTATCAGGGCTGCTGTGTGAATGGTGGACCAGGCAGTGTACTGCTTAAGGCACCTGGCTGAGGGGTGAGGATAAATCCAGCTCACATGCCACTTATCCAGCTATATGGCTTGGCTATGTCCACTCAAGTAAGGCCAGTATTTCTAAGAGGCATCAAGCCCCATCCTCTTGCCAAGACAGAGCACCTTATTCTAATTCATGCGAAGGACTGAATAGGCTAGCAGCAGCCCTGGAGGTTATCATGAACAGTTCTCAGCATCCTCCTGGCTCTGTACCCCTCCCCAGCAAGACTGGATGAGAGAAGGGTCCAGGATGGCCTGGTGTCATCCATAATAAAGTCCTGCTTCTCAGCTCCCAGAACACTTGGAGCACCCACCCCTTCCAAGCAGATTCTCCATTAAAGCCCCACAGGCTGCCGTGCCACCTCAACCCTACTGGGGCAGACTCTCAACTCGAAACATGGAACCTGAGTCTTGGACTCTGAAAGCACCTTCTCCTGCCCAGTTATTTTTTTTTGGGGGGGGGGGGGCAGCGGGGCATTGGGGGGTAGGTTAAAGACAGGGTCTGAACTCTGTCACCCGGATGGAGTGCAGTGGCACGATCCTAGCTCCAACCAAGTGATCCCAACCAAGTGATCCCAGCTCTAAGCCTGGAACTCCTGGGTTCAAGCAATCCTCCCACCTCAGCCTCCCAAAGCTCTGGGAAGACAGGCAGCCACCCAGCCCAGACTCTTTCCTAACTGTTGATGGCTACCTGTCTCTGCTGATAGCTGTGAAAGGAAAATACAACCTTAGGACCCCAAGCTCAGGATGCCAAAGGGAAAAGTTAAGCTTGGGAACTCAGTCATGCAAAAAACAAAACCGAAAACAAAACTGCATTCCTTTTGTTGCCAAACAGATAGCTATAATTTCACATGCTTACTTTATCTTACGTAAAATGTAGATTTACTGAGCATGAGAAGAATGCACCCAGGGAGAGCAGAGAGTCAGTATAACTACTTCATGGTTACCCACAAGTGGAGAAAATCCGAAGGCAGAATGGCCCAGAGCAGCCGCAACATACAGGGAATTAGCAAACAATGAAAGCCACTTAGGCACGAGGGCTGGAGGGAGGACTCAAAAACACAGCCTATTCTGTTTTCGTAAGGAGGAAAGACAGTAATCCACTTTTCTGATACTCTATTTTCAGGGCTCACCTGGGCCTAAAACTGCACCAACCACAGATGAACTTTAGCTGGCAGTCAGATAGACTCGGTTTGTAAAAGGCAAGAGCACTGGGTCATATCCAAAAAAAGAACAAGAAAATAGACCGCGACCCCGATTTAGATCCAAAAGACCAGAGTCCAGATTGCGACCAATATCTGGTACTCTACTGTTTGTGAAATGAGACCAGTATCTGGTACTCTACTAGTTGTGAAAGGGTGCTTTTCTCATACCAGCAGAGGGGCAAAAGGCAAAATGAGGCCCCTGCCTGGTTCCGTAAAATATTTTACCTTCCTGGTCGGTGGCTTTTTTTTTCTTTTTCTTTTTCTTTTTTTAAGAGAAAGCGTTTTGGATGGGGAGTCCCGCCCCGGGAGTCTTCACCAGGCGGCCAGAATGGCAAAGTCACAGGGATGGGGTTGAGGGTGGGGTTAGGGGTGAAGGGGCAGAGAGTTATTTGCAGCCCAAGAGCAAGTCTGCACAGCGTGAGGTCTGGCCCACTAATAGTCCCGAAAGAGGAAGCGGCGGGGATTTTATCCGGCCTGAAGCAGCCCCATAACTTCACTACCATGAACCGAGAAAAAAAAACTTCACGCCTATTCCTCCCTTACAGGAAGGGAGGGAAGGGGAAGGGGAAAAGGGGGCAGCAAATGAGCAGGGCGAACCGGCTTTTCTTTCTTCGGTAGCGCTCTGCTCAGATGTGAGAAGTAACGGGTCACCTGGCCACTAGGAACAAAAATGTGGTCCCGCTCTGGGCTCCGAGGCTGCGCGCGCCTCGAGGAGGAGCTGCCCGCAGCCCTGGCTGGAGCGAGCGCCCGGGACGCATCCCCCGACGCGGCGGGAACAGGATGCGGGACCGCGAGGAGACAATACGCCCGCCTGGGCACGCGCGCTTTAAGGGAAGGGGGTCTCCAAAGTCAGCCCCCACCCGGGAGGAGCAGGCGCCCGCGCTCCCCACACCCTCCTGCGCCCCCTCTGTCGGCAGCCATCTCCGACACAGCTCCTCCGAGCTCGCGCTCTCCATCGCGCCCTTCTTCCTTCAGCACACTAGGCTGCCCTGGGACTTACGATTGGCTTGGGTCCCCGGTCCCGGTCCCCGCCGCGGGAGGACGGCTCCAGCACAGGCTTTGCGCGCAGGTCGAGGGCCGAGGCGCCGCTGCTTGCAGGCGGCTGCGGTGGAGCTTGCGGCCCGGCACTTAGAGGGGCGCGGGCGGCGATGCCCCCGCTGGCTCCCACCTTCTGGCCTGCAGCGGCCGGCTCTACTGAACTTCAGAGTTACTCATTTCCTGGATGTCACAAAAACTTTTTCCTCCTTATAAGAACAAAACACCCGCCTCTACCCGCGGCCCCGGAAGCTCCTTAAGGAGGACCGTGTGGGTTTCGGTGGTTGGGCCCAGGATCCGCCGGGAAGACCTTCCCAGTGAGCCCCCAGAAACTTCCCCGGCACGGCAGAACTGGAGAGTGACTGGGAGAGACGGAATCAGGCCAGTGGAGTAAACTGGAGCGAGTGGACAGGGGCGCGGGGAGGACGCCCTTAAAAGTCGTCCTAAGCCGCGGAGCGGAAGGGGTTAAGTCCTTACCAGTCGGGGAGAGTTTTCTGCGGCGCGTTTTACAAGTGGCGGAATTCCTGGGGCCACCTATTTAGTCTCTTGGAGGAAAATATAACTCTAGACAAAACGCCAGCCTTTTTCTCTTTTGCAGCTTGAAAGGATTAAAATAGCTTACTACCGTTTTTTTTTTTTTTTGAGAAGGAGTTTCGCTCTTGTTGCCCAGGCTGGAGTGCAATGGTGGCGCTATCTCGGCTCACCGCAACCTCCGCCTCCCGGGTTCGAGCGATTCTCCTGCCTCAGCCTCCCGAGTAGCTGGGATTACAGGCATGTGCCACCACGCCCGGCTAATTTTGTATTTTTAGTAGAGAAGGTGTTTCTCCATGTTGGTCAGGCTGGTCTCGAACTCCCTTCTCGGCCTTCCGAAGCGCCTGGGATTACAGGCGTGAGCCACCGCGCCCGACTTTTATGATAATCAAATGCATGGTTGCTTTTCTCCGGGATTAACCGGGCACAAAGGAGAACAGTGACCGGATACTGTACGGGACAGGCGCGGTAGTTTCTGGTTACTGTTGTGACGGTAGATCAAGTGTTACTACCCCTATGTTAGAAACGAGAGAACTGAGGCCTGGAGGAGCAGCAGCAGCGTTCTGGTCGAGCTTAATAGTTTATGAAATCCATAACTTCTATTGTCTTCCCTTTGACCTGCCCAAATCCTACCATCAGTACAAAAGGCAGAGCAGGGTTTGAATGAATTCTCCATTAAGCGGCTTTGGGGGCACCAAATGCCAGTGAAGGCACATTGGGGAAATTGGAACACAGTGTCCAAAATGATCACCATTGCTACTGCTATTTGGTCTTAGATCACCTTTTTTTCGTCTTTTCCTTTAACACTCGCCTGGAAGACTTTTTGGCTGAGTCTGAAAGATAAACAGGCAATGAGAAAATGTTCTAAAAATAGACTCCCTGGCCCTTGGCCCAGGGTACTTTTGTTTTCAAGTTTCTACTGCTGCTCAAATTCTTTCCTTACGTAAGAGGTTATGGCAGAATTTTGGGGGCCAGTATGTGTGTTGGAGGTGGTGGGGGCGATCTGGGGAAACGGTCTTGAAAGAGCTGTATTTCCAAAATGTCTAGAAGTTGGTCCGGTGGGTTACTCACACCCTCCGCAAAGCAGGTGGGGGAAATTTCTGTGAAGTAAGAGCGCTGGGCTGAGCTTTGTCATCCTTGGGCTAAGAGTTCAGCGTTGTGCTGGAATGCCAAGGTTAGTGCTTGAATGCCCTCTGGGATTGTCATCCCGTCTGCAAAGTTGTTTCAGCAATTTCTAACCAGCCATGTATATTTATATAAGGAATATTTATTATATTTGTTTTGCTTTTAACCTGATGATTTCACCTTCTGTGTTCTGATTGGTTCCTGTCTGTTCTAAGGTCCACCCTTCTACCTGGCTTGTAAGTCGTTCATGAACTGGCCTCTGCTTATCTCACCAGCCTCATATCTCACTCTGTGTCCCACACAAAACTCCTTGCAGTTCTTGGAACCTGTGCTTCCCAGAACGTGATATGCTCTTTGATATGCTGTTTGCATGATATGCTTTTTCTCTCCCCTTGGATATTCATATGTACTCTACTTTCTGCCTGCCACAGCCACCCCACCTCCTCCTCCAAACTGTCACCCCAGTGCACATGCATGTTATTTTGCCCGACTAATTGTATGCTCAGTCTTCCTGTCTCAGAACAGGCAGTTACTCCTTCAGGAAGTCTTCCTGGAACCCTCATGTCTGGATTGGACACCCCTCCTGTCGTTTCTACAGAACACTGTGCTAACTCGAGAAATGTTTTTTAAAAGATAGGAAAGTACAAAGATTCAAGTTATGGGAACTTGAGGAGTCAAGAAGTCAGGGAACTCCTGCTTCGAACAGTGAAAGGCTGAATAAAATATATCAACAACGGAAGGGAAGAAAGGGGGTCTCCAGGTGTGAGATAGGTCAAGGGAACTCAAAAGCATGACATGAATATAAGCCCAAATGACTAAGGACCAGGGGTGAGTACCCACTCAGGGATTGGGGTTAGTATCTATTCAGGCCTTGAGTTCTATAAAGACAGGGATCTGGACTTGAGATCTCTGCCTAAGGCTGGAACCCTGGAAAGGCTGCCCTTTAGTAAGAGGAGGATAGAAAAAAGCCCTCTCCCCATTGGCTCAGGGTCGCGGGAAGGAAACTTGTGGTTTATCCCGGCCCTGGATGAATTTTAAAATGTCTTCTATAGAAATGAAAACCCCTAGCCTGCCTATACTATGCATAGGTGTGAGCTCCCAATTTATACTACCCACGTGCTGAGGGAATCCTAATGTCAAGAAAAAACACAAAAAACCTGTTTCAAAGTGGTGAATCCCCTTGGCCCTGTCAGAAGCAAACGTAAAATTCGGTTGTTTATCCTGGTCCCTAGCAGAATAAACAACTCCCATTGAAGTTACAATAAGAAATTAAAATGTTTCATGATAAGAAATTAAAATATTCTTTATATTATTTTAATTTCTTAAAATTAAGAATTATTAATAATCATTAAGCTTATAATAAAAAATTAAAAACCAGACTAGGAAATGAACCACATGAGGGTGTGAACTGGTAAATGTAATAAACAGGAAAATTAGCCCCTTAAGTATCTGAGACAATAGAACAATTTGAAAAAGAGTATCAAATAGTTATGGTCAAAATACAGAGATAAAATGATAGGACATAGGACTATGAAAAAAGAACAGGTAAATTTGAAAAAGTACAGCTATAATATGTAGAAATAAAAAGTTTAGTCATTTACATATAAAAAACCTCAATGATTGAAATTCTTTTTTATTTAGGCAGTTGGTAATATATCAGTCAAAAATCTAATAAAAATAGCTCATTGAAAAGGGGAAAGAAAAGTAATATATTATTGTTTATAAATATATAAATTATTTCAGAAATTTAAAATAATATATTAACAAATAGAATTCCAGCAGCACACCAAAGAATATTACATCATTAATAGATCAAAAGAGAAAAATGGAAAGATCATCACCATATATGCTGAAAAGCCATCAGATAAAATTTGGCATCGACATATAAACAAACCCTCTGTAACATGGTAAAAACAAAGGGTAAAGTTCAGCCCCCAAACCAGTGTTATGCTTAATGGGGAAATACTAGAAATCTTCTAAAGTCAGTGCAAGATATGAATGTCCTCCTTCACCCCTATTCTTTTTAAAAATTATAAATTAGGAATATGTTTGGCTGCAAGTAACGGAATACCAGACTGTAATTTTTATAGTGTCTAAGACTATAAAAGGCTTAAACAAATAAGGATTTGTTTTTCTCACATCAGAAGCTTGTATATAGGTGGCTATTTTGGGTCAGTGCCTTGATAGTTTCAGGGCTGATCAAAGGATATGTGCATTTACTATTTTGGTATATATTACAAAATTGCCCTCCAAAGAGATCTCACCAATTTGAACTATTTCCCATAGTATGATGATTGCCTTTTTCTCTACATTGTTGCCAACATTGGCTATTTTCTATTATAACTTTAATTTAGTTTGCTTCTTTTATAGGTGAAAAAAACCCCTAATCTCAATGTTTTGATTTGCAGTTTTTAAATTATGAGTGAGGCTGAACAGAACATTGTTATTGGCCACCTTTATGTGTTTATGTGTGAAGACTCTGTTACAACATCCCCCAGTTTTCTATTGGCTTGTTTATGTGTATACATGTGTGTGTGAAAGTAGATGGAATGTTCTTCATGATCATTTAAGTGCTAGATGAGGCTTCACATTCCATAGTGAAAGGTGACTTGTCAGCTGGGTGCTGTGGCTCCTGTCCGTAATCCCAGCACTTTGGGAGGCCAAGGTGGGCAGATCACATGAGTTCAGTTTTAGACCAACCTGGCCAATATGGCGAAGCCCCGTCTATACAAAAAAAAAAAAAAAAAAAAATACAAAAATTAGCCAGGTGTGGTGGTGCGTGCCTGTAATTCCAGCTACTCTGGAGGCTGAGGCACGAGAATCACTTGAACCTGGGAGGTGGAGGTTGCAGCGACCCGAGATCGTGCCACTGCATTCCAGCCTGGGTGAGGGAGTGAGACCCTGTATCAAAAAAAAAAAAAAAAAAAAAAAAGTGACTTGTGACAAAGTCTGAACCAACTGCAGGGGAGCTTCACACCACATCTCACGGTTAGGAGCACTGGAAATTTTTTAAAGATTAAATACACAGGGACAGATTTCCTGTTCACCCCATCTGTGGTTATTCCAGTATATGGAATAAAATGCATGACAATGGGAGAGACAGGAAGCCTATACTAGTCATTAAGCATCTGATGGAGGGGAAAAAAGGGCACTTCCCTTGATTTGGTCAATTTCCCACTACCCTGATTTCAACTTCACATGGAATTTCACAAGATAATAGCAAGTTAGTTTAGAGGATGTTTCACAGAACAGGCTGCTTTGCTGAGACCTCAGAGGTGTCAGTTGAACAAGACGAATGATTTGCATTTGGCTATTTCATTCCTCAAGGTCAGTGCTGGTCACGTCCCTCCTCTGGGAATGTCGGAGCCCACAGGGCCTTTAGAGATTATTTACTGACAAAAATTAAGTCCAGAGAAGTTAGGTCACATACTCAAGGTCACATTGCTGGTTAGTGACTGAATAATAATAGCTAAAACTTGTGCCATCTGCTAGGTATTACTCAAGCATTTTATACCTACCAACTCATTTAATCCTCATATCAACTCACGTGGTAGGAATCATTAGATTCTACAGAACCTACGTTTTTCAAAGATTTTTGAAAATACATTTTATTTCACAACCCAGTATACTCACACATACAAGTGCATTATAATTGAAAGACAGTTTCCTTAAAAACAATTGTTATGTTTACTGAATGTGATACAAACTGTTATGTTCCCTTTTCTTTTTACTCTTCCTATGTTAACCTCTTTTGAAAAAAATGCAGGCCACAACTTATTAAATGAGTCAAGATCCAAAGTTTGAAGAAAATGCTTATTTATTTATTTAATTTGAGCTAGAGTCTCACTTTGTTGCTCAGGCGGGAGTGACGGTCGGCTTCACTGCAGCCTCAACCTCCCAGGGTCAATCAATTCTCCTGCCTCAGCCCTCTGAGTAGCTGGGACTACAAGTGTGTGCCACCATACCTGGCTAATTTTCCTATTTTTTGCAGAGATAGGGTCTCAGTATGTTGCCCAGGCTGGTCTCAGACTCCTGGGCTCAAGTGATCCTCCTTCCTCGGCCTCCCAAAGTGCTGGGATTACAGGAGTGGGTCACTATGCTTGGCTAGAAAATATTTCTTTAAACTACTCTTCTAACTCACATCTCTGTTTTGAAAACTGTTATTGGTTTATGTATGTTAATTTTCCATCTACATATGCCACTTGGCTTGGGAAAGAACAGTCAGATGATTGCCATCCAACTTATTTCTGGTCAGTAGATATTCATTGCTCTCCTTGTAGTTAATGTCTAAAGATGGTACCCTTGCCTTTGACACAGATCATTATGCTGTAACCTTAGGAATACCTTAATTCACTTATTCATTCATCCATCCATTCATTCAACAAATATTTCAGCACCTAATCTATGCCAGGCATTGTCTAAATCAGGAGTTGGCAAACTATGGCTGTCAGGCCCAATCCAGAGTGCCACCTGCTTCTATAAATACAATTATATTGGCTCAGCCATGGCCATTCATTTATGTGTGGTCTATGGCTGCTCTGGGGCTCTAACAGCACAGTTGAGTAGCTGCCACAGAGACCATGTGGCCCGTGAAGCCCAAAATATTTCTTTTTTTCCTACCTGTCCTCAGGATACTTCTATTTTTTTTCTACCAGAAAATATTTCTTAATGTGGTCTTTTATAGAAAAAGTTTGCAAACCTTGGTGCTAGATTCTAAAATGCAATGGTATCTTAGACTGGTCTCTGCTGTCCTAGAGGTTTAAATTGTCCTGCTTAATTTAAAAAGGTTTGAGGCTTTTTGCCTCCCTTGCATTGCCTCAAAAAGCACCTGTTCCCAGTAAATGCTCAGCAGGCATTTGCTTCTACTAAAATCATCCAGTAGGTCTTGCAGCAGGTATTGGCAAGAAAGCAACATACCTAACAGGCAGAAAAGAGGCATGGTGGCTCACGCCTGTAATCCCAGCACTTTGGGAGGCCAAGGTGGGTGGATCACCTGAGGTCAGGAGTTTAAGACCAACCTGGTTAACACAGTCAAACCCTGTCTCTACTAAAAATACAAAAATTAGCCGGGCATGGTGGCACATGCCTATAGCCCAGCTACTCGGGAGGCTGAGGCAGGAGAATGCCTTGAACCCTCAAGGAGGAGGTTACAGTGATCCGAGATTGTGCCATTGCACTCCAGCCTGGGCGACAGAGTGAGACTCTGTCTCAAAAAAAAACAAAAACAAAAAGCTTATTCCTTTAATATAGCAGATTTCATTTTATAGATGCCTATCCTTGTTGCCTATGAGAGTTCAGTAGTCAACTTTTTTTGAGTACTGATTGTGTGTCCCACCTTGTGGGTAAGAAAAAAAAGACATAGTTCTTTGGTATTTACATTGAGGATAAGAAAAAAATGAGATAAGTGCATTTTATTGTAATCCTTACTACCTGTACTTCTGTTTGGGATCTTGGTGTGTACTTGGAAGTAATTTTAACCACTGTAGAATCTTAAATGTTCGTGTACTGATACCTTTCACCTTCCTTTAGTCACTAATCACTCCCAAGAGTAATTGCTGTGTGTGTGAGTTTATAAGTTAATTGTATCTTGCATTCATTCATCAAACTTTTTACTTCTAGTGTCTCCTATGGGGCAGCACCATAGATGTATTAAAGAAAAGACTGGTCCTCCCAGTCTGGTGGGGAGACATAGAAGTGAACACACAATGATAATGCAGTGAATTGACAGAAGATGCTCAGTCTTTCCAGCAGCACAGAGGAGAGGTAATTAACTGGGTAAGATTTTTTGGATGAGGCAACACTGAGCTGCCACTTGAAAGAGCTAACTGGACAAATAAGGAGTCATTGGATTTTCCAGAAAAGGGATCAGCATTTGTAAAGTCTAGAGGTGTTTGAAAATAGAGACTTTCAGGGGATAGTAGATATAAAAGCATTGGCCCATCATCAAAGGTATTTTGTGCTTTGGTTTTTAAAATTTTTAAAATATATTCACTGTGTTCATCTGCTTGTATTGCTATAAAGGAATATCTGAGACTGGGTAATTTATAAAAGAGAGAGGTTTGTTTTGGCTCATGGTTCTGCAGGCTGTGCAGGAAACATGGTTCTAGCAACTGCTTCTGGTGAGGGCCTCAGGAAGCTTATAGCCATGGTGGAAGGCGAAGTGTGAGCTGGTGTGTCACGTGGCAAGAGAGGAAGCAAGAGTGAGAGAAAGGATGTGCCTGACTCCTTTAAACAAACGGATCTCATGTGAACTGTTAGAGTGAGAACTCACTCATTACCTCTGCACCAAGCCATTCATGAGGGATCTACCCCCCATGACCCGAACACCTGAGGTAGAAACATTGGAAGTCATGTATCAACATGAGATTTGGAGGGGTCAAAGCATCCACACCATATCATTCACTTATTTACTTTTGTTTGTTTGTTTTTGAGACAGGGTCTTGCTCTGTCACCTAGGCTGGAGTGCAGTGACATAATCATAGCTCACTGTAACCTCAAACTCCTGGGCTCCAGTGATCCTCCCTCCTCAGCCTCCTGAGTAACTAGGACTACAGGTGTGCAACACCACGCCCAGCTCATTAAAAAAATTTTTTTTTGTTTAGATACCAGGTCTTGTTATATTGTTCAGGCTACTTATTTACCCACTCATTTATTTATTTATTATTAGTGGGAATAGGTTGTATGGAGCCATTTAGTCTTTTTTTTTTTTTTTTTTTTGAGACCAAGTCTCACTCTGTCGCCCAGGCTGGAGTGCAGTGGTGCGATCTTGGCTCACTGCAACCTCCGCCTCCTGGGTTCAAGTGATTCTCCTGCCTCAGCCTCCCAAGTAGCTGGGATTACAGGGGCCCACCACCACATCTGGCTAATTTTTGTATTTGTAGTAGAGACAGGATTTCACCATGTTGGCCACGCTGGTCTCAAACTCCTGACCTCAAGTGATCTCCCTGCCTCAGCCTCCCAAAGTGCTGGTATTACAGGAGTGAGCCATCGCGCTTGACCCACTTAAGCTTTTTAACCAATCTGGTCCACCGATTGACTTGTGCACGTCCTTACCAGTCCTGAGTAGGACATCAAACTGCAACCTTGGTGTCTTGGGCAAGAAGCACCAACTGAATGATCTAGCCTAACCAGTCATACCCAAAAGTAATCTGTGTGGGAGAAGAGAGCAGCTGCTTTTAAGCCAATAAAATTCAAGGCAGGTAAGACGACTGGGTAGTTATGACACTGCTGTCTCCTTCTCCTGGTAAAAATGCTTACCCGCTGTGGCTGCTCCCTCAGTGCTTCTACCTGGTGCCTGACCTTTCAGTCTTCCTAATAAATCTGCCTGAGCTTCGGTGCCTCCTCAGGTGTCACGAGGGGAGTTTGTCTGGAGACCCTTTGGGAGCTGATGTCAAATGCTCAACAAATGTTCTGTTAAGTTAGTGCTGCAGTAGTCTGGAAAAGGAGAAGATTAAAGGAATAAAATATGCCCCCAACAGTTTTGGAGAACACTAGCCAGTGGGGACTCTGCTCTGTCATCTAAGGTGACCATATGGTTGGCTGATAAATGATAACAATTTTCTGTAACACGTGGGCTTTTCATCTTCCCAACAGTCTGGAGGAAAAATATTAGATATGATGACAGGAGCAGTTTTTACCATGTCGTTAAGGGCCCCAAATGTAGTTTTTAGATTCCATAGACACTAAATCCAGCAATGCCACAAGAATGCCTGTGCAAACAGGATCTGTGTTGATGCAGGCTTTAAAATTTTTTTTTTATTTCTGATATATACAAAGAAAACTCACTTCATCTAGCTTAAACAAATAAGGTTATTTTGTTAGGAGGATACAAAGTATCTAGCAGAATCCAAGAGAGCAGGTGTTGCTGGGTCTCTCAAGGGACCTGCCACCAGGTTCCCACAGGGCATCGGCCACCAAGGAAGAAGCTCCCTCTCCCATCTTTCGCTTCCTGTTTTTGGTCTGTGGATTCCCCTCATTTATTTGCTTTATTCTTCCCTCCATACAGCCTGCCTTTCTCTGCCTCTCCTGGGCTTCACATGCTCAGTTCCAGACCTGAGCAATGATTGACTTGCTCTTGGTCCCTGTTATAAATTCCAAGGGAAAATAATAGAACTGGCTTCATGTGGGTCAGGTCTCCACCTTGACCCATCAGCTGTGGCCCTGGGGAGGTATGTAGGGTGGCCTAGAGCATCATGGCTTCAGAGAGGGACGTAATTCTGGGTGGGAGTTAATAATCTCAGAGGAGATTGTGGATGATACAGACACCCCCAAAATAGCCTCTGGGACCTCTCTGATCTATGACAGAGGTCGATTTCTGTCAGGGCACAATTGCTTTGCATTACAGGCTAGGAATTTACATGTAGGCCTGCAAGTCAGTGTTTCTGCTTTTTTGGAGGTTTACTTCATATCTTCACTGGGTACTATTGAAGAGGTGAACACTGGGTATAAATACTGTTCTTATTACTGTGTTACAGCACGCACCTGAGAAGTTCTAAGAGGCGATTCTATCCAGGTTTAAATAAGGAGCTTTGCAGAGGTAGTATATCTCATGATCATGTATTTGAGATATCTGGCAGAAAAAATGGGTGTGTTCTTGACTGTCCCTAGTCCTTGAGTTTGGAGGCACTTCTCTTCTATCCTTCCAAGGCTCTCTGCTATTCACCCATGCCCTCTTGTCAACTTTAGTGTCCACAAGTACCTGATAGGGACCTCACCCTGCCTAAAGCAGGATTTTTGGATTCTTGCCTTGGTTTCTGCCCAGTGCTGTTCCCCATACTTGAGATTCTTTTAACTTCCTTCCGTGTCTCTAACTCATACATATCATTTAAGGTCAAGTTCAAGAGCCATGTCTACCATGTACCTTTCTTTAAGATGTCATGGTTCACTGGGCTTCCTTACTTTAGAACTCATTCAGTAGTGATTCACTGAACAGTTACTTATACAGCAGAGTGCTGGCTGGTTATGTTAGTTCGCTAGGGCTGTTATAACAAAATACCACAGACTGGGTGGCTTAGAAAACAAAAATTGAGGCCAGGTGTGGTGGCTCACACCTGTAATCCCAGCATTTTGGGAGGCCACGGCAGAAGGATCACTTGAGGTCAGGAGTTTGAGACCAGCCTGGCTAACACGTTGAAACTCTGTCTCTAACAAAAATATAAAAAATTAGCTGGGTGTGGTGGTGTGCACCTGTAGTCCCAGCTACTCTGGAGGCTGAGGCAGGAGAATCGCTTGAACCTGGGAGGCGGAGGTTGCAGTGAGCCGAGATTGTGCCACTGCACTCCAGCCTGGGCAACAGAGTGAGATTCCGTCTCAAACGCCTCCACACCAAAACAAAACAAAACAAAACAAAACAAACAAAAAAATTGATTTCCTCACAGTTATGGAGGTTAGAAGTCCAAGATCAAAGTGTCAGCAGGTTTGAATTCTTCTGAAGCCCCTCTCTTTGTTGTGCAGATAGTCTCCTTTTCACTGTCATTCCTCTCTGTGCACACATCACATACCTCGTGTCTCTTTGTGTGACCAATTTTCCTCTTCTTGTAAGGATACCAGTCTGATCGGCCTTATTTTAACTTAATCACCTCTTTAAAGGCTCTATCTCCAAATACCATCACATTCTGAAGTAGGGGGCATCTGGACATTAACTTATGAATTTTGGAGGGACACAATTCAGCCCCTAACACCAGTGGAGACAGGGGTGAAGAAGACGTGCATCATCTTAGAGCTCCTGTAGTTTGACGGTGTGGTAGGGAACACAGGTATTAAGCAACTATTTACATGACTAGGCCATTAGTTACCACTGTGGGATGATGCAAGAAGTAGAATACACAATGCTGGAAAAGGTAGTCTGGGGAAGTGAGACTGAAAGTAATGTGAAGAAGTGAGATCTGAAAGAAGATTGGATGGGAGCCAGCCAGCTGAAGAGAGAAAGAGAGAGAGTCAAGTATTCCAGACAGGAAGATCAGCATTTGTGAATTCCAGGCAGTGGGAAAGAGCATGGCTACCCAGGGAATTGAAAGAACCAGTGTAACAAGGAGTGAGTGATGGGAGCTGGCACCAGAAAGTCGAAAGGGCCAGATTACACAGGACCTTATTTACTGACATCCTCATTTCAGTGCTTACTATATCCTGTCTCGGACTGTTGTCAGAAAATCTTTTAAGGGGAGTGTTGGCGTGCACAATTTGCTTCTCCTGATGCTCCTCAAGGGAGAAGATCGTGTCTTCAACTCCTTTTGTATTCTCTCTCCACAGTATGCAACATAGGGCTGGACATATAGTAGGTGCTCAAGAAATAAATTAAGTGGATATAATGAGAAATGAGATGAATAGAAGCACTCATTTGTCTAAATTAGGGGCTGACGCGATCTTGTTGGGTGTGTTTCTCCTAGAGGCTCTGAAAGGTGAGGACTTTGATACTATAATGCCACCTAGTGATTCTTGTTATTACAACAACACAGGGGAGCAGGGTGGTGACTAGTCTTCTGTAATCCAGAAAATTGGAAATCAAACATTTTGTTTCATCAGCATAAATTGATATGTCCGACCACCCATCCTTTCATCCATTCATCCATCTGTGTTGATGCCCCCTGCATCTCTTTCCTATGAGCTGAACATGTCACGCGCCTTTCTACCTCCTTGTGGTTCTTTGATTGCTCAGTCATATTTGGGTCTTTTTGTCCTCCTATAAGTAAGGTCTCAGATACCAGTATCTAGATTCTCTGAGCTCCCATTGTGCTTTCTGTTAAAATGGCATATACTAAATGATACCATCTTATTGCATTAGAATTAACTGTAGATGTTCCCTTCTGTCTTTCCCCTAATACAGATTGTGAATGCAAAGGGCAGTGACTCTGCCATAGTCACCTTGGTGCTTCCTGTGGGCAGCCTTGTGCCTACCATGCAGTACGTTCCTTAAAAAATTGTTTACTGGATTGAACTGCTGTCACCTATGCAGGGCACCTACTTATGAAAGCTCTTTTAGGAGATCCCTTGGACATGGGAAGACACACAGCCCTGCACTTGACATCAGTGCAACGTATGGGTGACCAGGGCCCTCTAGGTCTTTATTTTTGTTATATACTTTCAGAAATGTTATGGAGTTTCTCTGGATCATGGCAATCCTACAAACCGATGGTCCCAATGTGTAATCAGGTTTCCTGTGAACACACAAAGCAGCCTGAGCTGGGTTGCCTGTCCCATTTCAAGCTCATTTCTATTAGCTTGGCTTACAGTGTGGTTCAGCCTGCCTCTCCAGTTCATCTGCCACCTCTCCAGCAACCTCCATGCACATTATGACTCAGCCACATTTCCCTCTTTTTGTCCACCAGATATACAGTGTCAGGTCATGAATGAGATGTCACTGCACAGTTGCCAGTTTTCCTTGCATTTATTCATCAACCCAACACAGTTCTCATAAACTTGACAAACTTACTCTAAACATTATAAGGGAGGATAAAGGCCCGTGGATAGACAAAGCAATCTTAACACAGAAGAATTTGGAATGGGGAACTTGCCCTTCAAGCATGATGACTAACTAAAAACCCACAGTGACAAAACCTTGTGGTACTGACACATGAACAAACCAGAGAGCTCAGAACATACTCATGTCTATTTGGAAACTTCCCCAAACCAATTTGGAAAGAATGGATTGTTTGACATGGGTTGTTGGAAAATTTGCTCACCCCATGGAGAAAAATATAGTTAGATCCCTATCTCACACCATATGGGAAGGAGAACTCCAGATGGATTAGATAACTGAATGTAAAAAAGTAAAACTATGAAGCTAATGGATAGAAAAAAATGATGGGAGAATACCTTTATGACCGTGGGGTTAAGGAGGTCTAAATAATACCAAAAAACTATATAAAAAATATAGGGAAAAAAAGAGCTAAAGAGCCACAGTATCAAAGTTAAGGACTATTGTTCCCTTAAAGACATAAAGGCAGAGTTTCTAGTCTTCTAAAGCAGATTGATGTCCAGGCTTCTCAAAGATATCTGTAAATCAAAAGAAAAAGAAAAAAGATCAATAGAAAAATAGACACAGACACTGAAAAGGCAGTTCACAGAAGGGAATCTCAAGTAGCCTATGAATGTATAAAGAAATGGTCAAAAAATTCACTAGTAGTTAGAGAAGTGAAAATGAAAGCAAAAAATGAGCTTACACTACTTTCATCATATTGACAGAAATTAGAAAATTAGCTAATTAGATGAGTCAATATTTGCAAAGCACTTAGAATAGTATCTGGTATTTACTAAACACTTTATGAGTGTTTAATAAAAAAGACCTATCACCTTCTGGAAGGGATGGATGGAAGTGTTGGATGGAAACCCCACACTGGAGTGCAGCGTAGGGCAGTAACTCTGGTACACAATCTTAAAGTGCTTGGTAAGTACCCAGGGCTTGTACTAGGCTACTGGGCATCGTTGTGCTCTTGGAAAACTGTTCATCTGGCCAGATGAGTTTGAAAATATCACACCCTCTAGATAGTTACAGCCTTCTAGGTTCATGACTTGGCTGGCGTACAGAGATTTTGTGAGAATAAAAAGTGCACACCTTTCTCCAGTAGGGCACATGGCACGGGAAAGAGAGTAGAGACAGTTTTTCAGCCTCCATTGCCCCATGGCTGGATGTGTTTGTGCAGGACGCAGCTGCATAAGCAAATGTCCCTGTGCATCCCTATAACTTTAACAATCTTACTCCTTGGCATATATTTCAGAGGAATTTGCACAGAGGTCCTTAAGGGACCACGGACAAAGACGATCATGGCTGTATTACTTGATGTATTGGAGAATTAGAGGCGGCCTTGTTACCTAACACCTGGGGAATGGAAGTGAAGTGTGGTAGATGCCCCTTATGAAACGCTGTGCAGTACTCAGAAGCAATGAACTATATGCTTGCCAATCGCAACGAGGACAGATCCTTAAAAAGAATGTTGAGTGAAAAAAGTAGAAAATAAGATAATCTCCAAAGTCCAGTAGCATTATTTAAACATTTTTAAAAAATACACTGATAAAAATTTTGTACATTTCCCAAAAATACATATGGAAGCACAGCAGCATGAATGCCTATGGGGTTGAGGATAGGGGTTGGGAGTAGGGATGGGGATAAAGGGGGAAAATAAAACCAGAGAGGAGTCTTACACATTTCATGAACCAAGGAGTATAATTATTTCAACTATTTGTACCTGAAGTCCAGAAAGAGTGGAGGCAGAAGGGGGAGAAGAGGGCGAAGAAACGTTTTTGGGAGAGGGGTCCCAGAAGAGAGATTTTCGCGATGTGGCGCTACATACGTTTTTCCAGGATGCCTTAAGCTCTGCACCCTATTTTTCTCATCACTAATATTAGATTAAACCCTTTGAAGACAGCGTCTGTGGTTTCTCTACTTCAGCTTTCCCTCCGTGTCTTGCACACAGTAGCTGTTTTACAAGGGTTGAACTGACTGAAGTGAGATTATTCCTCGTTGTCTCGGAAGGCAGAGTGTAGCCGCCAGTCCTTCCCTCATCCGGAACCTTCTGGTCCACATTTCCTTCCAAGCGTTAGTCCTCGGCTCTCCATGCTTGGCTCCCTAGTGTCACACACCGTCCTTTCTGGGTGGCCTCTTCCAATTCGCCCTCTTCTTTCTCCTGGGTGTCTCCATCTGCCCACACCGTGGGACTCCTCCCAGCCTCTCAGGGGCACCGCCCCCTCACTTCCTTGGCTCCGCCCCATTGGGATATATTTGCATATTTCTCTGAGGAACCCTGCCCAGGTGCCAGCCGCAGAAGCTCCTCCCCTTTCGAATTCCCGCTAGCGCCCCTAGAGGGCGTGTCCGTTGCCAGGCGACGGGCCGACGCGCCGAGCGCGGGTTTCCGCTCGGGGCGGGCGATAGAGACAGCGCGTCGCGCCTTTAGCTTCTTTCCCAGACTCCGGCCCAGCTCCTGCGATCTCCACAGCAGCCTCTGAGGCCGCCCCCAGAGAGCATCAGGATGGCTGAGGTCAGGAGTCAGCGCCCCTCTGTCGCCTTTCCCTTGACCCCTCCCCATTGTCCCTCTCCTACTGACGATTGTCACAAACGGTGATTCCAATATTTCCCCCCATCAACATCTTATTCCCCTGCACCCTCACTCACTCCCGCGCCTTTCTCCGTTGGCTCTGGCCTCTTTACCTCCTGTTTCTCCTTCATTTGTGTGGACACCCCACTATCCCCACTGTGGCATCGGCGCTATGCTAAGTGCGGTAGAAAATTAATGAATTCTGAAATCCACACGTGACATGCACCCAGCCCTAGATTTTTAGTCATGGAGTGATACCATAAGAGAGGCTCACACAGAAATATTGGAGATGTCTTATCTCACAGGGGAAACCGGGAAGAAAGCTTCACAGATGCCTGCTGTCATCCCAATCAATGGCCCTTGTCCACCTGTCACACCCTGATTTCCTAACATGTGATCACCTGCTGTCACACAGCTTCATTAAGGCTCTTCTGCCCATCACCTCTGCCCCGTGTGTTCATTGACTCCTGTGTTAACATCTCGTATCACCCCACCACTCCCCCATATTACAGTACACCCCATTTTCAGCCTCTCCAATGAGGGGTTATTTCTGCAACCCTTCAGTGACTCCCTGCCTGCCCCTTAGCCCCCTCACGTATAACCTCAAGAGCCTCGGGTCCCTGTCATTACTTGCCATTCACAGTCCCCATCCACTATGGCCCTACCCAAATCCTTCATGGCCCCATCAGAGCCCTTCCCCCATCACCCATCCCACGGTCTGTTCCAGCCAGGACCAGCTACATGATTTGCAAGGCCTGATGCAAAGTGAAAACACAAAGTCTCTTCAAAAATTACAAATAATTTTAAGACAGAACAGCAGAGCATTCAACCAAGAATGGGGCCTTTCTGAGCAAGGGGCCCTGTGCAACTGACCAGTTTTCACTCCCATGAAGCCAGCCCAAGCCCCATCATCTTTCAGCACCATCGTGCTCCACCCCCTCCCCACCCCATTCTAGTTACTCTCTTGCTTCCTCTGCACCATTCACATCCCCTCATCATTGCTTTTCCTCCATCTCCAGTCTAGCTTTATAAATTCCGTCTTCCCGTGGTCAACACCTCCTTCCTTTCCTTATCATACGATCTCTTTCATATCATCCATCTTCCTCACGCCTGGGCTCCATCACTCACATCTCTCTCTGACATCCATGCTGCTGTGGCCACTTCACTTCTCCCCATTACCCATAGTCATTTGTATCTCTTTCTTCCCATTTCCTTTCTTGTTCCTTCTAGTTCTTTATTGTCCCATTATTGCTTTTGAGTGTTTTCTCCTCTTTTCTCCCACCAGTCATCTTTGTTTATTTCATTCTTCATTCCCCATAGGGAAGCCCCAGCCTCCCAGAGGCACCAGCCCCTCATTTCCTTGGCTCTGCCCTATTCAGGATATATTTGCATATTTCTGTGAGGAACCCTGCCCAGGTGCCGGCCTCAGAAGCTGCTCCACTATTATGGATTAGTTATTTCCATTTCCCTCTTTCTGTTACTCCTCTCGTTTCTTCCTTTCTTCTACTTTTCTTCTTACTTGACCTCAGCCAACTTTCTCGATTCTGCTTTCACAATTCTCTATTTCCCCTCTGGCCTCATCTTATATTGCAGTTCTCTTTTCCTTTTCCCTTTTCCTTCTCCCCACTAATTGATATTCCCAGAACTTAGGACAGGACAGTGCCTGGCACATAGCAAACAATCAGTGAATAGGTGAAGAATAAAGAAATGCCACAGTTCCTTTCTGATCAGTTCACGTTGATTTCATCCTTCTGAAACAGATACCATTATATGTTATAACAGTGGAAATATCAACTGTTTATTGGCCAAAGCTAAGAGATTATTTTTCCTTTGCTTTTAATGACAATAGGAACAAATCTCTTTTGTTCCTAAAAGTTTCTTTAAAACTTTTCCTTCTTTGGTATTTTTCCATTCCTGTGCTAAGTGCCAGGTAAACAGGTAAAACTTGGACTGCTAACAAATCATTAGGCTGTTGATCAAGTGTTGACGTTAATACCATTTACAGGGATGGAACCAAGAACAGTGCAGTGACAAATTTTTGTGTGTGCTTATGTTTAGCATCAACAAGGGAGAAGAACAGAACAGCAGCAACACCGTATTTCCTTAATATGGTTTTTCCTCCTTTGTGGAATTACTACATTGTGGTCTTTGCAATAATCTGCTTTTAGTCAGGAAGAAAAACCTATGTGAATTTAAAATTAGTACTAAAGTTGTTATACAAAATGCTATAGATATGCTTGTGACTCTACATTTATTTTAATTTACAAAGACTGTTTTGCTTGCATGTCATCGTTAGAGATTTAATTAATAGTACAAGTGTTTTCGAAAACCAAGAATACGTAGACTTTTTCCATATTGGGCAAGACGGGCTTGTCAAAACAGAAGGTAAACTAGACTCCTTAAAATCTTCAGGGTGAATTGAAATTTTACTTTATTATTGGGACTACAGATTGTTTCAGTTGGTTTCTTTTAGCAAGAGAGTGTTGATGCCAAGGCCCTTTGTAGAGTAGAATATTAAAACATAATGTTGCAAACGTAAGTAAGGCCTTGCAAGCCTTATGAGTCCTTTGCTCAAAAGTCTTGAGTGGTTCCCTGTGGCCTGCAGAA
This sequence comes from Homo sapiens, assembly GCF_000001405.40. Taxonomy (NCBI): domain Eukaryota; kingdom Metazoa; phylum Chordata; class Mammalia; order Primates; family Hominidae; genus Homo; species Homo sapiens. The sequence goes on from NC_000010.11 coordinate 104,356,571, forward strand.
TAATGCAATCCGTACTCCTTTGAATGTAATTCAGTGTCTTCACTGTGTGTCCCTCACTCCCTAGCTTCCTTCTGGGCCTGCTCAAATGCCAATTTTTTTCTGAGATTTTTTTTTTTATTCTTGCTGCTGGGAATAATTCTCTTTCTGTGGGTTCATAGAGAACTTTGAATACATTTTATGATAGGGATCAAATTCTATGCTTTCATTAACTGCATTCATATCCCACCAGCAATTAAGTATAAATTCCCTGTGGATAAGCTGTTTATTACTCATCTTGTGGATAAGCTGTTTATTCCCAATCCATCATAGAATTTATGTATGGCAGATGTTCAATAAATACTTGCTCAATGAATGAATAAATATATTAACCATACCCATTCTTCTTCATTATTATGTTGTAGCTAACAAGAAGTAGGTGGATTTGTTTGCTAGAGCAGCCATAACAAAGCACCACAAACTGGGTGGCTTACTCCAGTCTGAGCTCATCTTAACTTATTAAATGACTCTGTTCCAAATAAGGTCAGATTAGCAGGGTTAGGACTTCAAAATACCTTTTTGGGGGACACAATTCAACCCCTAAAAGTAGAGAAATAAGAATCCCGATATAACTCACTCTTAGGTTCTCATCTAAGTAATAGCCAGACTTGCTTGAATTATATCTATATGTCTGGGCTTATATTTTGAAATAATTTGTTGCCCATCTAACCATGGAAAGCAAATGTGGAAAAGTCCCATGAGTATTGCACAGGGGCATTTTAGGACACTGTGGGGCATGACCTAGCCTACATTTCTAAGGAATAAAAATGATGGAATCTCTTTTGGGAGATAAGTGCATATTTCAGGTGAGTTTCACTGTATATGTGATTTCATGATATCTATGCCAAGATCTTCCTATGTCTGGCCTCAACACACCGTGGCCACCCCCCGCTGCCCTTTGCAGTCTTAGGGGCAATAAGAAGCAGGGCCCAGTGAAAAGAGACCAGGGTTTGGAATAATCATAATAGCTCTGAAAATTCCTTGAATCCCTACTATTTGCCAGGCATTTGGCTAAATGTTTAACATCAGTGATCTAATTTAATCTAATCCTTAGTAACATCATGTAGTGGGAACTACTTTTATCCTAATGCATATATATTCTGCATATATATCCCAATGCATATATATATATGTAATGTGTATAAATGTATAATGTGTATGTGTGTATATATGTGTGTTTATATACATATATATACACACATATATATGTACATATATACACATATATGTACACATATGTACACATATATACACATATATACACATATATGTACACATATATAAACATATATGTACACATATACACACATATATGTACACATATACACACATATATGTACACATATATACACATATATGTACACATATGTACATATGTACACATATATGTACACATATATACACATATATGTACATATATATACATATGTACATATACACACATATATGTACATATATACACATATGTACATATATATACACACATATATATGTACATATATACACATATATATGTACTTATATATACACATATATATGTACTTATATATGTACATAAGCATCAGGGTCTGAACAAGGACCTTTCCTGTCATATAATCTTAATTTTTCTGCTTATCAGTGGTTTTAATTTTGCTCATATGGAGGTGTTTCATTCAGAGGTAATAGCAGTAATTCCTTGATGGTAATGATGTAAATGTTGCATTGCCCTTTCCCATCCCTGCTTTTTTTCTATAGGAAAAGGGTGGAAAGCAAGTCCTGGAAGAATCTGCATTTGAAGAAATGGAAAGAGATTTTCAGGGAGTTCTCCATGAACTTTCTGGAGACAAAAGTTTGGAAAAATTTCGGATTGAATATGAGAGGCTTCATGCTGTCATGAAAAAGTCTTATGACAATGAAAAGCGTCTGATGGCCAAATGCAGAGAGCTAAATGCAGAGATTGTAGTGAATTCTGCGAAGGTCGCCACTGCCCTTAAGCTCTCTCAGGATGATCAGACCACCATTGCATCCCTAAAGAAGGTCAGTGATCTTCTAGAAATGGAATGAACCTGAATTTAAAACATCATTCTCTCATTATATTGGCACCTCTAGGCTGGTAGTAAATGAGTTATTAGGTAAAAATTTACATGATTTTATATTCATTAAGCCTAAGGAATAATGTTCATTTTCAAAGAAAATGATTTTTTAGCCTGGGTGAATCACATCATGCAGAAAATAATGGAGAATCTTACTTGTTTGGTTTCTGGGAAATAATGGGTTAGGAAAAAGATTTAGAGATAAGTAAATGCAATATTTGGAATCTCAATATATCTTATTTGATGCATGATGAGTAATTTAATACCTCATGATGGTAGTTTAACTGTTAAAGATATTTTCATATTTCTGCTTTTTCTCCTGTTTTAGTAAAGATTGCCTTGAGAATTCCCAGATAGTAATTTTCATGACCTTTCTTCCTAGCACCCCTTTTCTTTCCTCTGAATCCTCCCAGTTCCTCATAATAGGAGAGCAGAGATTCAGTCTGGGGATACTGAGGATGTATTGCTTTGTTTTACACTAGATTTTTTTCATCCTTAAGTGTGTTGCATTATTCTGAAGGTAAAATATAAGTGTTCCTTGTTGACTCATGGTGATAAGAGGTTGAAACATAATTAAAACCCTAAATATGAGAAACAATTTATAAAATTTTTAGACAGTTGCCTTGGTATCATGCAATTAGATACCATCCAGTTCAAATGAATTTCCAAGACCAGTACTAAATAACGATTATCAATTCTCTTAGAAACTACTCACTTTTAAGTGCTATTTTGAAGTTTATTGTCATGTTCTTCTCCTTACTGAAAAACCAATATAAGAAGGCTTAAAGTCATTTTATAATGGAAAAAAACATTTTTCATTGTAAATTTAAAAACTGATAAAGGGCCGGTTGTGGTGGCTTATGCCTGTAATCCCAGCACTCTGGGAGGCCGAGGTGGGTGGATCACCTGAGGTCAGGAGACCAGCCTGGCCAACATGGTGAAACCCCGTCTCTACCAAAAATATAAAAATTAGCTGGGCGTGGTGGCATATGCCTGTAATCCCAGCTACTTGGGAGGCTGATGCAGGAGAATCACTTGAACCAGGAGGTGGAGGTTGCAGTGAGCCAAGATTGTGCCACTGCACTCCAGCCTTGGCAACAGAGCAAGACTCCGTCTCCAAAAACAAAACAAAATAAAACAAAAAACCCAAAACAAACAAAAAAACAAAATCTGGAAATGGAGGTCATGAATGGATTAAAATCTAATTGGTAAAGTTGATTTGGATAAAACTTCTGTAATCATTTTTTAATGTAAATATCTTTCATTTGTTTTGCTAAATATAGCACATATGGTTGCTACATAAGAAATATTGCACAAACTGACATTTTGCTTTGAATCACTGAATTATGTGCTATAGTTACCCAAGAGTAATCTGTCTAATGTAATAGTGACCACGAATTTGTTACATTAAATACTCTCTTCCACCCATTTTATTCCTTGTCAATAAACAAGTGGAATATTTTAACCTAAAGCTTATAGGTTCTTATCTGTATAAAGGACCCACATTCTACTCGACAGAATTTTGCAAGAAAGTTAAGTAGTGGCCTAAAACTCAAAGCTGTTGTGTATTAGTTGGTCACCACATTGCATTAAAGAAATACCTGAGACTGGGTAATTTATAAAGAAAAGAGGCTTAATTGGTTCATGGTTCTGCAGGCTGTCCAGGAAGCATAACACTGGCATCTGCTCAGCTTCTTGGGAGGCCTCAGGAAACTTACAGTCATGGCAGAAGGCAAAGTGGAGCAGACACTTCACATGGGCCAGAGCAGGAGCAAGAGGGGCGGGGGGGAGGTGTCACACACTTTTTAAAAAAAACTTTTAAGTGCAGGGGTACATGTGCAGGATGTTACATAGGTAAACGTGTGTCATGGGGGTTTGTTGTACAGATTATTTAATCACCAGGTATTAAGCCTAGTATCCATTTGTTATTGTTTCCTTATCCTCTCCCTCCTCCTACTCTTCACCCTCCGAAAGGCCCCAGTGTGTGTTATTCCCCTCTATGTGTCCATGTGTTCTCATCATTTAGCTCCCATTTATAAGTGAGAACATGTGGTATTTGGTTGTCATTTCCTGTGTTAGTTTGCTAAGGATAATGGACTCTAGCTCCATCCATGTCCTTGCAAAGGACATGATCTTGTACTTTTTTATGGCTGCATAGTATTTCATGGTTTATATGTACTCTTTATCCAGTCTATCACTGATGAGCATTTGGGTTGATTCCATGTCTTTGCTATTGTCAATAGCACTGTGATGAACATATGCATGCATCACACACTTTTAAATGACCAGATCTCATGAGAACTCACTCACTATCACAAGGACAGTACCAAGAGGATGGTGCTAAACCATTCATGAGAAATCCACCCCCATGATTCAATCACCTCCCACCAGGCCCCACCTCCAACATTGGGGATTACATTTCAATATGAGATTTGGGCAGGGACATACATCCAAATTATGTCATGTTGCAAAATTTACTGTGCTTTTCTCCTTTACTGGAACTGCTGTAATTCACTTTTAAGTATTTATGTCAAAATACACATTGCATTTTATAACAGTAAGGAAGCCAAAGCTGCATGGGTCATTGCCTCCATTCCCCGTTATGGGTTTTCTCCCATATATAAGCATTTGATGAGAAGGCTTGGGCTTCAGTTTCTGAAAAATGGGAATTACCAAGGTTGTTGGGTACAATTAGGTAACAGTAAAGAACATCGTTGTGTGGATTGTTCTAAAGTTCACATTGTCACTAGGAGATCACTTGGGACCAGATGATAAAATATATTTTTTATTTACAAATCTTTCGAGAGGTTTAATTCAGTCTATCAATTTAGGGCTTGGATCTATGATCATTTCTCATGTGATAAAACTTATTTTTTTCCTTTTAATATCTGGACTTAGAAAGCACATAAACTTTCATTTGTAATTTTGCAAACCTTGCAGTAAGTGAGCCTTGTAGCCACACTCAGCTACACAAGAAAAAATACCCTCTGCCAGTCCCTACTTTATTTTTATTTTTTACTTTTTTGAGACAGGGTCTTGCCCTGTCATCCAGGCTAGAGTGCAGTGGCATGATTGCAGCTCACTGCAGCCTCAAATTCCCGGACTCAAGAGGTCTTCTTGCCTCGGCCTCCCGAGTAGCTGAGACTATAGGCCTGTACCACCACGTCCAGTCCAGTCCTCCTCTTTCAGTGTGCTATTCACTATTGACTAGCTCATGTTAAACAATTTAGTCAATGCACATTTATATAACTACACTGTGGTCATGGTATTATTCTGTTTGCTGGTTTATCTTGCATCTAGAATCCAGTTTGGTCTTTCTCACTGATATCCTATGGCCCATCTAGGAAATTGAAAAGGCCTGGAAGATGGTGGACTCAGCCTATGACAAAGAGCAGAAGGCCAAGGAGACGATTCTTGCTCTGAAAGAGGAAATAGTGAACCTGACCAAACTAGTGGAGCAGGGGTCTGGACTGTCAATGGACCAGCATAGCAAGTAGGTCATAGCCTTGTTGATGTATGTTAAACTTGCTTTTGCAGAGGTCTCCTTCAGTAGACAGCCTGGGGCTTGCCAGTGTCTTCTTGAACATTGTCTGTGATACAAGACTCTTCTTTATTGGGTTCTTAGAGATTGTTTTCTGTCTGTTGCATTTTAAGTAATGTTCTTTTCTCCACACCTAAGAACTTCTAATTTGTGGTTATCTTAAACTTCTGCCTCCATAGGAATCAGTAGTATAGTTTCAAAATGAGTAAGATGTTAGGTTTCTCTGCAATTTGTGTAGAATATAACTGGCTAATTTTCTGCCCAGAGTCCCAGCTTCTCCCACCTACTCCCCATGATCAGTCTCATCACCAACCCTCCCACCCTTCAGATTCTAGGCCAGAAAACAGTGCTGCTCTTCCCTCCTCCTGCTCCCCCATCTCTTAAAGCCACTGTCTTGTTGGCTTGGTCTTCTAAGCATGGCCTTTCACTCCTTCTGGTCACCAGTGCTACTGCCTTGGTTCAGGCCTCCTATTCTCTGCCAGATTTGGCAGTAGCGTCCTAACTGGTCTCCCTGCCTACAGAAGACATGTCTTTCTTTATTCCATCATTGCTACCAAATTTAGGCTCCTGAAGCACATGTGCACCTATCCCCAGCATAAACACTTTCAATAGCTACCCATACCCAAAGGATAAAGCCCAGACTCTTGACTGTGTCATCCAGAGCCCTTTGAGAACCTGCCCCAGTCAGCCTCTCTAGCCTCGTGCGAGCCCATCAAGTTGCTCACACCTCCATGCCTTTGTACATGTTGCTTTCCATGCTCAGAGTGCCTTGTCTTCCATTCTCCCCATGGTCAACTTTTATGCCTTCTTTAAGACCCATCTCAAACACTGTCTTAACTTCATCACCATCAGCATCACTGTTCCAACATCCTCTCCACATCCAGACTCCAATGACCACACAGAAAGTCACTATGTTTTCTGTTTCCATAAGACCCAACATTTACCTCCAGTATGGCACTGATCAGATTATATTGAAACTTATTTGTTGATGTGCTTCTCTACCCATTAGGCTGTGAACTCCCTGAAGGAAGGCACCTTTATATCCCCTCCAGGAGCCCAGCACTGTGTGGGGCATGCAAAACATGGCATCAACGAATGAATCAGGAATGAACATACACTTCCTTGGGCAGCCAAGGAAATTAACCAAATCTAATTTTGCTGTTTCAGTTTCTTACGCTTTTTTGATGCATTGATCCAACACTGACAGATAGTTCTAAGTACAGGTGTTGGGAGAGGGAATAGGAAATAAAAACAGAAAATGTGATGCCTGTAGTGTGGGCTTTATCTTCTTGTTAAGGAAGTCAAGCATATTCAGAGCAACTACTGAAGAGGAATGCGAGGGAACTGATTCAGATACGAGACAAGCATTGGAAGAGGGTGAGGAGGAGAATGGAAGAAACAATCCAGCCAATAATTTTATCTTTAACAGTGTGCCCAGGTGTAACTTTCTGTCTTCATAGTAACCTTCGAATTTGAGGTTTTATTTCTGGAGTAGAATTTGAGTGCAGGTTTAAAGTTTCCTTATTAAACATTTGTTACATCAAAGGTGTTGGTAAATATAGTTTGACAAATTACTGTGTTTTGAGCAGTCGTTTGATGACTGTCAGCTGCAAGAGTCTGCAGTGCAAGTTCTCCTCTGCCTTCTCAGCTCCAAGAGCTGCCTTGCTCTACATTCATTCTGCTGCAGAGGTCGTATCAGACACTGAGCTTCCAATTGCAAAGTGCTAATTCTGCAGGAAGTCATGCCAAATCATATGGAATGGCTTTTGAAATTTGGAGGTAACTGGTTTACAATTCAAATCAATGAATATTATCACATAACCTCCAAAAATGGGCATCATGAATGATTTTCCCAATTTTGTTCTTTGTAACATTTTATCTGGGCTGCATTCATTTGGGAGAAACTAATCTTTTTGGGTAAATTGATAGAAAACTAGCAATGCATATTATTTTGTTCTGTTTATGCTTTATTCTAGAGTTTATAGCTGTGATCATAGCCCTCCAGTGGATATATTAAACAAATAGTTTCCTAAATTGACATCTGCTTAGGATTAATTACCAGAGTTGACAATAGCAATATAGTCTTATCATAACAAATTCAAGTAATACAGAGGTGTGGAAAGTATCAACCCCCACAACTTTCCACCCTAAATTTCTCAGAGATAATCAGTGATATGTTTTTCTGGGCTCTGTAAAAATGTCTGTAAAACACACACACACACACACACACACACACACACACACACACACACTCTCACACGCATGAATAGACATTGTATTTTCTTAAAAATAAAAAAATAAATTATACTATGCATGTTATCATTAGTACTTCTTTCCAGTTAACATTTCACAATCTGATCCCATATCATGGCATAAAGATCTTTCTCTTTAATGTCTGAATAGTGTTAATCATTGACCTGACATCTTTCCCATGAAAATGAACTCAGAGAATGATATGAAGGACCCCTGAGCAGATGGCCATTTAGTCTGACTCCTGTGTTCTTCCTTTTTAGCATCCGAGATTTACTGAGGTTCAAAGAAGAAGTGACAAAGGAGAGAGACCAGCTCTTATCAGAAGTGGTAAAATTACGAGAATCCCTAGCTCAGACCACTGAACAGCAGCAGGAAACAGAGCGATCAAAAGAGGAGGCTGAACATGCCATCAGTCAGGTCTGCCATGGAGGGCAAGAAGAAGGAATATTTCCTTCCAGAGGATGTTTGTCCCTCCACAGTCTCTATTCCCATCTTGCTCCTTTCTCAAATTTACCCCCTAGCGCCCAAATGAAACATCCTCAGTTCTGCTTGTTTCTTTAGTTTGTTCTCTTGAGAGGAGCTTTACTTGATTTGAACGACTTGAATTGTTCTTTCTCTGCATTCTCTGTCTGAGAAGTCACTGAGGCGGGCACTCCCTACTTACAATTCTGGCTCAAAAAGATGATCTCCATGAAGGCCAGGGGGCCCAACATCTGGGGGTGGTGGAAGTAGTTTCTTTGGCCCTACTTATTTATTTATTTATTTTTATTAGAAAGCCATTTAGCAGACTTCTTCTGAACACTTTTACATAAAGCCAGAAGTCAAATAGGTCATACACAATGTGCAGTCTCCAAGAGAAAAACATGAGACTTCTTTGAACATGAGATAAGAAAAAGGCTTTTCATAGCATTTGGACATCAAGATAAACCTATAATGCTCTCTTTAGCAATATCCAGGGTCATGTAAAACACAATTTTATACTTAGGGTAGCTAGCCACATTTTATTTAGTCCCTATTGATAAAGAACGGGATGAATTCTTTCCATGTTTAACGCCCCTAGAACTCTGAGCTTCCATATGTATTTGATTTTATACCACACTTTGTGGATTTGTTGCCCACCATCAGGGTAGTCATTTGATTTCAAGGCCCCAAGAAACAGTATAGAATATTCCTGAAAAGTTTGAACACTGGGGCTCAAGGATGTCTGCCCTATAGGGGAAATGCTACTGCAAAGTGCTGCCTTGACAATCACAGACCTGAGAGAGGAGGGGGCTTGGCTGGCTGAGACCTGCCATGGTCAGGGCTCATCTCTTTCTCTCTTGTCCTTTCCGCAACCTCTAGTTCCAACAAGAAATCCAGCAACGTCAGAACGAAGCTTCCCGGGAGTTCCGGAAGAAGGAAAAACTAGAGAAAGAGCTCAAGCAGATTCAGGCAGACATGGACAGCAGGCAGACAGAAATAAAAGCCCTGCAGCAGTATGTGCAGAAGAGCAAGGAGGAGCTTCAGAAGCTGGAGCAGCAGCTGAAGGAGCAGAAGGTGAGTTGGGTGTGGGTCTTCGCAAAAAACCAAGAAAAACCCAGAATGGCACCTTTATTCACCCTTTTGTGCATTTTGAATTCTCTTGGAAAGCAGCAAATTCCCTTCACTACTCGTGCTGATGATGTAAAACTTAGCACTGCAATTTGGTCTTTGAATGGCTCTTATGAGGTAGTTATGCCCCCCCTTTTAAATTTCCCAGCTCTAACAGGTTAATAAGTTTCTTTTTAACCTTCTATTGATCTATACTACACATATAGACAAGTGTATATGTCACAAGTGGACAGCTTGATGAATTTTCACCACTCAACCGCATCTTGGTCACCTGCTCCCAGCCAGAGAAACAGAACATTACCAGCACCCCCAGAAGCCCTTTTGTGCTCCCTCTTAGTCCTTCTCCCCCTAAAATACCATCTCTATCCTGAATTCTAAGCAGAGTTTGGTTTCGCCTGTCTTTATACTTTACAGAAATAAAATATTACAGGATATATTCTTTGTGTCTAACTTCTGCTATATTCTGTTTGTGAGATATATTCATGTTGTTGCCATGTAGTTATAGACTTGTGATGCCCAATATGGTAACCCTTAGCAACAAGTGGCTATTTAAATTCAACTTTATTAAAATGAAATTAAATTAAAAATTCATTTCCTTGGTTGTACCAGCATCATTTCAAGTACTCAGTAGCCACAGATGGCTAGTTGATGCCATATTAGCACAGACAGAGAACATTTACATCACTGCAGAAAGCTCTATTGGACAGAGCTCAGTAGAGCATGAGCTCTCATTGCTGTGCAGTATTCCACTGGGTGAGTATAACAATTTATTTTTAACAGTTTTATTTTTATTTATTTATTTTTATTTTTATTTTTATTTTTTTTGAGATGGAGTCTCTCTGTCACCCAGGCTGGAGCACAGTGGCATGATCTCAGCTCACTGCAACCTCCACCTCCTGGGTTGAAGCGATTCTCCTGCCTCAGTCTCCCGAGTAACTGGAGTCTGCCACCATGCCTGGCTAATTTTTATATTTTTAGTAGAGACAGGGTGTCACCATGTTGGCCAGGCTGGTCTCGAGCTCCTGACCTCAAGTAATCCAACTGTCTTGGCCTCCCAGGGTGCTAGGATTACAGGCATGAGCCACCGCACCCAGCCGACAGGTTTATTTTTAAGTTATTTTCAAGTTTAGCAAACTAGGGTCAGTCTTTATGTATTTTTAATATGGTACTGTTTTTAACACTTCCTCTATTATAGCAGTTTAGGGTGACACAAGTATTAGTAATTGTATTATGTTTTCTCTCATTTCTTAAAGAAGCAATTCATATAATTGAAAAGTCTTTTCTTAAATATGTTTTTCCTCAGGAAGCTTGTTTCCAAAGAATTGTCAAGCCATATAGCAGTTTTATACTCAAAAATAGATATAAATATACTTTTTTTTTGTCCGTTGCTCTATTAATTTTGTATAAAGTCAGAAGTCAAATAGATAATTCACAGTGTGCCGCCTCCAGCAGAAAAACATGAGACTTCTTTGAGCATGAAACATAAGAGAGGCTTTTGGACATCAGGATAAAAACTATTCTCCTATGAAACACAATTTCATTTTTAGCATAACTGGTTACATTTTATTTAGTCCCTATTGATGGAGAATTAGCTGGATTCTTTTCATGCTTAATTTTTGTGTGCATGGAAGTTATATTTTGGAGACATTACCTAAACTGGCTTTCTATTTTTATCCTGCAATTCATTTGCTATCCCTCCACCTCCTCAATATTCCCCCAATAGAAATGAGCCCCCAAGATATAATCCTTTGTTTTTATAAAACCATATCTGCTTAGGATAGTCAAGGCAGGGAAGAGGAAAATCTGGCTGACACTGCACTCAAGCAGATATAAATCACTTTGCTGCTGTTCCACGGTTTCGACTTAAGTTAGATTAAAAGAAAATTGTCTCTGTGTTGGTGTTAGTGAACAGTTCTGTTGACAAAAATGTTGTAGGCATGTTAATGCAGGATTTGCTTCTGAAGATGTAGCTTCCGAGCCCCACAGCTTATAAAATCCGTTTGAATCTCTAGCTCATTTGCAATGATTATAGCAATTGTTGCATATGCGAAGCCTGCCAAATGGCAAACAGGCATTAAAATATTTATCCACCACCTGTGAACAAGACTTCCCAAGGCTCTCAGAAAAAAAATTATGCTCACTGTGTTATTCATTAGAAGGCATCATTTTCCTCAACCGTTTAACATTCATCATATTTGAGTGCGTTAGTGCTTTCATCGGGAATAAAGAACAATTTCTACAAAGACAAAAACTCAGGGTTGCTGTTATCTTCCCAGGAGGTTTGTGGGGCCCCCTGTGTGTATATCCAACTATTGTAATCAGATTAAAAAGCATTAACCAGCTCATTCCATCCCTTTCAGATATTGAATGAGAGAGCTGCAAAGGAACTCGAGCAATTTCAGATGAGAAATGCTAAACTTCAGCAAGAGAATGAACAGCACAGTTTGGTCTGTGAGCAGCTATCCCAGGAAAACCAACAGAAGGCGTTGGAGCTCAAAGTAAACACCAAGTTACATGTCTGTTCCCTAGCTCTTTCTTCCTAACACAGGTTTGCCTTGGCAATTGGAGCCCTCAGTTGGAGAGCCTGTGTTGGCTCTACTGAGTACATTGACACATCAGAGGCAGGTGCAAGCCTATAGTGATTGCTTTAGGCCCAGAAGCAGAGTTTGATGACTTCCATTCTTGTAAAATTGCAAACCTGATTATTGATCATATGGTTATGCAAATGGTTTCCAAAGTGAGCTCAGATGTCTATCTCTGTAACTAGCTTTGCAAGAAACCAGTTGCTCAAATCTAGCAATCCATTCACACGTGTGAACAGCAAAAAATTCAGATTATAGTTACTGCTTGTTGGAGAAGGTGGGATGGAATGGCTGGGAGAGAGACTGATACTACCTAGGGTCTACTTACAGGATTGTGGAATCATGATTTTCACTTCTGTCCAATGTATATTTTGAGACAGATTTCCTATTCTTCTCCTTGCTCTCATTGAAGAGTGCTTGCAAATTCTTCAATTTAGATAGTTTAGATAACAGTTTATACTCCGATGTATATTGTATGCCTACCTGCTTAACAGAGCAGCTTTACGTTTATCACTTTAATTCTGAAAAAAATCCATATTCCCTACTCTGGTTATGTTAGAATACTGGATGTAAAAAGAGTGGCCTAGCAAGAATAATACATAGATTTGGGCAGAGAACCATAACATTTTTATATCACAAACTCTTTTGAGAATCTGATGGTAATATACACATGCACACACTTATTTGCATATCTTACATCTTGTGTTGCATGCATCCCAGAAATAGGAGAGGTTTCCAGGATTTTTCTGAAGTCTAACTGTGGGGTCTGGATTAATAACCACTGAATTAAAACATCTTAGAAATGGAGAGGCCTTAACATCGACTAATTTGAACCCTATAGGGTCTGAGGGTCTGACGCTGAAAAACTTTTAAAACAGCCCAGAATGGGTAGACTTGAAACCATTCTTTATGAGAATGCAATAAGTTAAAGAAGAGATGAGATGACTACTTAAGTCAAAATAATGTATTAGCCCCTAAGGTAAAATTAAAGGAAAAAGACTCATGCCATTAATTCTTTCCCTTGATAATATGAATGGGGCATTTTGAAAGATGGACTATTTCTGTTATCAGATCATGAGCCTAATGGGATTCAGCCTCTAGCAATAATCTGAGGATAACATGAACAGCTAATTTTGGTCTCTTCATTGTTATGAGCTGAGATAATTGCTAACCTTTGTTCGCAAAAGAATCCCAGCTGCTTTTCCAGTCACTTCTAATGGCAAAATTTTAAAAAAGTGAATTTAATTAAAATTTCCAAAATCTGGAAAGCTTGAAGTCTTTAGACAAAAATCGGGTGCTTTTCTTTGCTAGGATTATTTTTGGGGACTGTTTGCCATTTTATAGACTGCCTATTCATACTATGAAATATCTGGTCCACTTATCCATATGTATACCTAGAGACCAACATACTTTGAGGAAGGAGGACCCCTTCTCTAGTGTATATAATTGACCTACAATGGCCCAGTGAGTCCAAAAGAGTGTTTGAATATTTTATATATGTTAATAACCATCTGAGAGAGATCACTTCACAAGTTCATGAAAATTGCTAATCAAATACTGTATACAAAATTCACATATTTTTGATACGTACAACTTAGCATTCTTATCTTATTTGATTCTACAGTTAGATGGTGTATTAGTTCATTTTCACGCTGCTGATAAAGACACACCCAAGACTGGGCAATTTACAAAAGAAAGAGATTTAATTGGACTTACAGTTCCACATGGCTGGGGAGGCCTCACAATCATGGTGGAAGGCAAGGAGGAACAAATCACATCTTATGTGGATGGCAGCAGGCAAAGGGAGAGAACTTGTGTAGGGGAACTCCTCTTTTTAAAACCATCAGATCTCGTGAGACTTAGTTTGTATCAGGAGAATAGCATGGGAAAGACCTGCCCCCGTGATTCAATTACCTCCCATCGGGTTCCTCCCACAACACGTGGGAATTCAAGGTGAGATTTGGGTGGGGACACAGCCAAACCATTTCAGATGGTAACTTGAAACAAAATTTTTCAGTGTTTTTATTATTTTTAGTTTATAAAAATATAAAACATAACCACATATTTTATTCAGTGGACAGTTTTTCAATTTCTCTCAAAACCAAATTGTGTGTGCTTGATTTAATCTCACAGAACAACTTTAAAATGCCATGGGAAGAATTTCCTTTTATTGGTTCTGAGTTTACCATCATCCAGTTCCTGGCTCTTCATTTACAAAGTGACTCATTAATTCTTTCTCACTAATTACAGGCCAAAGAGGAAGAAGTCCATCAAATGCGCCTTGACATCGGGAAGCTCAACAAAATCAGAGAACAAATTCATAAGAAATTGCACCACACCGAAGATCAAAAGGCAGAAGTCGAACAGCACAAAGAAACCCTAAAAAATCAGATTGTGGGATTAGAGAGAGGTAAACCATTTTGCGCTTTTATTCATTTAGAAACATTTTATTGGTGACTGATGTTATCTTGTAACCCAGGGCTCCATGTTTCCAAACACAACCTATGCCAAATGAAATCAGTAAAACAACACTCACACTGGTAAACAGTCAATATGGGGTGGGGTGGGGGGCATCATTTTGAACACCTTAAACTCTTACCTTAAACAATTCTTCCACAGGTTCCATTGGCAAAAATGACAATCCAACCTGAAGTATTATTGCTCAGTATTTGTCCATGGAGTAAATAGCATCTAAACTCTTATGTCTGAGGTTCACATGACCTGCTTTAGTTCTTCTTTTCCACAGAAGATAGTGAATACGTTAGAATGAATGTCCTTCATTAGCAGTATCTGGGACAATATTGCACTAAGAATCAGCGGAACAAAAATGAATGGCTTCTAACATCTTTTCTCTGTCAGTACTTTGCCATGTGATGAACCGCTGTCTTACCGTTATAACCGACCTGTGAAGGGAAAATTTAAGTGCCACAGGGAGGTACAGAGAAATCAGTAAGGACACAAACCCTGGAGTCAGAGCTGCCTGGGTTTAGATCCCGTCTCACCACATCTGGTGGTTGGGGGTGAAATAAGTGAACACAGAGCACTTGTGGGCACTGCCTGGCACACACAGTAAGTGCTAATTACATTCCATCCATCATCATCCAGATATATTCTTGTTTT
The DNA here is from genome assembly GCF_000001405.40 of Homo sapiens. Classification (NCBI taxonomy): domain Eukaryota; kingdom Metazoa; phylum Chordata; class Mammalia; order Primates; family Hominidae; genus Homo; species Homo sapiens. Next base: position 104,371,765 of record NC_000010.11, read on the forward strand.
CTGAATAAAAAATATAATTAAAATACAGTATACTTGTCAAATTTGGTGCAGCAGAAACAGCTCTGGACTTGGAGACAAAGAACCTGGGTATGAATTCTGACTCCACTGAAGTACGTGAGGCAGGAACATCTGTGTCCTGTTGACTTTTCCCAGGTGGCTGTAAGTTGTCAATCACTGAATGAGACAACATACGTAAAAGCACAAAAGCACACATTCCTCACTAAAAGTTAGGTACAATCTAAATCTCTGGATAGAATTATTAGAAATATTTGTCACTAGTGAGACTCTGTCTTAAAAAAAAATTAAGGCAAAGCACGGTGTCTCATGCCCGTAATCTCAGCACTTTGGGAGGCCAAGGCAGGCGGATCACCTGAGGTCAGGAGTTCGAGATCAGCCTGGCCAACATGGTAAAACCCTGTCTCTACCAAAAATACAAAAATTAGCTGGGCATGGTAGCGGGTGCCTGTAATCCCAGCTACTTGGGAGGCTGAGGCAGGAGAATCGCTTGAACCTGGGAGGTGGAGGTTGCAGTGAGCTGAGATTGTGCCACTGCACTCCAGCCTGGGTGACACAGTGAGACTCTGTTTCAAAAAATAAAAAAGAAAAAGAGAGAGAAAAAAAAGAAATATTTGTCACTTAGGTCTTTGTAGATATTTTTCCTTCTAAGACATCAAGAAATAATGTTTTATTGAGATGCAGTTCCAGCTTATCTCAACAGTTTCTCTGTTCATGCATTCAGTAAATCAAACCCAGACTATGGGCAGGCATTATTCTAGGTGCTGGGTGCATGGAGGACCTCCATGGGGTTAAATATTTCGATTTTATTCTTTGTTATGCCACAGTCTAGTGTGAGTTTTCAATCTAACACTTTCTGTGACAGAAATGAAGAAAACTGGAACTTTAAGAGCAATTTTTGTAACTGGCTATCAAAACACTTCCATATTTAAATTTCTGTTTTTGCTTGCAATAGTTCTAAGCTTTGGAAAAAAAAGTTTTACCCATTTGGCGTTGAGCCCAACTCTTCATCCTTAAATCATGTATACAAAGTTATCATTCTCTCTCTTTTGACTACTTTATAGGTATCATCAATATCATTATTTCTTCTTAGGGATCACGTCCTTTTGATGTGTTCAACCAAAAAGTGGCACTGGGCATAATGGTTAGGAGCATGGGTCTCCCTCCTACATGTTATGATTTGCTACCACAGAAACCAAGAAATAAACTGAAAAACTACCAGAACTAACAACAGAGGTTAATAGAGTTCAGTAGGGTGGCAGGTTATAAAATAAATATGTAGATATCAATAGCTTTTTTTCATACCAAAAAAATCAGAGTATATAATGGAAAAAATTCTCTTCACAACAGCAACTAAAGTAATAAAATATCTGTGAATAAAGTTACCAAGATATCTGCAAGATCTATATATTAAAAAAAGCCACAAAATTCTATTGAGGGATATAAAGGAAGACTTGAAAGATGGAGAGATATATTAAGTTCCTGGATGAGAAAACTCAATAGAATAAAAATATAAATCTGTCCAAGTTAATTTATACATTTAATTTTTCCAAAAAAATTTCAGTGAGTTGGGACCTGGCATGGTGGCTTACACCTATAATCCCTGCACTTTGGGAGGCTGAGACAGAAGGATCGCTTAAGGCTAGGGGTTCAAGGCCAGTCTAGGCAACATATTGAGATACTATCTCTTCAAAAAAAAAAATTGCCAGGTGTGGTGGCATGCTCCTGCGCACCTGTAGTGGCACATGCCTATAGTCCCAGCTACTTGGGAGGCTGAGGCAGGAGGATCACTTGAGTCTAGGAGGTCAAGGTTGCAGTGAACTATGATTGCACATACTGCACTCCAGCCTGGGTGACAGAGCAAGTCTCTTTAAAATTCAGTGAGTTATGTTGTATGGGACTCAAAAATTGATTCTAGAGTTCCTCCAGAAGAATAAACATATGAAAATAGAAATGAAATAGAATAGAAATGAAATAGAATAGAAAATAGAAATGAAATCTGGTAAACAAGGGAAGATTTGCCTTCCCAGATGTTTAAATGTATTATAAAGCTTCAATAATCAAATTGTATAGTGATGATGTCCAGATAAACAGATCAATGAAAGAGATTGGAAAGGCCAGAAAAGACTCTCGATTATCATCTAAGGTAAGGTGTTGTTTCCTACCAGTGTGCAGTATGGATTCTTAAGAAAATAATGGCATGACAATAAGCTTCTGCTTTTGGGGAAAAAGTCAATACCAAATGTTGAAACCATAAAGCCAAGATTGAGAGATTAAATTAAATAAAAGTTAAAATTTTCTATATTCTGTATTCTCTATAAATGAAGGCAAATCGACTAAAAGAATGTCAGAGCTCTTTGTTACATGTAAAGGGCTTCTTTTAAAAATCCACAAAAGAGGTCGGGAGTGGTGGCTCACGCCTATAATCCCAGCACTTTAGGAGGCTTTGGCGGGTGGATTGCTTGAGCCCGGGAGTCTGAGACCAGCCTGGGCAATATGGCAAAACCCCATCTCTACCAGAAAAAAAAAAGAAAGAAAGATAAAAATTAGCTGGGCATGGTGACACACGCCTGTAGTCCCAACTACTCAGGGGGCTGAGAGGCAGAGGTTGCAGTGAGCTGTAGTTGCACCACTGCACTCCAGCCTGGGTGACAGAGCGAGACCTTGTTTCAGGAAAAAAAAAAAAAAAAAAAAAAAAAAAAATCCAGAAAGGATAAACATATTATGAGAGAAATTGGCAAAGGGCAAATTGGGCAATTTGAAAAACAGAAATACAAATAAATGGTCATTAAACATGAAGAAGTAGTAAACTTCACTACTAAGCAAAGAAATGCAAATTAAATACTGACATATTGGTTTTTAAACATCTATCAGACTGTCAAAGATCAAAGAGAATGATGATATCCAGGGGTGGTTTGGGTGTGGATTTAAATTGCTATTAATTTTCTAGAGAGAAATTTGGCAGTAGGAGAGAAATGTCTATTAAAAATCCCCTTTGATCCAGGACTTCCTCTTCTACAGGAAAAATATGAATAAGAACTTTCACAGGATTATTGCTTATAACTGCAAAAAAAAAAAAAAAGAAAAAGAAGCAACTTAAATGTTAAAATGAGGGATTGGCTAAATAAATTATGTATTTTCACACAGTGAAAAACCATGGGTTTTTAAAAATTCGGATGCTGATGCACATTTATAGTATGGAAAGGTATTTATTCTATGCTTGTTAATTATGAAAGCAAGCTACAAAATAGTATACTATGTGTACAATAAGCTTCTGTTTTGGGGGAAAAACTCAACACCAAATGTTGAAACCATAAAACCAAGATTGAGAGATTAAACATAAAAATTAAAAGTAAAAATTTTCTGTATTCTGTATTCTCTATACAGAATATAGTGTGTACTATATACTTAGTGTACTATGATTCCCTTTTGGGGTGTATGTGTATTTACAAATATATATATAAATATATGTATTTATAAATATATTTATATACACGTATATTTACATAAGAATAAGCTGGGAAAGAGACATATTAAAATACTAAGTAGATTCTGGTTGATTTAAATTTTTTCACTTCCGTTTATCTGAATTTCTAATTTCATTCTGTATTTCTATTTACTTGTATAATAAAAAACATTTAAAAACAGCAAGTGGCCGGGTGCAGTAGCTCATGCCTGCCTGTAATCCCAGCAGTTTGGCAGGTTGAGACAGGCAGATCACCTGAGATCAGGAGTTCGAGACCAGCCTGGCCAACATGGTGAAACCCAGTGTTGATGAAATAATCAAACTCTGTAAAATATTTTAAGAGATTAATTCTGAGGCACATGTGACTGACCATGGCCCGTGACACAGACCTCAGGAGGTCCTGAGAACATGTGCCCAAAGTGGTCGGGGTACAGCTTGGTTTCATATATTTTAGAAAGGCATGAGACATCAATCGAATACGTTTAAGAAATACATTGGTTTGGTTCAGAAAAGCAGGACAATTCAAACGGGGGTGGATGGGGTCGGGGGGGGCTTCCATGCTATAGGTAAATTTAAACATTTTCTGATTGACAATTGGTTGAGTTTATCTGAAGACCTGGGATCAATAGAAAGGAAATGCTCAGGTTTAGATAAAGGACTGTGGAGACCAAGTTTTATTGTGCAGAGGAAGCTTTCAGATAGCAGACTTCAGGGACAGCAGGTTATAAAATGTTTCTTATTGGACCTAAAAGGGTACCTGGCTCTTTTTTGATTATCTCCTGGATCTGGAAGGGAAGGAAGGAAAACAAAGGGAAAAGGGGATTCTTTATAGAATGTGGATTTTTCCCACAAGAGACTTCGCAGGGCAATTTCAAGGTATGGCAAGGAAATACATTTTGGGGTTAAATATTTCGATTTTATTCCTTGTTATGCCAGAGTCAGATTGGAAAGTAAGTCATGATATACAGCGTTAAATAAAACCCATCAGATGAGAATTTATGGTTTGTAGGGCATGACTCCCCAGACCTCTTAGATAGGAATTTGGGCAAGAGGAAAAAAAAAAATCAGAGCTAGTCCTCACCTGTCTTTACTAAAAATACAGAAAATAATTAGCCGGGCATGGTGGTGCTGCACCTGTAGTCCCAGCTGCTCGAGAGGTTGAGGCAGGAAAATCCCTTGAACCTGGGAGGCGGAGGTTGTAGAGCCGAGATTGTGCCACTGCACTCCAGCCTGGGCGACAGAGCAAAACTCCGTCTCAAAAAAAAAAAAAAAAAAAGAAAAAAAAGCAAGGACATTTTTGGCGTTGGAGAAATCTTAGCCCTGTCACCTGTTGGCTTCAGACTTTTGGCAAATGGATTAATCTCTGCAAGCCTCAGTTTCCATCTCTTTAGTGAGAGAGGGAGACCTACCTCACTTGGTTATACCAAAGGTCACATACACTTGGTTAATAGTAGTTTTATAGCTAGAGACAAACATGTAAAGCAGTTTTTGTATCACTTCGGCTTTTGTAGATTCTCTTAGGTCGACTCTACGTTTATTATTATTTTTTCTCCCTGGGGATTCAGAGGTAGAGGCTTCAAAGAAACAAGCAGAACTTGACAGAAAGGCAATGGACGAGCTTCTAAGAGAAAGGGACATACTAAATAAGGTGAGTGTGTTACAGTCACACTGGTAAATAAATGTCTTTCTTCAGCACTGTAATATCTGGCTATAGCCAGTTGGATGGGAAAAGAAAACTCCGAGGCAAACAAAAGTGGATTAGAATAAATAATAGTGCTTAATTTTCCTCTAAGCAGCTGCCTACAGTCTATGATTCACTGGCCATGAATTGCAATTGCGTTATCACCTGAGAACACAAAAAGACTTTGGAGAATTAGCATATAAGCCAGGAGGGGATTTCAGAGTGTTTTGTGGATTCTGTTTTCATTGCTGGTGTGCTATTTGGCATCCTAAGCAGTTTATCAACATTTCTGAATTTAATATCTATAATCGACAACTTGCTAATCCAAAAATTACAAGTGAGTGCTAATTGAATTTTAGCTCTGAGGTGTTAGGTGTAGGAATGGCAGGTCTAAGCTTTCCTCCATCTTTTCAGGGTTGCTGTAGGTTTTGGTTTTTGTTTTCTGTCCTTATCTTGTCTGACCTTCCAGCTCAGTGTGGTCCAAAGCTAAGGGAGGGGTTACGGCAGCTTGAAGGCAGAGATCTGAAGATTCTCCATTAAATGTAGGACCCCTCCTTTTTCCTATCCCACTTCCTGAAGAGTTTTTCCATTGAAAGTCACTTTTAGTTACAGGGAATTAGGGTAAATTTTCCTGCTCAAGGATTTCTTCCAGGGAGGAAGAAGCCACAGGCCAGGTGTGGATGGCTGGGTGGTTGTGGGGGATGGTGGCAGGGTGCTTCTATAACAGCCACGGCCAAGACAGTTTCATCTCATCAAGGCAGAAACGGTCTATATTTGTTCATTCTGACTTTCATTAATTCTTTAGGTTTCCCAGAATTGAACAAATGTTAACAAAATACACTATACTTTAGCCTAAAATAGACTATTCAGGGAATCTCAGGAACTTATAGATTAGATCTTCACATGCTAAGCACTTTTAAAGAAAATCATTGAAGTGTTTTTTCTTCTTGGACAATCTTGGAAATTGCTTTTTTATTCTATACATTTGTACATATAAACAATAGTGTTGGATTTAGATTTTTAAATTTATATTCAACACACATTTAATCTGTTTATATTTTATATGTACTAATAAACAACCAATAGGTTTTCTGCCATGATAAGACATGTAGTGCAATAGTAATTTTACATTTATTTGTTGATTTGATTAATGTCAATTCTTCCTTTAGGGCAGGGTATACTTTTGTATTTTTTATTTCCTGGCCTTTGTATTCTTAGTGCCTAGCACAGCACCCAACTCTGCAGGTATGCAATGAACTTTAATTGATAATACGTTATTTCCCCATTGACTCAGTTGAAATGCCACCTTCATCCAAAGAATGAGTGAAATGGTTTTGACAGGTAGCAACATGAATATATTTTGATTCTTTTAGTGTCATGTGGAAGTGGCTTTATCTTTTATAGAACAAATGTTTAACCCAATACTTGAAAAAAAAGTTGATCTTTTCTGTTTTCTACATTGTCACCCAACCAACATTTAATAGGCCTTTTACCTGAGTATTGTCCAGCAGTTTTCAGACCTATCTGTGGTTCTGTGTTGGTTAGAGATTTGAGAAGGAACTCTAAAGTGCCTCATGGAACTCAAGGATACAGCTGGGCCTCAGGAACCCATTGGAAACTGGCCTGGCATTCTTGGGATGAAAGCATCTCTCTCTGCCAGTTGACTTCCTGCTGAGTTTTTGCTCCATTCTTCTTTCAGTGAAGATTGTCACTGTCTCTCTCGTTTTCCAGTCCATATGACAAAAAATGGCTGTCACCAATAGCTCCCAAGGTTATATCTTCTACTGAGTTGCAAAAATCTAAAGGCCCTATTTCAAAACTCCTGGGGAAGGGTCATTTGATCCATTCAGTTGCAGTTAAAGAGGTGAACACTTTTGCATGAGCATGGCTGCCAGATTGCACTGCTACTTACTCTGTGTTTCAGGGGAACTTGGGCAGCCAACCCAAGATGTTTCCTTTTCAGCATCAGAAATCTCCAGTGCAGCTTAAAAAAAAAAAAAAAAGTAGGTGCCTGGGTCCTATCCCAGACCCACTGAATCAGAAACTTCGGAGTTGGAACATGAGCATCTGCATTTTTAAAAAACTGAGTTAATTGTTTTTGTTGTGGTTAAATACACACAACACAAAATTTACTATTAGTGACATTTAGTACATTCACAATGTTGGGCAACCGTCACCACAATCTAGTTTGACAATCTCGTCCCCCCAGAAGAAACCCTGTACCTATTCAGCAGCCACTCTCTATCCCCCGCTCCTCCCACCCCTGGCAACTACGAATCTTCTTTCAGTTTTTATGGATCTGACTGTCCTGGATATTTATATAAATGGGATCATACACTATGTGAACTTTAGTGTCTGGCATGTTTCATTCAGAACAGTGTTTTCAAAGTTCATCCGTTGTAGCACGCATCAGTACTTCATTTCTTTTTACGGCTGAATGCTATTCCACTGTGTGGATATACTATATTTTGCTTATCTGTTTATCAGTTGATGAACATTTGGGTTGTGTCTATCTTTTGGCTTTTGTGAATTATTTTACAATGAATACTCATGTACAAGTTTTTGCTTTCGTTTTGAGTATATATCCAGGAGTGAAATTATTGGGTCATGTGTTAATTCTAGGTATCTGCATTTTTATTAAGCTGCTTTTTATCTTCCTTTGTAATCAAAGCCCAAGTTATGTGATTAGGTTCAGTTCTAACCTCACAAGATAAAGGCTAGAACTAGACTGGAGGTTAAAGGCATGGACTCTGGGGTTAGCCAGCCATGGATTCACATCTTTGCTCTGCCACTTCCCCATTGTATGAACTTGTGGGCAAATAGCTTAACTCTTCAGTCTCAGTTTCCTACCTCTAAAATGGGGCAATATGGTGCCCATTTCTTAGGGGCGTTGTGGTTGCTTAGTGTATTTATATGTGTGTTTAAAGTGCCTTGTGCAAAATTAGCATAACAAACTCTTAATAAGCTGTAGAGAATATGATCATTTTTATTCATCCAAAAGACAAGATATCTAATTATGTTAGAGATGAGGCAGAGGGTAAACTTAACCCCAAATCCTTGAACATTATGAGTAATGTGACTGCTTTGTGCCCTTATTTTTAGAACATGCTTAAGGCGGTCAATGCGACCCAGAAGCAGACAGACTTGGTAAAGCTCCATGAACAAGCCAAGAGGAACCTGGAGGGAGAAATCCAGAACTACAAGGATGAGGCTCAGAAGCAGAGAAAGATCATCTTTCATCTGGAAAAGGAGCGTGACCGGTACATCAACCAAGCCAGTGACCTTACGCAAAAGGTAAGCTGCTCAGTGATGTTGTGGGTGGAGCAGAGGCACATTCCTTCCTCCGCATTTCTGATGGTCACAAACTGTTGCAAAGAGAATTTATTCAGATTTCTGTTTGTAATTTGTGTGAAGATTTGGGAGGAACGATGTGGACAAAATATAAGCTGTTTCCGAGCTGATTCTGGGCCACATTGTGAAAAGGACAATGTTTATGCTTGGTGCTCTCTCATTTCTACTTTCCAGGGCCCTCTTCCAACTTCTGGGTTCTCCCTCTTCTCTGTTGCCATGCTGTGCAGCATCCCTGGGCTGGCACCAGGGCTGCCAGCATCATCTCTCAACTCTCCAGTCTCCGCACCCACCCAGCATCTGTCACTGAAACTTTTGTCCCCTCAGGGAAAGGACTCCAACTTGATGTTAGGAGAAAAGCATCTAATTAAATGACCACAAGTTAAGATGTGAGTGACTACTGCATCTGCTAGGTGTGTCAATATTCAAAGAGCATTTTTTATTCTAAAACGATTATGAACTCCTGCAATCTCAGCACTAGGGAAGCTGAGGCAGGATGATTGCTTGAGCCTGGGAGCTTACAAGCAGCCCAGGCAACATGTCGAGACCCTGTCTCTACCAAAATAAATTAAAAAGGAAAAAAACTATTGTGAGCTGGGCACGATGGCTCACATCTGTAATCCCAGCACTCTGGGAGTCCAAGGGGGTGTGGATAGCTTGAGGCCAGGAGTTTGAGACTAGCCTGGACAGCACGGTGAAACCCTGTCTCTACAAAAAATACAAAAATTAGTTGGGCATGGTGGTGTGCTCCTATGATCCCAACTACTTGGAGGGCTGCGGTAGGAGGAACGCTTGAGCCCGGGAGGTGGAGGCTACAGTGAGCTGTGGTTGCAGCACTGCACTCCAGCCTGGGCAACAGAGTGAGATCCTGTCTCAAAACAAACAAACAAACAAACAAACAGACAAACAAACAAACACCACTGGAGGAAATCCAAACATTGGGGAGCTGAGTTCTAGATCTCTGCTTCTTATAAACTGCTTAGGAGAGAGAAGGCTCGAGGATATATGTCTCCAAGAATGGCTTTGGAGATTTGGATTTCATTTTAGCCAGCTGTCTTAGTGCATTGCCTGCATTAAGCATGAGTGGTTAAAATAGTACTCTCTTTAATGCATTCATAGATGGCATAGAGCAGTGGTCTAGGAATGGGGTGGGAGGCTGGGAAATGGAGAAAAGTTTTAGTTACGAGGCTGATAACAAAGTTTGGGAGAAAAGACTCATTTAATCACCTTTTCTCCCCCTAGCAAGATGTGATCTGTTATGCAAGGTAAGCCCTCTCTTCCATCTCCTCAATGAAATTCAGGTTACATTCTGCAGTGCTTACCAATGCTCTTGCATGCTTAAATTTTTTTTTTTTTGGAGTGAAATGTCAAAGAAGGTGACAAGGGACAGCCAATATTTGTATTACAGAAATAAAGAAAGTGGGAAACAAACTTTACTGATAGGAAGTCAGCTTCTTCCCACTTAGACTAAATCAATGCCTTGCAGACGCTTTGGGAAGGGCTACTGGAGGAGCACAGTGCCTTGGCTTTGTCTAACTCTGCAGGACAGTGATCCCCAATGGATTCTCACACCCCTAATTGGGAGCCATTGGAGCAGAGCATATTTCTCTTCTGACTTAACCATCTTAGAAGCTCCAGTGATTGATTTACTGACTCTGAGGACTCGTTGTCAATTTAGGCCCTGGTATTATCGAGCTTGGACTCGCACGTTAGCTTCTGTATTCATCAGTTTACACTGCACAAATAACCTTCAAACCTTAGTGGTTCGCAGCAATAAAGATCTATGTTTTGCTCATATAACTGGCCTTTGCAGGTCAGCTGCATCCCTCCTTTTTGTCCTCTTCTTTCCAGGCTGACTCTGTCAGGATGCCCTGGCCTCTGGACAAAGGGAAATGGTGAAACAGTGGACCCTCAGGGAGCTTCTGAGCCTCTGCTGACAAGGGAAGGGCACAGATCCTACCCACTCATATTCCACCGGCCAACCAAGTCACAGGGCTGTGCCGGACATCCTGGGCAGGAGTGTGGTCCTCCTTAGGGAGGGGCCCTGTAGGGTGAGGCAGCAAATATATTTGAACATAAAATGTCATCTGTTGCAGCCTCCAGTTTCTTCTTCCTGATAAGCAATTTCTCTCCATTCCGAGGTGCCATCACACCACCATCAGAGCTAACTCTCAAAAATTCCAGTGTGGTTTTATTATTACTCTGGATATAAACCTCTGTCACCTCTCCCTGGGGCAGGGCTTCCTAACACTTTTCATATCACAGCATATATAAAAAATTACATGTTGATACGGTTTAGCTCTATGTCTCCACCCACATCTCATCTTGAATTGTAATCCCCATGTGTCGAGGGAGGGAGGTGATTGGATCATGGAGGAGTTTTCCCTAAGCTGTTCTCATGATGGTGAGTGAGTTCTCATGTGAACTGTTGGTTTTATAAGTGTTTAGAAGTTCCTCCTTCATTCTTTTCTTTCCTGGTGACTTGTGAAGAAGATGCCTGCTTCCCCATCCACCATGATTGTAAGTTTCCTGAGGCTTCCCCAGCCAGCGGAACTGGGAGTCAATTAAACCTCTTTTCTTTATGAATTACCCAGTCACAGGGAAGTTTTTTGTAGCAGTATGAAAATGGACTAATGCACATGTCAGTGGCACATGGGAATAAGGAGATGAAGCTGTTTGGGGCTGGAGGAACCAATCCAGGGATGCCAGCTGCCCAGGTCCCACCTGGCCATCCTGTGGGTATAGTAAAATCAGTATTTTAGCACACATCTGAAACCCATGAAAGGCACAGCAGTTGGGATACTCTGCATTAATGGGATAGAGTCCAACCTCTTTGTTCTCTGTGGAAAGTTCTGTCCTTTCTCTGCATGGCACATTCCTATTCACCCTTCGAGACCTAACTCAAATGCTCAGGTCAAGCTCCCTCTGGTTCCTTATGGGCAGAGCTTGTCACTTCGTACTTTTATGGATTTGTTAATGTCTCTGGAATGATGATTATCAATCTATAGTGTAATTATTTATTTGCATATTTGTTTTATCCACTTTATAGTGAGCTTTTGGGGGCAAGGACTTTATTTCATTCATTTCTTTATTTCTAGCATCCTGGCACATGAGAGACACCAAAAAAGTATTTGTTAAACAAATGGATAGATGATAAGTGGTAAAAAGAATGCTGCCACTGATTTTAATATACAATTGTATATATTTCTTGGCTTCCTTGTAAAAGAGAGATTCGGATACCAAGTTTTTTTGTTAACTGTTTTTCACAAGTTCTGATATTTAACCACACATAATGTCTTACCTAAATAATTTAAACACAAGTTCTTAAAATATTACTTATCACCTACAATTTTTCTGTGTCTTGCTTAACCCCTGACAGCATGTATCAGTTGCTACGCAACTTGTGCATCTCTGGACTTCTTAAGGATATGTATGTCTCTTTGTCCTCTTCTCATATTTCTTTCTTTCTTTACTGTCCAACACACACACACACACACACACACACACACTCATTCTCACAAACGAAAAGCTCCCTTATGTGCATTCTATTTGTAGAGTATTGAGAAATAATATCAAAGGCTGGGGAAGATGTCATGAAACTGACATTTTCTTCTACTTCTAAAGTGAGTATACATTGTTCCAAGTTTATCTTTTTGACCCAGAATTTTCCTTTTTAAGAAAAAACTGAATCTAATGAAAAATAAGAAATGGAGAGATTTATATGAAAGAATATTTTTTCAAAACATAATTTATAATAATGAGAACTAGGAATCAGCCCCCCGAAAGGTTAAATAAATTGTGTTACATTTATTTGACATAGTATTATGTAGCTGTTAAAATCATGTGTTTGCAAATTATTTTTAAAGATGGGAACATGTTTCTAATATGAATCTGAGAAAGACAATGCAAAATTATTTGTAGAGTTTGTCTCCAGTTTTGTCTGTATGCATACAAAAAGGACTGGAGACATACCTAATTTGGCTCCTCCAATATCACTAAAGAATATTAGAAATTGGGAGGTGGACTGGGACTTGGCATGTCACTGTGTTTCCAGCTGTAGATTTGAAAGTGGATCTGCCACCACCCTAGGGTACTAAGAATTGGGCAAAGGTAAACCCCTTCACCTTAGTAGCATTGTTCTTAGGTTGTGGTAAATCCTGTCTTGCTCAAGAACGAATAAAGAAAAAAGCAGCCTAATGGAGCCTATGGGAAAACATGCCTGAGAACCAAAGAAAGAGAATGGCTTCTAGAAGCCCCACGGTAAAGGTCTGGCTCTGAAAATGCTTCTATGGCAAGAACTTTAGGTTGAACTCTTTGAAATAGCCTTTTTGTGGTAAGTAAGAAACAACTGACTATCAGCGATTTCATAAGGTTCTTAACCTAATAGAAGAAAATGCAGAGAAAAGGTTTGGCTTCCTTCAAAGATTGTAAGTACATAAAACCTGGTGCCAAGTTTCCCCTTGTGGGAGGAACAGTGTTTAGCAAAATACCTTGATATTTGCCTTGGTTTGAAAGGTGAGGCTCCATGAACCAGAGTGAAACAGTCATGTGAGAAAAGTAACAGGAAGTGGGAAAGGAGGAGTGGGTGGTGAGCAGGAAATAGGGAGTAGATAGGGAAGAATGGGAGAGGAGGGCACACAATGTCAGCATCAAGGCAGTAGGCTGGGTGCTGCTGGAAGTGAGGAGTTCCCTAAGACAGGAATGATGGAGGAATTGCAGAAAACAGTGATGTCCAATATTGGATTTTAAGTTCCTCAAACCTCCGGTGGCAAATCTGCTACATCAACCCTGCGTTGTGATTGCACTTTGGTGGCACAGGCATGGGGTGGTGAGGATGTGAGGTGACACATCCCAGAAAAAGGACAGTATGTGCAAGAGACAAGATGCACCTGAGAATCTAGAATGCTATGGCAACAGCAAACCAGAGCCACAGCAAGTAGAAGAAATGCAATTCTTCCAAGAATTCTTGGAGATATTAGAGGGTTTGGGGGCTTCCCAGCACATAGAATGGAAAGTCTAGACTTATTGTTGTTGTAAAGGACAAGGTGACCCCAGTAGAATACAGGACTATCACCTGAGTTATAAATCCAACATGGCGTTACTGCTAGGAGAAAGCAAAGATGAAATAAAAAGGAAGAGTTGGACAAAATAAGAATCAATTGTATAAAAACTAAAAAAGAAAAAAGAAAAAAAAGGCAGATTTAAAATCCACACCAAAGTTAGTAAAGAACAGAATTGATTGTTGTGGAAAATGGAATCAGGCCAGGTGTGGTGGCTCATACCTGTAATCTTAGCACTTTGGGAGGCTGAGGCAGGAGGATCCCTTGAGGCCAGGAGTTCAAGACCAGACTGGGCAACATAGGAGACCTGGTCTCTACAAAAATGATCATAGAGAAGATAAGAGAGAAGAGGGCAGAGAATAGAAACCAGCCTACAGAGAGTTGGTTTCTGATTATGGAAATGAGCCCCTGGTCAAGGATGTAGTGGGAAAATATTTTCTGGAGATGAAGAAAGACCTGTACAGGCTGACCATGTTCCAGGCAAAATCAGTGACAGGAGACTCTCCGTAGACTTGCCCTAGAGGAAAGCCCTTTTGTGTGTGTGTTTCATCTACAATAATGAAGAAAAATTCTCTGAGAATTTAGGCAAGAAGAAAAAGCAGATAGATGCCTAGTTACCCTTTTTTGTTTTAATAGGAAAATGAGTGGAAGGAACCATATTAACATATTAATAGTGGTTATCTTTGGGTGATAAGGATACAAATTGTTTAAATTTGTTCCTTTTTTGCTTTTTTTTTTTTTTAGCTATTCTAAAATGGATGGGCTGGGCATGGTGGCTCATGCCTGTAATCCCAGCACTTTGGGAGGCCAAGGTGGGTGGATCACCTGAGGTCAGGAGTTCAAGTCCAGCCTGGCCAACATGGTGAAACACCATTTCTACTAAAAATACAAAAATTAGCTGGGAGTGGTGGTGGGCACCTGTAATCCCAGCTACTTGGGAGGCTGAGGCAGGCAAATCGCTTGAACCTGGGAGGTGAGGTTGCAGTGAGCTGAGATTGTGCCATTGCACTCCAGCCTGGGTGACAAGAGTGAACCACCATCTCAAAAAAAAAAAAATAAATAAATAAATAAAAATAAGAAAAAGTAAAATGGTTGTGTATTACTTTAGTATCCTGATTTAAAAAATAAATAAACACTATTAATAACCTTGCCTTTCTTTCAGGGACCAAATAAAATTCCACCTTTCCCAAGAAGCTTTATTAAAAGTGATCTCTAATTCCTCTGTACTTGGCTCCCCTCTGGCAGTTGAGGAGGCCCGTGTGCACGTAACTGTTACTTGTGTATGTCTGCCTCATTCTACACACTGGCTTCTTGGGGGCGAGTCTTATTCAATTTTGAGTTCTTCATATTGCTTATTTACTAAGTAAATACTCAAATATTTTTTGAACTAAGAATGAATGGAAAGCATAATTGGACATCTGAGTTAACTAGTCAGAGGCTCACTTTTAAGTATCTGTATCAAGTTATTTTCTAACAATATATTTACTTGTGACTATGGGTCTGCCCTTCCTTTAAATTCATGTGAAACATGTTACCATGATGGATGATTTTATCTGAATTATCATTGGCATTTTTAGCTGTGAGTGACTTCCAGACCTGGTCTCTTCTTCCTTCTGAGCTGCAAAACAGCATCAACATTTGCCTTCGTGTTCTTTCTTGCTTAGAGAAAGAAAAGTGAACTTGAAGATGCTAAACTTCTACATTATATTGTATTCATTTAGCTTGGCATTTGCCAGTGAGGAAGAAGATCCCCTTTTGTGCCTGAACTGGATGGCTCAGAATCCCAAACCTTTTCCTATGTGTTTGTCTCCATCAACACTTGCAATAATAATAGTGCATGATAAATAGCCACAACATCTCCGTGGGATACAAAAACAAGCACTTATTTCTTATTCACACACCTGCAGTTGACAGAGGTTCAGCTGACCTAAACTGGGCTTGCCTGGACTTGGCTCTGGGATGTGGATTGGGCTCAGTTCTGGACCACATGTTTCTTATCCTCCACGTGCATGTTCTTCTCATGGGGGAAGGAAGGAGAACAAGAGACAAAGCCACGCATACAGGCACATGTCATGTCTCTCTACTTGTCTGATATTCTGACCTCCCATTGGCTATAGCGAGTCACATGGCCAAGGCTAACATCAACAGCAAGGGAAATGCACTTCTCTCTTTAGGTTGTGGGACAAGGGGAGAGAGTGAACATTTGTTAAACCGTAAGATAATCTACCCCAGGATTACAGCAGTTTTTATCCTCATGATTTTCCTTTGCTGCACTCTAAATTTCACTATTCAGATAAATTGAGAGGCATGAGAAATGGCATGGTAAGTTGTGATCTACCATATTTCCTGCTTTCTGAACTTTTACATGTTCTAGATAAAACCACTCCTAGTAAATTATTAAATCTGCTGAACATTTTTCACATGATGCACTTGCCTCATTTTAGGATCTCCCTCTTTTTTCATTTCAAATATTAAACTTCTGGCAGTCACCTCGCAGACATTTTATATGCCAGAAAACATTCTTTTGCAACAAATCCCTAACAACAAATTTCCTAGCTCTTTGCTCATTTGCCTATAACACTGTCAAGCAAAGCTCTTCAGGACAGAGATTCCAGGAAATGAATAATAATGTGCTTTCAAGGACTTAATGCAAGCAAAGAAACCAAAAATTGATTAAAGAAATATTGTCCACTAGATAGATATCTTCATAATGAAATAAAGCTCCTGTTTCATTGATGTTAATTTGAATTTTATACAGAGCCTCTGTAATTGGGTAGAATCCTGGAGAGAGGAATCAAGGGAACACAAATTATAAGCTTTTTCTATCATAATAAAAGAAGCATGCTTCATATCATTACTTTTCCTGCAGAACAGGATTTGATTCGGAGGAAAATCAAATTAACTTTTTAAAGTACTAGTATTATGTAACGTGACGTAGTGTAAACTATCATAATAATTTGTTAGCATTTATTAAATGATTAAATTACTATATGCTAAGTACTTATATGCTGGCGTAGACATATATTCTCTCACTTAAATCCTCATAATAGCCCTGTGAGATAGATATTATTATATCCCCCATTCATAATATAATATGTTATGCAATTGAATCAAAGCCATAGATATGCCTCTCTAAATTCAAGATAGAGGGTAAAATAACAAGGCAAGAAAAATAGGGAAGACTCAGCATTTCGCAAGCCAGGGCGCATAGTTGTTTTCTATTATTGCAGAGTGAGTTTTTCAGTTTCATTATGAAGGTAAAAGCATTGTCAGCATTCAAACCATTGACATCAAGTCAGAAAAACTTATTGGAGAAGTTTATTGTACTGATATTTCATCAAATGTACATTAAGGGGTTCCAAATGCAATGACCTACTTTCTAATCCCACCTTGGTCTATGTGATGTTTTGGCTATGCTGCAGTTTTCCTGTATGCGTTATTGATTTCTATCTCACTCTTATTTCTATTGGCAGGTTGTTTTAACGGCAACAGAAAAGGTAGGAGTAGGTTATAAACTGAGGCTGTACTTCTGTCGTGCACTGTAAGCATTTTCTGGACTCCCCTGAAGCCTAGGAGTGCCAGGAGCACCAATTCTCTGGCTGTAATAAAACTTTCTATATTTGGATGTGATTTATCTCATGAGTTGGTTTGAGGTATCTCAAAGTGTATATTAATTAAGCTCCAGCCCCACAGCTGGCAGCCTGTGTCTCTGACATACCACTTCTAATGGGGACAGCTTGCTGACAAGAGGTTTGGCTACTACTTAACACCCATATACTTTATGAATTTTCAGGATTTGAACTTCTGCATGACTTTGGCCTGAATGATTTCCATAAAAATAAACCGAGTCCCAACACTTAGAAATACATTGCTTGTAAATTGTCTTTTCTGCTCGTTTCAATATTTGTTAATTCCTTTTATCTTCTTGGTGTCCTGACGGGTTCTTATTACTCCAGCTTCAAGGATCCAGAAGCAAGTTTGTGACTTTTGTGCATGTTGTCTGCAGAAAGACAGACCATGCTAGTTGGATGCTCAAAAAAGAAATGCCCCTGGCTACCTCCTTTCTCTGTGGCATTATTCTGCCTGTGCAAAGAATTATTCCTGTTCTAACATCTCTGAAAGTGACTGAACAAACAATTTTTTTCCTTTCTCTAACGTGCTGCTTGATATTCTGAATGCTGATGATGCTGTTCAAAGTATTTTCAATCTATTAAGCATTAACCTTTCAGTCTTAGATTCTCCCATAACACTTGGTGCATATCTCAGTTTACTGGTTATATCCATTCCTTGATTATCCATTCTATGGTGAAGTCACACCCTACAAGTGAACTTGAGGGTAGAGAATGTGTCTTATTCTTCTTTCTATCATGCGTGCTTTTACAGTGCCTGCCATAGATGGGTCCTCAGTACCTGTTCATGGAGTGAATGAATAAATGGGGGAGTGAATGAATAAGTGAACAATACTGTACTCTGTTCACTTTATGAAACTAACAGAAACCTTGAGATTAAAAAAGAACTAAAAAGAAAGATATAGGCCTAGCTCACTTGGGAAAATGCATGCAGAATCCTAAATGAAATTCCAGCAAACCAAATTCAACAGTACATTAAAAGAATCATCCAGTATGAACAAGGAGGGTTTATCCTGAAGCTGCAAGGATAGTTTTCTATTAAGAAAGCTATTGCTGGTGGTGTGGAAATGTAAAGTGTTACAGCCATTTTGGAAAGCAATCTAGCAATATCTATTAAAGTTGAAAATATATATGTCTTTTGAGCCAGCTATTCTACTCCTGGGAATCCATCCCACAGAAATAAATGCACAAGTGCATGAGAATACACATACAAAAATGTTTCCTGTAGCATGGTTCAGAGTGGCAAAAAAGTGGAAACAAAGTTAATGCCCATCAGTGGAGAAGAATTAAATTATGATGGCACACCCACTCTATAGGATATTATGCAACCTTTAAAGAGAATGAATTAGAGTGATGATTTCTACAAGGTATTATTTGATGATAAAAAGGAAAGTGCATTAAGAGTAATTATAAGATCCCATTTGGCTAAAAAGTAAAAACAAACCCCAAAAAGCCAAACAGAAAACAAACAAATCTGTGTAGTTGTCTATTTACTCATTGAATAACTTTGTAAATATTACTTATTTTGATCTGTTTCCTTCTTTGTAAAATTGGGGGCAATAATAGTACATATCTTAGAGGATTTTTGAGAGATTAAAGGAGCTAATACATATAAAATGTCAGGTACATAGAAGGTAACTGATGAATATTAGCTATTATTATTAGGTTGTAGACCTGAATAGAATATGCAGAATCCAATGAAAAATATGGAAGAATACATAGTAGATTGTTAACCTAGTTTTGTTTTGTGTAGAAGAGGGGCTGATGTTGAAGGGAGAAAGTTCAAGTAAATAAGGAAAATAAATGTATATTTCACATTTATGAATTTATTTTAAATTGTGGCACATGGAACTATATATAAAGAAATTAAAATATTTTTAAAAGGAAAAATCTGTTACTAGGTTTATCAAATCAATTGACCCAATAAGAAAGAATAGTACAAAATTATATACATTGAAAGACATTTACTAAAATTCAATCCCATCCCTCCTTAAGCACCTGTAAAAAAATTTTGAAAGGTGCTTATTTAAATATATAAAGGATAAATATTTAAAATCATAGCCATCATTAACTCTGATAGGGAAAGAATAGAACCAGACTTCTCATTTATGTATTTTCTGGGATGGCAATTCTGCAAGTGGAAAAAACGGATTCTTGTAAGTGCAATAATTTGGGAACATGTTGCTCACAAGTAGCCCACACCTGAGTCATGGTGAATATCAGGATGGCAGAAGTCTAAGAGGTCCTTTTCCACCTTTCGTTCTAGGTAAACTGTCACTTCCTCAGAGATGTGGGCCCAGAGACATGGACCTGTTTCTTCATACATGGACCTGTTTCTTCATATGTGTCCCCTTTTCCTCCATGCTCTGTCACATTGCTCTGTGTCCTCCCATTGCAACCATTAATTAAGGGAACACCAAGAAACACAGCGAAACTTTCTTAAGAATTTTCTCCTTATGTGCTCTAGCTGTTATTTACACTGTAGTTTCCTTGATTTAATCAGATTTCTTCATGAAAATTTTTCTTCTTAAGGACTTTTTAAAGAAGTTTACCTTTAAAAAAGCAACTTGTGTGGACATTGCAGCAGAGTCATGATGACGTCATTGCTACTGTGTGCATGGCTTGTTGAGAGGTATTGACTCATGGTGGAATTTCAGGTGTTGGTTTTTCATGCTTGCAAAAATGAGGCAGTAGTTCTTGCATCCCGCCTTTCCTGGAAGTACTTTGTGCACAATAGAATGCATTTTTACGGAGTGCTTTTCAGTTCCCCTGATGGAGTGAGTTTGACATTGGCAAGATAGCGTTATGATTGCTATCAAAGTTCAAAGACCATTTTTCTTTCTCGTGGTTAACTTTATAAGCAGCCAGTGTGGCCAAACAGCTAGGTTATCTCTTATCTTTCTTAGTGCTTTGTGTTAAGATCTGTTTAAGCCTGTGACTATTTTTTTTCCCTTTTTTGGGGGTAGGGTGGTCGGGAGAGGTTTTCAGAATTGAAAGAATTTCTTCTCTTTTTTTTCTTTCTTGTGATCACAAAATAACTGTGTTAAGCTTTATACTTGAGCAGAACTCTAGTATAGATAAAATGTGTATTTGCCCCTAATCAGTTGGGCTGAATTTCTGTGTTGTACTGCAGTGATTATAGCCACTGTCAGATTTTCTGATTACTGGCATCTCTACCAGCCACCCTTAGATAAAAAACTCCATTTGTCCTGAACCAATAAGCACAGATGGGCTATTTAACCACATTCATATATGTCTTTCTCCTCCAGGTCCTTATGAACATGGAAGACATAAAAGTTCGTGAAACACAGATTTTTGACTACAGGAAAAAAATAGCTGAATCAGAGATTAAATTAAAACAGCAACAGAACCTATATGAAGCTGTGAGATCAGACAGAAATCTGTATAGCAAAAATCTGGTTGAGGCTCAGGTAAATAATATATTTATATCCTTACATTTTGATTTATTTTTACCCTGCATTTAAAACAGTTTCTGTTATCCTAATGGCAGAATTTAGAATAGATTAAAAAAAAAACTCATGGAATTCACCTGAAAAGATCAATTTACGCAAAACTGTCAGGTTATTTGAAATGGAAATGACACATCTTAATAGGATGTGGAGATCATGGTCCTACTTTTAATTATTATGTAGAATTACTATTCTCGTCTTTCTACTTTTTTTTTTTTTTTTTTTGAGATGGAGTCTCACTCTGTCACCCAGCTGGAGTGCAGTGACGCGATCTCGGCTCACTGCAACCTCTGCCTCCTGGGTTCAAGTGATTCTCCTGCCTCAGTCTCCTGAGTAGCTGGGATTACAGGCGCATGCCACCATGCCTGGCTAATTTTTGTATTCTTAGTAGAGACAGGGTTTTCACCATGTTGGCCAGGCTGGTCTCGAACTCCTGACCTCAAGCGATCCACCTGCCTTGGCCTCCCAAAGTGCTGGGATTACAGGCATGAGCCACTGTCCCCAGCTCTCTTTCTAATTTTTAAAACTGCTAATAGCTACCATGACTCAGAGGGCAGCAGCATACTCTTGAATTCCAGAGCTTCACTTCAAAATCTTTTAGTTATATGTTTGTTGTGCTTCCAATTCCTTTTGTAAAAGGAGGAATAAGGTGTGTGCGTGTGATGTTCATTATGCATATTTTGTGTGTATCTCATGAGAATATTTTGCGAGTTAATACAATAAAGTACTTTGAGGTCGATGGGCACTAGAGACAAAGGAATAGTCTAGTTGTAATTGATCAAGAGACCATTGTTTTGAGAGAGCGTCCCTTAAAAGCTCTGAAATATATATTGAACTTCCATAGGGACGATGATGTCTAATTCACTTTCAAACATTTCTCCTTTCATTTGGTTAGGATGAAATAACAGATATGAAGAGAAAGTTAAAGATTATGATCCATCAGGTAGATGAGCTGAAAGAAGACATCTCTGCCAAAGAGTCCGCACTTGTGAAGCTGCACCTGGAACAGCAGCGAATAGAAAAGGAAAAGGAAACATTGAAGGTACTGACCTCATAGTAAAAGCAAAGTACCAACAGTTCATCAGCCCGCTCAGGCGGCCTCCAGTCTCACTGAAGGCAGCCAGGGGCAGGGAGAACAACCACGCCTGCCTGTGGTCACAGTTGCTAGTTACCCAAACCAAGCACACAAGGCACCAGGAGGATGAGCTTTACCATCTCTAGGTCAGGGCTCCTTACAGGTAGTGCTGCTAGGTAGAATGGGGGAAGGGAGCAGTGGAGATGCAAACACACCCCTTTCATTTATGCAGGCTATCATACATCAGTGGGAGAGAACCTAGCAGGTTGGCAGTGCCAAGAAATCCTTGAACTTACAAGCTTGCTACAATCCCTCTGCATTCACAACCAAGTACAACCATTGTGCTCACACCCAACCCTCCCAAACTCCTCCCTGGGATGCTTTGTACCTCTGTTTTTTACTTTGTGTGCATGTGACGTTTCTATCTGCAGTCTTATCAACTGGGTGTTAGAGCTCTGTTCTCACTTGGTTTACCCTTGACCAGGTTTGTAGTTCACTTTACCTCTGCAGGTCTAAGAACTTTGCAGCTGCTCTTCCAGGGATCATCTCTGTCTTCATATATCTTACTAAGACATACCCTTTAAAATCTACTAATTTAGATATTCTATGTCTACTAACATAAGGACCCTTTCCAAGAATACAAAGCAAATAATTATGCCATTTTAAATCCTCTAACCAAATATGTTTCACTATACACACCACTAAACCTAATGTATTTTTCTTTTTCCTATCCAGTCCAATAGATTTCCCTTCCAATCCAATTGACCAAGGATTAAAAAAGGAACTTCTAAGAAAATAATGCCACTTTTGTTATGAAAATATATGTGCAGAATACTCATGGGTGCTTAAGAGCCACTTGCAGAAACTGTTTACAACAAATTAGAGACTGGGTACCTTGCTTTCTGCACATATTAGCTTTCAAAGATAGTCACTGTCTTGAAAATTTATATCTAGTGTTGGGCAGGCTCAATGCCATATTTTCTAGATTCTAAGATACCATAGATTGAAATAGGCACTCTCAATTTAATAATGAGTTTTGTCAAGTTAATGATAGGTTTTCATGGAAATAAAATTACTACATTAAATTAACTTAAAGCTCATTTTATTTGAGAAACTGTAACAAAAGTGCATGTACAAAAAAGATATTGTAACTGATATATTTACCTGTCTCAGACATTCATCTCCCCCACTCTAGCTTATGACAGAAAAAGAATAGAAGATTCTGCATTGTTTTTTATATATAAAGAAATATACATATATTTTCTAAAACTGGAAAATGTTCTGCATCTTTGCCCTTGTACTCCCTGTTTGAAACCAGAGTTTTATAGAAAACAGTTTGTTCCACTGTGGAGCTTGTAGTGGGATAGGGTTTATTTATTGCTGAATGAATCGGAAGAAACTTATTTTAAACATTGCTTCACCCATGAGTGGTATGGACCATGTTAGCAAGGCTCAATGTAATCCATTTGGTGCATCATCTCTTTCCCTTTAAAGGATGGTGTTGGGTCTCATCTCTTACTTTCCCTAGTAATGCTCTATTCAAAAGATTAATTATTACTCCATAATGGGGTCCAAGTTGGAACTAATGTCGTTCTACAAAATCCTGCTTTAGAACAAGTGTCCTATACAAAATATCAATTATTCCTAATTCCTCAGAGTTTGACTTTAGCTAATATTTGTTTCATTTATGGCCTCTGCCATCAGGTGTCTACATAAAGCTCAAAAGAAGCATCATAATACAATAAAATACAGGGCAATAAAGTCCTGTATCATTTGGACCTGGGCCAGCAGATTTGGCAGCTGGTGAACATGAAGGATGATTAAAAGGCTTCTGCTCCAGAGACTGCTCCAAATGGAGAATCCCAGGTCTGGATGGCTTTAGGTCATCGATTATAGGAAGATGATTGCTTTGGACTTACTGTTGAACTGGGATGCCCTTTCTCCCTGCATTTCCAATGAAGGCAAGAATGAGAAGCAGAGAGAGAGGCCTGCCTGATTTATTATTTGAGTCTATCCAAGGGTGACTTGCAATGGTGCTCCGACTGGATAATTTTGGCCTATCATTAAGCTCGTTTGACATTCTCTAGAAAAATATGACAGCTCAAATGTTGAGTTTTAGCCTCTTGACTTTTTTAGCCTAAGAATGAATCACATTTCACACAGGTCCCTGGATTTCATGCATCTGAAGTCTGCCAACCAAAACCCTGAGGGAAAGGGCAGATTTTCTAGTAACTTTGCTCCAAGAGACATTTATCTCATTATTGCGAGTTGTACGAAGCTACGCGGGTACATAATCCCTCTTGGAGGGGCAAGCCTTTGCCTGCTAGGTAGCCTGTAAGATACCCTTGGACAGGACAATTCAATTTATGACTTTTCCAAGCCGATAGGCAAACGACTGTCTTTAGTAGGTCATCCTCATCTTCATTCATCCCCTTCAGCAGACAAATCTTGTCCTTCCATGTTTCTTTTACTTTTTCTGTTGCTACCAGGCTCCACTGATGCCTGAGGATCCTGTACACTGTCAGCACATTATGGTTGTGACAGGATGTCAGTAGTTCTCTGCAGATGTTGCTGTGTCTGCATTCATCTGCCCATTGTGTCCCAGGCTTGTTTCATCAGCACTGAAGGAACCATCTCATTTGGAGTTACTGCCTTCCAGTCCTAACAAGCCCCTGCTTCTATCTTGTCTCTTTCCAATCATCCTACATGTATCTGATAGCACTTTGATTCTTGGTGAATAATTCAGCAGCAAATTCTCTGTGTCTAGAGCTCAGCACCACATTAGAGCCTGGCTTCAGGGCACCATATTCTTTTACTCAGTGGACTCTGTAGCCTGCCATGGATAGGGAGCTGTTATCCATGAGAGAGAGAGAGAGAGAGAGAGAGAGAGAGAGAGAGAGAGAGAGAGAGAGAGAGAGAGAGAGAGAGAGAAAGAGAGAGAGAGAAAGAAAGAGAAAGAGAGAGAGAGCCTAATTATTCTCATGGCTAGAAGACTTCAGGTGGTACTATTTGTTTTGCTAGATTTAAACAGATGATTTCTATGAAACTCGTGTTGAGATCATGTATGAATGGGAGAAATTCTACAAGTATGACTCTTGAGATATGATTTATGCCCATAGCCAAATCTGGTTACAGATAATCCATAATGCCTTTTGCAAAATTGTATAATTGTGGAAGCAGTGAGTAAAGGCTGTGTCCCGCCATCTCATTATAACTTTTTACCACCAGTAACACTTGGATAGGTGCAGAAACCTCAGGTCCCACCTAGGGCGTTGCTTGATGAGCTTTTGAATGCATAGTGGTTGTTGCCATCCTTCCTGGGTGAGATGGCTCAGTTTTATAACTGCTAAATGCATTAGACCCAAGGTATTTTGTTGATGTTAACATTTTCTGCCAATGTCTAATGCCACATCTTGTTTACAGCCCATAAATTTATGACATAAGGAGACCACTCAGAATTTTGATATATTATGAAAAAAGTACCCAGCAATGCCAAATGCACGAGTGGTTTTACATTTCAGACAGATACTTTTACACACTGTTGATTGCATTTGAATATAACAGGGGTTTCATTTTGTTCTGCTGATGGATTCTGATCAGCTCTTGGCACTTAAGAACAGGGAAGTGAATGTTGCACATCTGGGAAAATAAAAGTTTTATTAAAGAAAGCATGAGCCAAACAGGTATTTTATTGCTGTCTTTGCTGTCACCTTAAATGATTATAGAAACAGAAAGGCTGGTTCTTTGTTCTCTTTCCTAACAGACAATCCCCCCAAGTGGTAAATACTAGATGAGATCTTTTCTCAATAAGTATTTCCTTTTGCTTATCCCTAGACCAAAACATATTTCATGAATGAACAAACAAAATGTCATAAAAGAAACCCTTTGTTTTATAGTACCTGGTTGCATTCAGTTTGTGATGTTACACATCTGTTACAAGGTACACAGTATCTTTTACTGTTTGGATAAGTCTGAGGTGTAGAATTAATGACTTTTGGTTTTCATGGGGCAGAGACAGACCGTAACTAAAGTTGGGTTGGTTCAAAGGCACTTAAAAGTATGAGGTTTCCATCATCTTGGTGTCATTTCTGGGTAGGCGGGGGTCCAAATATTGACTTGAAGGAAAAAATTATTACTCTTTTACTGACATTTGCCAACTTGCAAGCCACTGACAAGTTGAAACCTTAATATTATCTTGTCATCTCCGTTGTGATTCCAGCATGGGGGAAAGCAGAGCTCTTCCTCCACATTTGCTTCTTTTTGTTCTGACCTGGTCTGTGATATCCATCATGCATCCCAGTTGGGCATGGAACCTCTCAAAGGCATATTCTTCTTTCCTGTAACGTATGTAACTTTGGTTCCCCCACTGCATGCCCTATATAGTGCATGGCACACAAGGCCTTTCCCTGTCTGGCTTAGCTGTTTGTGAGCCTTACCTCCAGCTATTCCCTACCTAACTCTCTAATTCAGCCATACTGGCTGTTCCACTGTCTGGTGAACACACCAGGTACTTTATAGTTTGCATGCCTTTGTTCCCAAAAGCCTGACTGTTGAATGCCCTGCTCTAACACATACCCTTCCATGTTGGCAATATCTGTCAACTGCCAGTGACCTGACTGGTTCTTCCCTCTAAACCCCAGGCAGAAATATAAACTCCTTTATGTGTACACACATGTCCTTTTCACATAGGTAGATAGCATTTTCACACTTGTTGGTTATCCATCATCTTCAATGGATGGCGAATCCCTCAAGTCTTGCTTATCTTCTATATTTAATTTGGAACTCTTGGGTGGTGACAATAGAAGGAGCACAGGCTTTGGAATCAAAAGATCTGGGTTGGAATCTCAATCTGCTATTTAATAGCTCCATGACCTTGGGCAAGTTGCTTGCTTTTGTCTCTGTAATTGCATTAAATGGAGACAGGAGTAGTTACGCAAATGCCTAGTATCATGCCTGGGATATGGTAGGTCACAAACAAACTTGTGGAATAGAAATGAACATGCACTTTGATGAGACAAAAATTGTCCTGCTGAAACTTAACAGTCCATAGCACCCTTTCTCCATAATTCCTGTGATTTTCATATAAACTTAGGGGCCAGATTCAGGTCTGAGCTCTCTGAGAAAGCAGTCCTGCTACCCCCAGTCTAATGATGATTTTTTCTTTGACCTCCCATAATATCGATTCACTGTCTGTGTGATAATCAAGACGCTGAAAAATTATTGCCTGGACTTCTTAATATTTGCATAATATTTGTCTATCTTATCCTCTCATCTGGGTTGGAAGTGCCATAGAAGTAGGATCTATATATCTTTTTATAAATGACATCCCTTCTGTTTCATCAGGATGTTTTACAAGATAGACAGTTATTATCTTTGACTAGTTTAATTTTGCTTACAAAGGGCTTTACCTTTGCAGTTCGTGTGCTGGTGGTGGTAGGGCCATTACAGGAGCTGGTACACACAGAGGCCTCCCCTGTCCTCACCCCCACATCCTGCTCTGCACTATTCTTTGTGAATTCTCCTGGTGTTTAGCTGGTAAGAGATGAAGTGCTGCTGAATACCAATGAAGCCCCTGCTACACATATATAGAAAAATGATAGAAATCCCTCAAGGGCACAACTCAGAATAAACATGATGACTGTAATGTGCATTGCTATTTCTTTATGAGTGTGTGTGTGTGTGTGTGTGTGTGTTGTAAGCTTGTTTTGCTTGTGAGAGTGATCAAACTGTGTTAAATGAAACATCAGAGGAAAGAGTAAGAAGCACAACTGTACATCTGAATCCGGGCCCTGTCGTCCTGGTTTGTGCTGTAACGAATTGAAATTTGCCTGTATCTTCCACTCTTTGTCAGGCTGAGCTGCAGAAGCTGAGACAACAAGCCCTGGAGACAAAACACTTTATTGAAAAGCAAGAAGCTGAAGAGAGAAAACTCCTGCGAATAATTGCTGAGGCTGACGGGGAGAGGTTGAGACAGAAGAAGGAATTAGACCAGGTAGAGCATCTCCTTGTCAGACTTGCAGACCTTGTCAACAGACACGGGTATTTAATTCCACCCTTCGAAACTTCCTTCCTCTCTAAGCTCTTCCAACCAGCCCTATTGGAAGAACAGCAGCAGAGACCCATCTTGTGTTGATTAATTATGAAATATTCACTCCTTTATTTGACTTATGAGCACTTCCCACGCCTTAGTCACTCCTCTAGGCACTAGGGACACGTTGGCCACCAAGACAATAAGGTTCATCCTCAAGGAGCTTGCATTCTAGTATAATACAGTTGCTCACATATAATTGCAATTAATAATTACATGATTTGATCTTGACTGGGTGTTCACATGTATGTGTAAGATATGCCTCCCTCAAACCTTATCACGATGTCGGCACATTACCCATCCAACATGAAAAAAATAAAAAACAATTTGGGAGATAGAAACCCAAATGCATAATTTGGGGGTTAGAAATTTAACTGCTCTGAGGGACCTGGCAGAGAGAAGTTGGTCAGTGCAAGACAGAAGGAAGTAGTGGAACTTGGCAAGAGCTAGCCCACCATGAAGTCATTCAGATTTGAACATTTATAAATATAATGGGTTTGGAAATAAACAAAACGATACACACATGGGCTACAGATTATTAGATGATTGGACTATTATTATTATTTTTGAGACAGAGTCTCTCTCTGTCACCCAGGCTGGAGTGTGGTGGTACCATCTTGGCTCACTACAACCTTCTCCTCCCAGGCTCCAGTGATCCTCCCACCTCAGCTTCCCAAGTAGCTGGGACTACAGACATGTGCCACTGCACCTGGCTAATTTTTATATTTTTAGTAGAGATGGGGTTTCATCATGTTGGCCAGGCTGCTCGCGAACTCCTGGCCTCAAGTGATCTGCCTGCCTTGGCCTCCCAAAGTGCTGGGATTACATGCATGAGCCACTGTACCCAGCCTTGGACTACTATTATTAATATTATTAAGGATTATCTGTTGTGTGGTGTTTTCAAAAACTCTAATGGGAGGGGTCCAGTGTTGATTGTCTAGCCAGCTCTTTCCAGTGCCCAGCCCATGTGGTGCCCAGTACATGTGGGCGTTCAATAGATACTCATTGAATGAATGGTGCTGTCACAGTGAAAAGCTAAGGCTCCTCCTTCCCTGGTGACTATGCCCCTCCCTACCTTCCTAGGTCATCAGTGAGAGAGATATCCTGGGGTCTCAGCTTGTTCGGCGCAATGATGAGTTAGCTTTGCTCTATGAGAAGATCAAGATCCAACAGTCTGTGCTGAATAAAGGGGAGAGCCAGTACAACCAGAGGTTGGAGGACATGAGAATCCTCAGACTTGAGATCAAGAAGCTTCGCCGGGAAAAGGGGATTCTTGCCAGGAGTATGGCTAATGTTGAAGAACTCAGGTAATAGATTATAGAACTCAGGGCTGAAGGCACAGTGCAACGTGGGGAGCTCCTAAAATCACTTCGTAGTCATGCTTGTTGCTCATTGAAGGTCTTTATCGAGTTGTACAAAATGAAGTTTACAGGATGAAATTATTAACAAATAATAAGAGCAGCTTTTCCATAACATCTCCATTGTGCCCATGCTGTGTCACAATAATGAACCAGCTTCCTTTCGGGGGGGTAAGGGCGAGTGCAAAAAGGTTTTTAAAAAACCGCATTCTGCATTTTACAAAAGAATTTTCAAGGAAATTAGTTACAATTCAGAAATTTTTTCCCCCAATGAGCTTTCTTGAATTTCTTTAATAAGTCAGTATGCAAGAGAGGGAGCATCAATATTGAAATTTAATCTGGTAACATTTGCACATCTTTTTCTTGGAATTATATACAGGAAGAAAAGAGGTGGAAAATATAATTTTACCACTACTTGAAAACTTCGTTTCCTTAGAAGGCGGCCAAATTTTGTATCTCACTTTTGATTTATCTTCTGCAGCTTTCACTTTAGCTTAGTGCGCCTTCTTCTTTCTTTAAATCTTGCATTACACAAGATCTACTTTCCCTTTGGGAAAACGTCACCATGTTTTATATAGGCAATTGCAGGAAACCAAATAAGAGTTCTGGTATTTTCTCAGTAGCTATCCTTATTCCCCACAGACTTGTAGATGAACAGTATCCTTGACCATCTTGGAATAAGGACATGGTTTGGATCTGCTTCTCAAATCAATTGGGTTAGAAGATAGTTTGGATATTTAAATGCAATGAATATATGCAGGAATAGCGAGGTTGCCACTATCAAGGATAAATCAATACTTTTTCTTTTTTTTTTTCTTTTGGAGTTGCTTGTATTTCAGATGACGAAAGCAGTACAAATTCATTGTAGAAAATGTGAGAAATGCAGAAAAAATATAAAGAAGGGATTAGAAAATCACTCATAACTTTACTACCCAGAGATACCACCACTGACATTTTGGAGACAAATGGATTCATTCTAAGTAGCTATCGAATAGTCTCCAAACCATCACTAAACTTGTCAGCCATGAGTTATTTTTATTACATACACAAAGGACCACATTTTATCCATTCCCATTCAGTATTGCTAGTTTGTTGTTAATATATTTTATTTTTCTTTTCAATGGGAAGACAACTTAATAAATGTTGGAGGTAAGCTAGTATGAATTCCAATCTGTCTGGCTACCTACAAGCTGTGTGACCTTGGGCAAGTCACTGACCTTCCCTGAGCTTTGGACTTGGTGTCACAATTAAACAGGAAAACAAATCAATGTGCCTAGTATAGAGTCTAGTACAAAGCAGGCCGTCAAATACGGTAGCTAATATTTCTGCCCTCCCCTTCTGATGACATTCTAGAAAATTGAAGTGTTAAAAATATGCTTTTAATTCTAAGCAGCTTGCTCTGAGCGCCCTGTTGAGTGAACATCATGCAGTTAATTCTAATGGTTTGTCTTGCTAATGAGGGGAAGTTGTATTATTGGTTTAAATGAATCGATTAAGTAAAAGAGATGGCTTAGTATTAGTAATCTGCACCCCTGCAGCAGGCGAGGACAGGTAATAATATCCTTATTGCCCATGTCAATGCAAGTGCTTGCTTCTTCTCTGCCTCCCAATGTCTCATTCGATAGGGCGACAGCCAGCTCGCAACACTGAGGATGGCTGTCACATATTACCTATCAACTACAGATTTCTGAAGATTTTAGCGGTGTGTTTCAGCCAGAGCTAGTTATTCAGGACTTTTTTAGCCATCTGTGTGGTTGTGGAACTCAGGATAAAATCTCATTACAACTTCTAACTTGGATTTCTCAATCCGGACTGCATGTGAGAATTGCCAAGACCTCTGAAGCCGGGGACCCATGCTAGACTATTAAACAGAATCCCTGTAAGGATTGGGTCCAGGAGAAGAGGTATTTTTCAAAGCTCCCCAGGGGATTTCAATGTGTAGTGAGGGTAGAGACGTATGCCCTAACTAGTGTTAGGTTATCACCTGAGCCTCAATATATTGCTGTCAGGTGCTGAGTTTGTGGACTGTAGCCTGTTCACTTATTACCACTATAGAGACATTCAGAAACATTAAACAGTATATTGAAACTGTCATAATTCACTGCTGAAATGGTCTGACTCTGTGTCCCCACCCACATCTCACCTTGAATTGTAATAATCCCCACGTGTCATGGGTGGGGTCCAGGTGGAGATAATTGAACCATAGGGGTAGTTTCCCCCATGCTGTTCTCATTGTAGTGATGTAGTGAATAAGTCTCACGAGATCTGATGGTTTTTATAACTGGGAGTTCCCCTAGAGAAGCTCTCTTGCCTGCCACGATGTAAGATGTTCCTTTGCTCTCCCTTTGTCTTCCTCCATGATTGTGAGGCCTCTCCAGCCATGTGGAACTGTGAGTCCATTAAACCTCTTTCCTTTATAAATTACCCAGTCTTGGGTATGTCTTTATTAGCAGTGTGAGAAAAGACTAATACAATCCCCCTGCCCTTTGTTCTTTTCGTATACTTATAAATTTATTGAGTATCCAGAACCATGACTCTGACTCTGAAGCCCTGGCACTTTTTTTTTTTTTTTTTTGAAAGCTAAGCCAATTCTTGAGCTCTGCAAGAATTAATATCATCTTGCCCAGAATTAGGAGGCTGGTCCCTGTGTTCACAATATTCTCCCTAACTCCAACTTTTTATATAAGACATAGTGTGTATGCAACTAATTAAAGATAGATAGGATATTCAAACGGGTGGATAATTCTTTGCAAAATCAAGTTTGTCTTATTCAGACAGGAGTTTTTTCACATGCAAAGAGAATTGTTGAAGGAGAGGACACGCTGCCGAGCCCTGGAGGAGGAGCTGGAGAATCCCCTGAATGTGCACAGATGGAGGAAGCTCGAGGTAACATCTGGCAGCGTGTTCTCCCCATCCCCAAATCTCTCCTCCTATCCCACGCGAAGCTTCTAACCTAAAGCACAATGAGAAGCGAGGTTTTATTTAATGCTATGCAAATTGTCACCTAAAATGTAAGGCTGTATCTGATGTAAATTGAGTTTTCTCAGAACCAGATGGTTCATTTGGGTTTTGTTTTAAAAGTCTTGCACAAAATTCTTTCTACCTAAAGAAAGCCCAGTGAAAGCTGTGAACCTGCCTCACCAATTGACATTTATTTTTCTGGCTTGGGTAGGTTTTGGTTAACCAGTTATCCTAAGGCTGCCTGTTAGTCTTGGATGTTCGTGGCCTTTAATGATATTGGTCACCAGCATCTCCACCATCTTTCAATTGATCTTTGCATCCTTTTATTACTTACAGAAAATACGGTTTTGTGAACTGCCCTCTTTTTGAAAGCATTGCGTTAGCCAAGCCCTTTCTCTTAGAATCTGGGGACACAGCTAAAGTCCCATTGGTAGGGGATGGATAATCAACTTCATATTTAATTTAATTCTATGACTTTCTGATAGTCATTACCACCAGCACTGAAAATGACAGTTAAAGACAAACTCTTGCTTATTCAAGAAAAAGCCATCTCTTTAGTTGTAACTAGCAATGTGGATGCTAAAAGGGCCTTCGACTAAATGAATGATCAGGGTATTGGGAGATGTAAGTATGTCATATAAGATAAAGCAGGGCAGGTATAAGAAAGAAAATCAGCCAGGGAGATTTTTGTTTTTGTTTTTCTTTTTTTTTTGAGATGGAGTCTCGCTCTGTCACCCAGGCTGGAGTGCAGTGGCGTGATCTCGGCTCACTGCAAGCTCTGCCTCCCGGGTTCACGCCATTCTCCTGCCTCAGCCTCCCAAGTAGCTGGGACTACAGGCGTCCACCACCATGCCCGGCTAATTTTTTGTATTTTTAGCAGAGACACGGTTTCACCGTGGTCTCAATCTCCTGACCTCGTGATCCGCCCACCTCAGCCTCCCAAAGTGCTGGGATTACAGGCGTGAGCCACCACGCCCAGGCTTTGTTTTTCATTTTAATTTTTTTTCTTTAAGAATGGAAAAGACAATATGTATTTTACATAGGGACCTGTAAGAGAGGAAAAAACAAAAATTCCTTTATTTTTGTTTTTACTTTTTATTTTTTCCTTATAAGAAAGAAAATCAGCCAGGTAGATTCTTGTTTTCCATTTTTATTTTTTCCTTTTAATGAAGAAAGCATTAAGGATAATGCATTATAAATTGTTATGTAAACATGAGGCCTGAATTTTAACAGCGTCCAACCCTGCCGGGTGAATGTGTGCCAAATCTAGTCCCAATAGATGGATATCAGTTGGCACTGCTTAGTATTTCTTAAGCAAAGTCAGAGTCAATAGCATCTCTCTTTTTCTTTTCTCTTTTGGACCCTCATTCCTTCCTCTTCAAATGCCAAGAGTGGTGTAGTTTACTAACCCAATAGTAATATGGATATGTCTGCAGAAGTGGAGATGAAGATTTTAAATTCATTTACTGTCACATTAGTTTATTCCATGTGTTTTCATGCAGATCTTTAAAGTTTCCAATTCCACATCAATTTCTGTTAGAAAAATTAGAAAATAGAGACTCTGGGAGGCAGTTGAAAATATTTAGCTGTTAGATTAATTCAAAATGTCAGTACAGTTGAAAGTGAAGCCTTGGCTGAAAGTGTAGAGGACACATTACCAATTTATAACTGTATATCTTGTTTGAATTGTACACAACTAGTGAAGGAACATCAAAGCTTTGTGGATTGATAATTCCATTTCAGAGCTAAATGCCATGGTAGTGTTCTGCTGCCAATAATTAGCAGAAGTCCACATCCTGGAAGCGGTCCCCATCATAGACTGCAGTGAATCTTCCTGTTGACAATTACCAAAGGAGAATCCTAAGGCTGAGTGAATTAGGGAGCCCTGCTTCATTCCATTCAAGAATTCTAGGGGCTGGGCACAGTGGCTCACACCTGTAATCCCAGCACTTTGGGAGGCCAAGGTGGGAGGATTGCCT
This sequence comes from Homo sapiens, assembly GCF_000001405.40. Lineage (NCBI taxonomy): Eukaryota > Metazoa > Chordata > Mammalia > Primates > Hominidae > Homo > Homo sapiens. The sequence continues at coordinate 104,405,895 of NC_000010.11, forward strand.
GAGCCCAGGAGTAAACCTGGGCAGTCTAGTGAGACCCTGTCTTCACAAAAAAATTAACCAGGTGTGGTGGCATGTGCCTGTGGTCCCAGCTGCTTGGAGACTGAGGCAGGAGGATTGCTCGATCCCCCAGAGTTCAAGGCTGCAGTGAGCCATGATCGCACCACTGCACTCCAGCCTGGGCAACAGAGTGAGACCCTGTCTCAAACAACAACAACAAAAAGAATTCTGGAAAATTAAGTAAACAGAGGAGATGGTAGGGTAAGCCTCAGAGCATAGGAATTGAGAACTATGCCTTTGGAGCTTGGCATATTTGGGCGTGATTCCGGCTCTGAGCCTTGCCAGTCTGGGTAAATGACTTAGTTTCTCTCAGCCTCAGTTGTCCTATCAGTATAAAAGGAGAAGACATACTGTCTCCTAGGGCTGTCCTGCAGCTAAAGTATAATGTTGTATAAAAAGCACTTAGCATAGTATCTGGATGGTGGCAAAGAATCATATATCAAGCATAGTAGCTACCATTATTGTTATTACCACTGGTGGAATAAACATATTTACTTTGTATTCATAGAATAACTAATGCCATAGAAAAAACACTAGGAAAACTGCAGTCTGCCTTTTTGGGGACAGGAATTTATGATTTTCTCATCTATTATACTTTATTTTTGGTTCTAATTCTCTCTGTATTAGGTCTGCAGGTTTGCAACAGATTTTAATAAGACAATGTGCATTTTACATAGAGGCCTCAGTGCTTTGAAGCTGATGATATCTCAGCTGCTATTGTTGTTCCCCTTGGACAGGCCAGCGACCCCAATGCATATGAGCTGATACAGAAAATTCACACCCTGCAGAAGCGTCTCATCAGCAAGACTGAAGAGGTGGTTGAAAAAGAGCTGCTCCTCCAGGTAGCATTTTTGTTTTCTGTACTCATTGTACAAGTCCTTAGCACCACCATCTCCAGGACTACGTTCTTAGAATTAGTTATTTGGCAGCATTGCATGTCCTGTATTTAACTGTAGATGGCAACAGTGACTTACACATAAAGAACAAGCACAGCCTGATTAATTGGTCTTTTACGTTGCGATCACTGATATTTCAAGAATTCTGGAAAATTAAGTTCAAGGCTAGACTTACTGCAATGGGTAATGTGAGCAACCCCCATCCCACTTCTCTACAGTTTTATTTATCAGATTCTTTTAAACATTTTTCTTCATATCTTCATATAATGCAAAATGCTGTGATTTTGATTTTGAAAATAAGCTTTCTCATAGAGCACAAATGATCTGTTCACATGAAGATTTATGTGAGTGAAATGGAAGAAGAGATTTCTTTTTGAGGATTTTATGCAGTAAATTGTTCTGTAGCAATTAGGCCTATATCTTTGCAAGGGCCAGCTGTCATCATCATCACCATCTTCCTCACTGCCATCATCATCATCATCATCATCACTTACTGCATGCCAGATATGCTGGTGGCTTTACCTACTTGGTCCCATTTCCTCTTTGCAGTTCAGGAAGCAGGTGTGGTCATCCCCAGCTGATGACCGAGGAAGTCAGCGCCCACGAGTTTAGTGTGGATGAGAATGTCAGCTCTTGAAGTTAGATGGCTTGGTTTGGAATACTGCCAGTTGCTATGTCAGTTTAACTTCATTGCACCTGATGTTCTTAGTCTGTATTATGGGACAATAACAGAACCTGTGAAAATGGATATTGTGAGGATGGAAAGGGTTTAGTATTATCCATGGTAACATGGTGTCTAATAAATATTAGCAATTATTCATGTTACTTTGGATTCCAAAACCCATAATTAATTAATTAATTAATTTTTTGAGACAGTCTTGCTCTGTTGCCCAGGCTGGAGTGCAGTGGCGCCATCTCGGTTCACTGCAGCCTCTGCCTCCCAGGTTCAAGTGATTCTCCTGCCTCAGCCTCCCAAGTAGCTGGGGTTACAGGTGTGTGCCACCATGCCTGGCTAATTTTTGTATTTTTAGTAGAGATGGGGTTTCACCATGTTGGCCAGGTTGGTCTCAAACTCCTGACCCCAAGTATCTGCCTGCCTTGGCCTCCCAAAGTGCTGGGATTACAGGCGTGAGCCACTGTGCCCAGCCCCAAAGCCCATAATTTTAATCACTAGGTTAATATTAGTAGGAGTAGGAACTTCTATATATGAGTAAGGGACATTTGCTCCTTCTGTTTTACAGTCTACCTTAAGAAAGATATTTACCCTAAAGTTGGGTATACAGTAAATAGCCTTCCAGAATATCATGACACTGAATGGCCAACAGGGATTTTCCTCTTCTCTTGTAGATTACTGTGTGGTTGAGGGAGTAGACTTTGGAGTCCAGAAAGATCTGGTCTTAAATCAGTTTCAATCCTTGATCATTTCGTGACTTTAAGAGAATTACATACATTGTACAAATCTCAGTTTTCCCATCTGTAAAATGGGGATAATAATACGTGTTTTTTATAATGGGAGGAGGATACTCTAATCAGAGTACATAGTTTGGATGTCTTGTAAGGATAACCAATTAGTACGTGGCACTGGGCTTTGACAGTCCAGAGTTTGCTGTTCCACTGATGCTGGCCACAAGTCATTTCCCAAGTCTGTGCAGCTGGTTAAGTGCTAGGGTGGGACTTGGTCCCGGCAGTCACTCCAGAGCTCATGCTTTCTACTTCCTTGTGTGTTCTGTTATCACCACTTTGTTAGTTTTAAAAAGAACCAAATCTTATGTTTGCCAAGCATCTGTATTATAAGTTTGTTTTATATTTCATGGACTGCTCTAACTTTATTATTTCCTTCCCTCTATATACTCTGGGTTTACTGGGTTCTTCTACCTTTTTAAGGTTAATGCTCAGCTCATCAATGTTCAGTCTTCTCTTCTAATATAAATATTTCAGTTATAAAATGTCTTTTAAATAATTTATTTAGGGTTGGGTGCAGTGGATCATGCCTATAATCCCAGCGCGTTGGGAGGCCAAGTGGGGGTGGATTGCTTGAGCTCAGGAGTTTGAGACCAGCCTAGATAACATGGCAAAACCTTATCTCTACAAAGAATACAAATATTAGCCAGGCGTGGGGGCGTGCACGTTTAGTCCCCACTACTCAGGAGGCTGAGGTGGGAGAATTGCTTGAGCCCATGAATTCGAGGCTGTGGTGAGCTGTGATTGTGCCACTGCACTTCAGCCTAGGTGACAGTGTGAGACCCCGTCTCATAAAAAAAAAAATTATTTAGTTCCTTTCCACAGGTTTTGATATGGGGAATTTTCATTTAGTCCTAAATGTTGTATATTTTCAGAATTATTTCTCCTTTGACAGTAAGTCTTAATAAATATTCACTATTTCTCCTAATCATAATTAGGAGATATTTTATAATATTTTAGGATAATTAAAAGTGTATTTTAAATTTTCCAAATATATATGTATTTAAGTTATCTTTTACTTACTGATTGGTCACTTTTCTGCATTGTTGTCTGTATTATACAGATTCTTTGGAATTTGTTGAACTTGATTTGTGACCAACTAAGTGGTCAGTTTTTATACCTGACGCCTGCTGTTTGAAAAACATACATACTCTCTAAATGCTCTGGGTTCAGTGTTCTCTGTTTGTTCGTTAGATCAACCTTGTTAATTGTATTGTCCACATCTGTACTTTTCCTAATTTTCTGTCTGCTTAATCACTGAAAAAAGTTTGGAGATTTGTCTTATTTCTCCTTCTCTCTGACATTTTTCGCTTTAAGAACATTTTAGATCATGATAAGGTGAGTATAAGATTATAATTTTTATTTCTTCCTGCTTGAATTGCTCCTTTCGTATTATGTAAGAACTCTCGTAATAATATTTTTACTTACAAATTTGCCTAGTATTAACATAGCTCAATCAGCTGGATTTTGAAAAGTAGTTTTCCTATATTTTTACTTTTAAACTTTTGGTGTCTTTGTACTTTAGGAATATCTCTTGTAATTAAAAAAAAATCTTATCTTTGTGTTTAGTTTGTTTATTGATAATTTTAGGTTTATTTCTACCTTCTTATTTTCCCTGATTTTTTGTAATGCTCAAAAAAATTCTATCAGACTGAGTTTTCTTTATGTTCTGTTTTCCTGTTTACCAGTCTTCCCACTAACCATTACTACCTATTCCCTTTTTACAGTTTTTCTTTTACTCAACAGTTACCACCACTCAGTATAATATTCTCTCTCTGTCTCTGATTCCCTTAAATACATTATCTTAATTCTTTGTTTTTCTCTTTCATAGATTCCCTTAAAAATTCACCATGCATAGTTGACATCAAATCTAAAGTCTAAAGTTGATCAATATCTTTCTCCTTCTTACAAACAGTGTAAGGATTTGGAATGCTTTAACTGCAGCTACCCTGCTGTTTCCAAAATCAGCCATCACCACTATTATGTTATAGAGTCAATTTGTTAAGATTTACCAACATGTTTACCAGTTCTTTTGTTTTCTATTTCTACATATCTCCAATTCCTTACTTCTGGGTTCTGTCTCTTCCTTTTTGAAGTATATCCTTTCATAGTTCTTTAACCAATAGATTTTTCAATGGTTAACACTCTCCTTTGCTTGTCTAAAAATGTTTTTAATTTGGCCTTATTTGTAAATGATTAACTTGAAATGTTATTTCTATTAGCACTTTGAAGATGTTGGTCCTTTGTGTCCCCAGCTTCCAGTGATGTGACTGAGAAGTCTGCTGTACGTCTAATTGTTTCTGCTCCTTTTTAGGTGACCTGCCTTTTCTTCTGTTTGATAGTTAGATCTTCTCTTTGCCTTTGATGTTTCAGAGTTTCAGCACAACGCATTTGGGTATTAATTTAGTTTTGCTTACTATGTTCAGAACACACTCCATTTCCTGAATCTGAGGGTTCCTGTGTCTTCGAATAGTCTCTTCTTTAGTGTCTTTATTCACTCCTCCTGGAACTCTTATTAGAAGTACGTTGGGTTTTCTTATTCTTTTTTCCTATTTACTGACCTAGTTGATGTTTTTCTTCTCTTTAACTCTTTGTTACATTTTCTTAGCTTTATCTCTATTTATTTATTTATTCATTTATTTATTTTTTGAGATGGAGTCTCACTGTGTCACCCAGGCTGGAATGCAGTGGTGCAATCTTGGCGCACTGCAACCTCCGCTTCCCAGGTTCAAGCGATTCTCCTGCCTCAGCCTCCTGAGTAGCTGGGATTACAGGCATCCACCACAACGCCCAGCTAATTTTTGTATTTTTAGTAGAGACGGGGTTTCATCCTGTTGGCCAGGCTGGTCTCGAACTCCTGACCTCAAGTGATCTGCTGGCCTTGGCCTCCCAAAGTGTTAATCTTAATCTTCTTGTTCACCAGTTCTTTCAGTGTGCTTATCTGCTAATAGTCAATCCACTGAGATTTTATTTTCAATTATTTTATTTTTATTTTATAGAGACTCTTTTTCACATATGCCTGGTTTTTGTTGATAGTTTCTTGATCTTTTCTCATGTTTTACATCCTTCCTTTATGTCCCCAATTAATTCAAAAATTTATTTTATAGTCTTAATCTGAGTGTTCTATTATTGAAGTTCTCGAGGGGTTTTCCTGTTTGTTGTGACTGCTGACTTTCACTCATGGTGGATTTTTCTTTTTGTGTTTTGTGATTTTGGATTGTGAACTCATTTTCAGAAAGCCTTTATTTGGGGACTTGGGAATGGTTCAGGTTAAGGGTATGTCCATTCATTTGTTTCTGCCAGGTGCCTTAGAAGGTATCATTTGCTTAGAATAATTTTTTTTTAATGTTAAATTCTCACTTTGGGTTTCTTGGACTACTTGGCTAACATATACTAGAACCTCAAACTCTTGTGACAGAAGATGAATGGATACAAATTCTTAGGGAAGCAACTTTTTTTTTTTTCCCCCACCCAGAGCCCAGGAGAGATAGTTAGGTTTCCTTGTGGTCTTCCTGTCCCAGTGGGTAGATTTCTATTGTATCTTTTTGCCAAGGGTGAAACTTTTAAAAGTCACTAACTTTATGCTGAGGAATCTTAGTACTAACACCCACTTCACACAGGCCCAGCACCTTATCCTTTGCCTTCTTGTGGCCACTAAAATCCAGGCCCTTTGTTCAGCTATCCCTCAGGGGAGAGCTGCAATATATATCTATTCACTGTTCTAACATGCAGTTCAGGCTTTGATTTTGACACTTGAGCAAACTAATTGAAAATTCTGTTTTGTGATTAAAACTCATGCTGAATTGTTTTACTCAGCATGTCTAATGCTTTGTGGACATTAGTTTTCATGTTATTTAGTCTGACATATTGCCATAAACAGAAATCTCTTATTTGCTTGACTCACTAGTTTCTTCATCCATAAGTTGGGGACAATAATAGTACCCATAGAATTGTGTTAGTTCACATAAAAGTTTAATAGAATTCTTAGTTCTCATTAACAATGTTATTAATAATAGTATTATTATTAATATCATTAATTACCAGCACAGTTTTTCCAGGCCTCCAAAGTTTAATGTCCTGTCTCAATCCCTTTTAATCAATTCCTTATTTAGCGTTTGGAATGGTTGGGCTCTCCTGTGCCTGCTGTGATTTTTCTCAGCAGCTTGTATAACCCCAGACAACAAGCCTTGTTATCTTGCTGAAGCCCCAAGTGTTCCATAGGATTTGACAGTTTCTCAATTTCATCTTTTAAAACTAAAATATTAGAGAAGTTCTCTGTACTCACAATAGAATATTTTGCAATTAGGAAGACTTTGGGTTGAATTCTTCTGAGTATCACAGCAATTTTTAAATAACTGTTTAATCTGTTATGTGGTGATAGACAGACCCCATCATTTCCAAGCAGCAGGTACGATGGAAGCCTATGTTCAAGCCCCACTCGCCTGTGAACTCTTTGAGGAGGGGCGCTTCCCAGTTCTCCTCTCTAATCCCAGTGCCTGATACAGTACTGGGCACACAGATGCTCATTATAGACGGACTGGCTCTCTGCCTGGGCAACTCCTGCCTACCCTTTAGGTCTTAGCTTAAATATTTTTTCCTTAGGAAAGCCCCTTTTCCTAGGTTAGGTGTCTTGGTACACGTTCCCGTAACTTAACTTCTTCCTTATACCACTCATCACACTTGTAATTAATGAAATAGTTGTAATTAATATGTAATGGCTCTTTCCTGTTAGACTATAAGCTTCGCAAAGGAGTTCTGGTGTCTGTCTTGTTGATCATCACATCCCTAATTTCTCATCCACAAATATTTGTCTAGCAACTTATTAAAGGTTGAAAGATTTGTGGTCCTTCAGAAAGTGGTATGTTGCACAGTCATTTAAGTTCGTCTTCGAGCTCTGAGAGGTGGCCTTTGCGTTTTTTTATTGACTTCTGACTTTTCAGGAGTCTGGAATTTACTGTGGGTTTATGGATCTGTAAACTTGATGCAACCTGTCAGTGTCCTTTTTGTTTGTGGAGGCAGGCTGATTCATGCGGGTCTGTCAAAGTTCTTCCCTTGCTTGGGATTAACGTGAAAATGGTTCTTGAGACTAACTTTATAGCTTCAGTGGTAAGATGGAGAAGTCTGTATTCTTGCCAGAATTGGAATCTAAGGTATGAACAGGAAGGATTTCTTTTCTTCTGCTCACCAAGCTACTCTCCCCTTCAGAGAAGCAGGGGCAATGGAAACGTACCTGAAGTGTACCTCCTGGTGGCCTCTCCTTGCTGTTGTTGCTTCATTTGTTCCTCCTCTCATCTGAATCCTTCAGGATTAATGACTTCTTTTTTCTTTAAAGGCATCTGTGGGATGAGGCAGGTCTATATGCCTTGAGTAACTGCTATCCATTACCTGGGTATCATTACATCATCATCATCATCATCATCATCATCATCATCATCATCATCAAGATGGCATTTCTAATAATGGGCATAAGGCATGATAGCATTGGCATCATCATCATCATCAAGATGGCATTTCTAATAATGGGCATAAGGCATGATAGCATTGGAGTAGGAAGCTCTAACCTCTTGCTAGAGGCATTTAAAACATGATGAACACTCAGAGCTACTCAAATGGTTTCTTCCAAATGCTTAAATATGGGGTAACAAGTTCAAATGCACTTAACCTCATGGCCAGGCATGTAACAAGAAAAGAGTGAGGTGGATTTTGCATGCCATGATCAGAAACAGCAACTGGTAGGCGCCTCATAGTCAGAGGCCAAAGGGAGTGGTGGGGATTGCAGCACGTGGTGGGCTATGGGCCCCAGTCCTAGGAAGTATCCCTAGGAAGCAGCTAATCCCACCCCAGCTAATGGCAGGCTGATTTGTCAAATCTTTAATTTTTAAAGAGCTGGAAATGCAGATTTTTATGTTCAATATACTGAATTTTAAACATTGACAGTCTTAAACACACTGTATGGGACTCCCAGAAACAAGTTTGCCAACCATCCTTGGCCCACAAGTGGATAGTTTACAACCTCTAGCTTCAAGGCTTGGGGGAGAAGGAGACGTAAAGAAACAGCAGCCACACAGTCGGCTTTACTAGTTTTGATTTCTTTAATCTTGTTCTTTGTTGTGATTCCTTGATAGATGTGCAGAGCCCAAGAATCAAAAGGGAAAGAGGGAGGGAGGAGAAGGTTCAGGCTGTAGGTGCTATGCAGCAGCAATCAGAGGTGAGCAAGGCTGTGTTCTTCTAAGGTTGTGAACAGAGAGGCAGAGAAGCAGGGGCTGTGTTCTGTGGGGCAGGGTGGGTGGGCTTCAGGGAAGATGGGCTTTCTTAAGATGCCTTTTGTCTTGCCGCTAATAACTCTTAATTTAATTTTTATTTTTATTTTTATTTTTTTGAGACGGATTCTTGCTCTGTCACCCAGGCTGGAGTGCAGTGGCGCAATCTCGGCTCACTGCAAGCTCCGCCTCCCGGGTTCACGCCATTCTCCTGCCTCAGCCTCCCGAGTAGCTGGGACTACAGGCGCCTGCCACCGCGCCCGGCTAATTTTTTTTGTATTTTTTGGTAGAGACGGGGTTTCACCGAATTTTATTTTATAAACTCTTCGAAAACAGAAAAGGTCTTCTCTGAATTGTTAAAAAGACCAAGGGTTGTCTCTGAACACTCCCCACGCCCGTGAATGGGCAGCAGGAATACCTTGTGTTGCCGGCCTGCCCACCGCAGTCACTGAGCGCCCGGAATTCCGGGGTCAATGACACAGACCTCGTCCCAGCCTTGAAGGACCTCTTAGCTCTGCAACCACAGGGCAGTGTACCAAGGGCTGTGATACTGTACAGGATGCTATGGGACTCTAAGCAAGGCTCTGGAGTGGGCAGGTGTCTCAGTTTGGGTCTCTTCAAATCAGACACTGAGACAGAGATTTGGGGTCTGGGCATTTGGGAGGCAGTTGCAGGAAGCTGGAGTCGGGGAGCAGGAAAGTGAGATGGGGAGGGAGGAAAAGCCAGTGGGTGGAGGGGGAGGGAGCGGGTCATCCCATGGGCGTTTGAGCTCTAGTACCGCTGGGATTCCTCTGAGGAATCACACAGGAAAGCGGGTAAAATTGTCCATCAGAGGAAAGAGGACTGGGCATTTGTTCAATGACTCCCATTCCCCACTGGTTGATTGTTGCCCTGGGGACATTGAGCTGCTTCCAAAGGCAGACTGAGGGGGATCCCTGGCCTGAGGCGGAAACGCTGACACCCATGCGCCTGAGGTGTAAGCTGCTAGAGCATTCTGGGAACTGTGGGCCCTCGCAGTGTACCAGGCATGTCAGCTCAAAATCATGAAATTTAGGATGGGCTGTGAGGAGGAGGCTCAGGGCACCAAAAATACCTGTTACGTGAGATCAGGTCTCCTGGCAGGTCCTGGGGACTACCAACCAGGTAGATCCCTTTACTCACTCAGTGATTCACCTAAGGTATGCATTGCCAATCTGACTTTAGAAAAGGAGGGGCATTTTCCCAACCAAGTTCCCATTAGGCCTTCCTCTATTCTATCTGCCCGCTGCCATTTCAGTTACCTGCCAGGAACCAGATGACATGATGATACTGTATGTAGTTCACACCCTGAGTGTGTTCTAATGACAGCCATCCTTTGAGTGCTTACTGTATGCTAGGCACTGTGCTTTCCCTATGCACAGGCAGCAGCGTATGGTGGTGAGTACACAATGACTGTTAGCTTGCCAGATGGTGGGGGTGAAATGATGCGTGCTGTACCTGGGACTCATTTTGGGGAAAGGAAACAAACTTGACCTCCTAGACTGATAGAACTGGATCATCCTGCCCAGAAAATTTTATTAAAACGATGAGAATACTGAGGCATTTTCCCTTCATGTGTGGAAGTAGTGATGTATTACTAGAAGGGTTAATTACGTTCGGGGGGTTTTGATGAGTGGAAGCACACTACCTAATGAACAGTGACACGGAAATGGTTCAGGTGAGAAAACTGCCTTGGTGGAGTTCAAGTTCGTGTTGCTTTAGGAAATTGTCACATGCATTCTTTTACATTCACCTAGAGGCCTAGGTAAGGGGCATATCCCTCAGATAAATAAATCATGAACTGAACTGGAAATCACTGCTTCTTTGCTGGCATCTGAGCCCTGCCCTTTCAAGGTGAACTTTCTCTATAATTTAATTTTATGACTGACTGGATGGAAGTCTGGTTTATTTAACTGTAAAATGGCTTGAATGATAGGAGGGTTTGAATGGATCTGCACGAGTTATTAGCTGTGCAGAGGGAACAAACCTCATATAGCTCATTTTTAGATAATTCTTTCATAAGGGCTTTCAATTTTCTTGATCTCCTGATTATCTTACATTTGTTTAATATTTACACTGTGTTAAACATTGCTCTAAATGCTTGTATAGGTATTATCTCATTTAATTGTCACAACAACCCCAGAAGAGCACACCAGTCCCCTTTACAGACAAGGGAACACGTAGGCCAGGAAAGCTGAGTCTTTCTACTAGGGCCACATAATGGGTACCTGGTGGAGCATTGAGTCTTATCTTAGAACTCTGCTTCCAAAGGCTCTTCCACAGCATGTGGTGTAAGAACACTGTGGTCATTGAATTTATCATGTATAGATTGCCTTGGTCATTCATGGAGAAACTTCACCTTTCTCACTGCATCTTGAGCCTTGCTACTCCAAGCATGGACTCCAGTGGCACTGGCATCTCTGAGAGCTCTTTAGAAATGCAGGATCCCTGGACCCCCTGAGGCTTAATGAATAAGAATCTGCATTTTAAGCAGATCCCCAGGGATTCAGATTACTGGTTCAGTCTGAGAAACACTCATGCTCTAGAAGTTGGTTTCTTTCGTGGTAGATCTTCATGCTTCAGAGCAACAGCTGTGGTGCTGGTGGGCCCAGGATGGAACCCCACACCTCCTGGTGACCAGGCATGGGCCTGGCCTTGTTGCTTAACCTTCCTATGCTTTGCTCTCCTCTGAAATATGGAGCTCATCATTTTATTAGCATCCTTTGGTTACTGTAAAGATTAAGGGAAAGAATGACATAAAGCACTTAGCACAATGCTTGAGATTTGGCCAGTGCTCAAGAAATACCATTATTTGTAGTTTGGAGGATGATAACTTCACCCTCTGGCCCTGGCTCTTAAACTGCAGGGACTGATAATATCTAGGAGTAATCAGACAACTGAATGCAACCAGAATTTGAGGGATGTTTTAGCATCCCACAAACTCTTGAAGGCTATTGACATTCGTATGAAAGTCTAGAGTGTTTCTTTGTTGACAAGAGACATGACAATCCTTGGTCCTGTTTGATGGTAGCACAGATAGATTTGGTGGAAGCTACAGAGAATGTTGAAGAGTAGAGGGAAATGGCAGTCACAGCTCACATCGATTGAATGCTGAGTACATTCAATACTCAATGTACTCTGCGCTGCCCTGTGCTGAGCATCTGCTTTCACTGCAGCCACTGGAAGCCCAGATGAGGCTAATGCTGCTGTTGTTTCATTTCACAGAGAAGGGAACTGAACTTGTTCAAGAGTTCACAGAGGAAGGAAAACAAAGCTTGCCCAAGAGCTTGTGGTTAAGAAATATCAGAGCTGCAATGATAAACCAGGTTTGGGTAAACTATGGCCCACAGTGGGCTGTATCTGGCCTACCACCTGTTTTTATATGGCCTGCACCAAGAATGGTGTTTATATACTTAAGTGATTAGAAAAAAATCACAAGAATAATATCTCAAGACATATAAAATTGTGATGAAGTTTGAATTTCAGTGTCCATGAATAAAGTTTTATTGGCACACAGCCAGGCTCATTCATTCACGGAACATCACAGTTGCTTCTGTGCTACAGCAGCACAGTTGAATTGTTGTGAAGGTACTGAATAGCTCACAAAGCTGGCGTTGGTTACTGCCAGGCCCTTTACAGAAAGCATTTGCTGACCCCTCTTAGAAACCTTAGTCATTGGAGGCTGGGTGCGGTGGCTCACGCCTGTAATCCCAGCACTTTGGGAGGCCGAGGCAGGTGGATCACGAGGTCAGGAGATCGAGACCATCCTGGCTAACATGGTGAAACCCCATCTCTACTAAAAATACAAAAAATTAGCCGGGCATGTTGGCAGGTGCCTGTAGTCCCAGCTACTCAGGAGGCTGAGGCAGGAGAATGGAGTGAACCCAGGAGGCGGAGCTTGCAGTGAGCCAAGATAGAGCCACTGCAGTCCGGCCTGGGTGAAAGAGCGAGACTCCGCCTCAAAACAAAAACAAAATCAAAAACAAACCTTAGTCATTGGAATCGAGAACAGAGCCCCTCACCACTATTCTTTAGTGCCTCCCAATAGAGCCACTGAACATTCCATTACCATGACTTCTTTGTTCCCCCACTTCAGATACCAAAGTAATTATTCAGTTATTAAGGAACTGCTTTAAGATCTGGAAGGCAGAATTCTAATAGCATGGCCCAGTTGCTGGTAGTGTAGCCTACACTAAAGGTAATTCTTGCCTGCTTTATTAGTGGATAACTCAGTGGTCATCCTCCCCAAAGCTGGGCTGAAATAGTTGAAGATGCTCCCTCACTAGACGATGATGTGGGACTGAGAGGTACAGTGTAAGATGAAACCACTGAACAGAAGCCTGTCTGTGGGTTTTTGCTCTGTTCTAAAATCAAGGGGTAGAAGAATGAGATGCGAGGGGGAAAATAGCTTCTGCAGAGCCTTGATGCTCTCATTGAAGGACATTTAAAGTGCTGGGAATGGTTGAGGAGGCTGTGTCCCCGTCGTGCTCCTGGGGCCTGTTTCTTGGCTGCCACTTCTTTCTGGGGTTTCTGGGAATGCCTGCTTTCCTGCACATGCTTCTGCCTGCCAGGGAGGTTGGAAGGAGCAATTGGAGGCAGGCTGTTCAGAAAACAGAATGCCAATGCTAGCATAGATGTCCTCCCTGTAGCTGTCTGCGGGGCACCATATGCTTCTACCTACTTGGTTTGCCCAAGACAGCCTGAGTATGAACATTCTCAGAGGGTGGGTTCAGGTCACACTACTCATGATCCTGTAACACTCCAGCAACACTTAACCTCTGATGGGCACATTTTCAAAGTGCTTTTCAGGCATTGTATCTTAGTGGTTCCCAAATGCTGATCTGAGGGCCAGGAGAAATGATACGGTCCCAAACGCAATATTCATTGGTGTGTAAGAAAATGAGCACAGTAAGAACTGTGTAGCATAAAGCTAATTTTACTTCTCTATTTTAGGGACTGTTCTTTTATCTGTGTCCTTTTTTTTTTTTTACTTTTGAAAATTCCTTTTTTGAGATGACATTCTCTTATTGTTTGTGTGTTCCTCTCCTTTATGAGATGATGGTAAGAGGCATGATGATTTTCTGTTAGTCAAGAGCATGGATCCTGTGTATGTGGTGACTTCGTTGCTTTGTTAGACAGGGATAATCATGCCTATCTCCTAGAGTTATTGGGGAGATTATATTAACATATATAAAACATTTAGAATAGTCCCTGGCACATAGCAAACACTACATTGTTACCTAAGATTCTTCCTTTTTGGTTTTCGTGTTAAAAATTTAGCATAAGAAGAAGTTGGCAAGACTATGATGGTACCTTCAAGATTTTGGAGGAAATATATAGGTCAAAGAAATCCAAAATCTAGGAACTGGTACTTTCTGTCTTAATCTTTGCAATAACCCTGTTTTGCAGATCAGGAAACTAAAGCTCAGATAGGTTTATGGGCCCTCAGAAAGTGTAAGAAAAAGGATAATAGTGCAGGATTGTCTAGGACTCTGGTCTCCCTTAAGGGAGCAGACTTTTAATATGCAGATGTTTGGGGCCTTTTTTTTTTTTTTACGATTGTGTTCAGCTTCATTAAGGTGAACAAGTTTCTCAACGTGTGTCCTTTCAAACTTGCCTGAGTGTACTTAATGTACTCAATTATCAAATGCCTTCTCATATTCCCTCTCAGTAGTTCTCTCTAAATGTGCCAGGAATAACTTCCATAGCATTAGAGTACTGCAAGCATTAGGAGTTTCTTAAAAGAGATTGGCGCTGGTAAGCTCGATTAGGCAGATAGAGTTTAAAAACCGGTTTATACCTTAAACTGTAAGTACCTTAAACACTTGTAATTTCAGCCAACCTGAGGAGAGACACAGATGACTTCTGGAGTCCAGATCTTCAATTTGGTTAGCAAGGGTCTTTTTTGTGTTATGTGTTTTGAAACAAGTGGTTTTTCTACCTATCAGATACTATGCTTATTACTTGGGAGATGAAACAATCTGTATATCAAACTTCTATGACATACAATTTACCTATATAACAAATGTGCTCATGTACTCCTACAACTAAAATAAAAGTTAAAAAAAGAAAAAAAGAGTGGTTTTCAAAAGGGGTATCTTGATTGACTTCTTTCTCTACCCTTCCATTTTCTTTTTCTCTTTTTAAACATTTTTTTATATTTGATTTTTTTTTTTTTTTTTTTGAGACAGCGTCTCACTCTGGTGTTCAGGCTGGAGTGCAGTGGCATGATCACAGCTCACTGCAGCCTCAAGTTCCTGGGCTCAGGTGATCCTCCCACCTCAGCCTCCTGAGTAGCTGGGACTACAGTCTTGTGCCCCCACACCCGGCTAATTTTTTTGTATTTAGTAGAGATGGGTTTTTGCTATGTTGCTCAGGCTGGTCTTGAACTCCTGGGCTCAAGTGATCCACCAACCTTGGCCTGCCAAAGTGCTGGAATTACACGCATGAGCCACCGCACCTGGCCTCCTCCCTTCCATTTTCATCTCAATTTTAAGATTTAGGATTGAGACATCTTAAACGTCAGAAGTCCACGAAATAGCAGATCTGACTACAGAGGTTCAATTAATAAAGGGGTGATGTATATTAAGTGAGTAGTAGATATGGAACCTCAGCACTCATCATGTAGAAGCATACACCTTCTACACCTATGACAAGAAATGAATTTCTGTCCAACTTTCCACCTGTTTTACTAGCCCCCTTCTAAGACTCCTTTTCCCTTCCACCTCTCCACACCCATGAATGGAAAAGGAGGCATTGCTCATCTGGTTGGTCGCAGCCTGAGACTTGAGTCACATACTGCTGATGGCCCAGGCCATTATGTGCTATATATCCCCTGCCTATGTGCTGAAGTTCTCTTGCTCTCCTAGCCTGGGCAAGACCCACTATGTCCACTGTCCATTCTAACTCCTCTAAATCTTTGACTGGGTGGGTAAACCTTATTGGGTCTGCTCTTTCTGGTCATCTAAGATTCAAGGAAGAGAGAATAGGTCTCTTGGTACAGAAAATTCCCAGCTCAATAGACTAAAGAAGGCTTACACAAGGTGGTATCCATAGTGATTAGTGGATACGACTCTTGAACAAATCAGGTTCATGAGTCCAAGCTCACTCATATTGCTGTGTGACCCAGAGGAACTTACTTAACTTCTCTAAGCCTCAGGTTTTGATTAGGAAGGTATAGGTAATAGTAGTGCCTATCACATAAGATTTCAGTGTAAATTAAACAAGATCATCTTTATCAAGCACATAGCTCAAGGATTGCACTTAATAAATGTTAGCTGTTGTTACCATGGTATTTTACTTTAGACTTAAATTTTAGGCCAGGTGTGGTGGCTCACACCTATAATCCTAGCACTTCGGGAGGCCGAGGTGGGTGGATCACCTGAGGTCAGGAGTTTGAGACCAGCCTGGCCAATGTGATGAAACCCTGTCTCTACTAAAAATACAAAAAATGAGCCAGGTGCGGTGGCACACACCTGTAGTCCCAGCTACTTGGGAGGCTGAGGCAAGAGAATCGCTCGAAGGTTGCAGTGAGTTGAGATCACTCCACTGCACTCCAGCCTGGGCGACAGAGTGAGACTCCATCTCAAAACATAAAATAGGATAAAATAAAATAAAATAAAAATTTTAGAAGAGCCTCTAAAGTACATAGTAGCTTATAAATGACATAGCTTGAC
The DNA here is from genome assembly GCF_000001405.40 of Homo sapiens. Classification (NCBI taxonomy): domain Eukaryota; kingdom Metazoa; phylum Chordata; class Mammalia; order Primates; family Hominidae; genus Homo; species Homo sapiens. The sequence continues at coordinate 104,422,263 of NC_000010.11, forward strand.
TCAGCATTTCATATGTGAACTCCCTTTCAGGAGTAATTGCATAGACCCATCCATTCTTAGAGCAGTCTCTCACTTTCCTTCCATGGTGTCTGACCCTTTAGTTACTGTGCCCATGAGTTAGGCCTCTGTGATAGCCTGAGTATCTGTTAGCTTTTTCTGTATAATAAAGCACTCCACAACTTCGTGGCTTAGAACAATAATCATTTATTAGGTGTTGATTCTGTCAGTTGGCAATTTGAGCTGGGCTCAGCTGGCTTGTTTTTCTGTTGGGTTCTCCTGGGCTGACATGTGCTTTTTCAACCAGCTGGTGGATTGGCCCAAAGCTGGTTCATTTGGGTGGGATCATTCACATGTACAGTGGTTGGTGCTGGCAGTTGGCGAGAGGGAAGTAGTGTCTGAACTACCTGTCTCCACCAGCCTAGCCCAGGCTTACTCTCATGGTAACAGCCTTAGAGTCTCCAAGGCAGCAAGAAAGGGCAATCCTCAATATGCAAGTACTTTTTGGGTCTCCATTTGTGTCATACTTACCAATGTCCCATTAGCCAAAGCAAGTCACATGGCCAAGCCCAGAGTAAATGTGGGAGAGGACTATCTAGGGTCATAGTTACAAGTGGCTCTTGTTCAACACTGTACCACAGTCTCCTTTCTTTGGGGAGATTGAGTGGAGATACTTTGCATTTAATCATCAAGTGGTACAAGATTTCTTAAGTTTTATTTTAATTGACACATAATAATTGTACTAAGATTTCTTTTTTTAATCCTTTGTTGGATATGGTACTTTAATATGCTGGCATCTTGTCGCTACCCTTGGATTTTATTGCTGACATGTTTTTCTTTCGTTTAATTTTTTATTCCCTTTATTTAGGAAATTATGGTTTGCTGTAGGACATAGTTATTTTTATAGGAGAAACAGCTGTGATGTCATAACTGAGTACATTTCCTTAGTGATATGCATTTATTCCCATGCATTTGGAAACATGATCCACCATCCATTTGTTCATTTTTATTTTGGTCTCTGATTTCACATTGAATCAGAGCAAATATGTGAACCAAAAATATATTAGTTGATAAATTAGTCTTTTAAAAATGTAACATTTACTATTTTCTTTTGATATTTATAGTTATTGAGCTGTAAGAGGTAAGGGAGTGTTTTAAAATATTTTTTTCTTCTATAAGGATCAGTTTGAATTAAGTTGCATAAAACCAAGTGAGATGCAGAATAATATGTTTCTAGTATTAGAAACAATTCAAGCTTTTTATGAGAGTGGTGCTTAAACAGGAGTTTTTTTTTTTTTAGAAACAAATAACAATAACATGGCCAATAACTGAAAAAGGAAATAAGTAGATTACTTAGAGTCCAAAGGAAACATTTTCAATAAAGAATTTCTCAGTGGAACATTTAGGTTGTTATTGAATCTGTATACAATTATATCTTACTCCCCAAACAAAAGAGATTTTCAGTGATAAATGTTTTTGGACAGCAGCAAGATTCAATTCAGTTTATTTCAAGATGAGGATTTATTTGTGAAATTAGAAGAAAATAGTTGCCAACAAGGACCCGGGGGAGTCCTATCTATTTTTATCTCCTCTGTTGGTGTTTTACCCAGAAATATCTTAGAAACAGAGGTGCTTCTTACAAGGATGAGAAAAATTGCAGGTGGAGCAGAAATTAATTTGTATTTATAGTCCAAACACCTACATGAATCCTTAATCTGCTTTTTTATGATTTTAGGGGAATTTATAGAATCGTTTAGATTGGAAGAAATCTCTGGTGGGTCATCAAGTTCCCTCTCCTTATAATGGCAGTGCTGATTTTATTATCTTAAAGCAGCTCTGATAGATGGGTGTCAAGTCTGGCTCATGTTTCATGCATTAAAAAATGTATATTCCCTACTCTGCATGTATTTAATGTGTAGGAAACAGCCTGGGAGCTGCCTATATGCCTGGGAGTCCTTTTCTGAGTTCTTGACACACAGTCTTCTCTGGAGCCGGTGCCAAATCTGTAGCATATTAAGTGTTATGTTGATATCATCAGACTCAGTTTGCTTTTGGCTTCTGACAGTTTGGAACACTTTCCTCCAATGTGTGTAGGGGCCAGTATACTGTCTGTTCTGAGATGATAATAGATCATTTCCTCTTACATCCTTTTGTCCTGCACACCTCCAGAGAACTGCCTTCCCCTAAATTAAGACAGCCTGCTTGGAAGACTATGAACCAAAAAGCATTTTGGGGTATCTATAATATCTATAGAAGTTTGTAAGACACAAAGGAATAGGACATGGTCCTTACCTGCAAGAAATTTATGATCTATTTGAGAAGATTTCTGGGTATTTTTGGGAAGAAATGAGACTGATCTCCGTGAGCAGTGTGTGAAAATCCAGACCATTACTTTACGGTTCCATTCAGTAAACAATACACAATGACACCTAAACACGACATTCTGGATACTGACAATAGGGAGTGCCTAATTATGCAGTAGAGCCACTGTCTGGGATGGTATATAATGAGATGTTGTTGTTTAAAACTGCTGTGCATACCAAAAGAATAAGAGCAGGGGAGATGAGTAAGAACTGGCTTCCTCAAGGACAAAGAGGACATGTTTGGACTGGGCCTTGAGGTGTTAAAATGACTCATCAAGTTATTGCCTAAAAACATACATTAAGGCAGGATGGCACAGTGGCTGAGAGCTGAGACCTATTTTGAGTCCTGGTCTTACCAATGACTACCTCTGACCTTGGGCAAGTAACTAACCGTCTCAAAGCCCCAGTGACTCCAGCTGTAAGGCAGTGAGAGGAACAGCACCTGATTCACAGGGTTGCTGTGCTCATCAGATGAGCTAACTGATTTAAACTGCCTAGGATAGAGCTAGACACACAGGGTAAGAAGAAGAGTAACTACATATGATGGTGGTGGTGTTGGTGTAGAAAAGGCCCATGGAAGCACATGGGCAGAATAATAGAATGCTTTTGAAGAAGGTACATTTGGAAACAAATGAAAAGGGCATTTCAGGCTGAGGACAGATGAAGAGTCAATGTTCTGAGGCAGAGGTGAGCACAACTGGAGTGTGGGGATGTGGTTGAGTAGCAGGAAGATATAGCTGGCTATTTTGTTTTGGAGTGTACCTTTAGATATATTTGGTGGGACCAATTATATGTCTTAGAGACCAAGCATAGGCATTACACTAGCTCCAGGAGACAACTATGCACTCTAACAGTGACAATGACCGTAACTCCCATAGCCGCAGCTAACAGGTCTTAACTGCCTATTATTTTACCATGTGTCCAATCCTTTATGTTATGTATGTTATCCTCATAAGAATTTTTAAGTATTAGACCAGTTTTACAAATGAGGAAGCTGATGCTCAGAGTGATCAAGTAACATGGCTAAGGTCACATAGTATCCCGTGGCAGAGTCGGGGCCCAAACCCGTGCAGTCTGTGGTGAGAAGTGACTCCTGTGTCCTAGCTGAGGTTGGTTGGCTGTCCAGGCCTACATTCTGCAGGACATTAGCCGTTCAAGAGTGTGACTTGGTAAAAGTGACAAGGAAGAAGACTGAGGCCAGAGACTGAGGCTAAAGGACCAGATAAGGAGTAGCTGTGATTTGGGCCCGAGGTACTGAGGATGTTGGTAAGGGACAGGCTCTGGGGAGGAGAAAGGAGCAAATCCATGAGATCTTAAAAAGACCAACATAGACTGGGTGCTGGCTCATGCCTATAATCCCAGCACTTTGGGAGGCCGAGGTGGTGGATTGCTTGAGCTCAGGAGTTTGACACCAGCCTGGGCAACATGGCAAAAACCTGTTTCTATAAAAAATACAAAAATTGGCTGGATGTGGCAGTGCTCACCTGTAGTCCCAGCTACTTGGGAGGCTGAGATGGGAGGATCACCTGATCACCCTTGACCAGAGGTCGAGGCTGCAGTGAGCTGTGATGGTTTCAGTGCACTCCGGTCTGGGCAACAGAGTGAGACCCATCTGAAAAACAAAACAAAACAAACAAGACCAGCATAGGGGACTTAGAAATTGAATCCCTGTGAAGGTCAAGGGAGGAGAGTCAAAGGTGGCTTTCGGTCTTTCCTCCTGGTCAGTGATAACTCCAAGTTTGACAAAACCAATTCGCTGCCTTGGGGACCATTCACCATACCACACCCCTCCTCCCACACCTCCTTCCCCCCGCCGCCTTCCATCATCCTCTCTCCCTCCCCACTCCCCCCAGCTATCCAGGCTGAAGCTTGGACCTTAAGACTGTTTAAACTTTGATTAACCCAGGCTGAAAACAAAACAAAACAAAAAACAAAACAGGGAAAGAAAATCCATGTTACAAAAGGCTGCAAATTTTTTTTATTTTTTAAATCACAGGAAAACTAGAGACTCCAGTAATCCTTTCGTTCCATTTCACTCTTCCAGATTGTGCCTCTGATAGAGATTGGCAGTTATGAAGAAAGACATTTTCACCCCATTACATGTTCCAGTTGGTTATTGCCGGCATGTTGAGAGCTATTGATTTTTGCATACTTGTTTGTATCCAACCTATCATACTAAATAGCTTCTCAGTTAATTTTCTGGGGTTTCTAGGTATGTAATCATACCTTGTTTAAGAAGTGATTATTTTCCTCTTCCTTTCCAATAATCATTCAATTTGTTTTTATTTCCTCACTTATTGCTTTGTTTACAGTATCAGTTATTTTAAAAAATTAGTTGGAACAATGGAAATGATGTTGGGTTTTTAGAAACTTGAGAGGTTAACAGCAGAGTGAATGGCCAAGAAGCCACTGCAGAGGAAGCTTGCTGTTACAATGCCCAAGGAGATTGAAATGAAGGAAATTAAAATAGTCACAAGAGAAAATTGACTGGCTTTGTTATTGTAGACAGGTACAAAAGATGACTTTGAGGCCTTAAGTCCAAAGTCGGTGGTCTAATTGACAGTCATTAGGAACTTGGCTGGGTTATTAATAGAATTTGAAGTTTATTTCAATCTATTCATCTGAAAAAAGGTGAGAGGATGGAAATTAATTAGAATTCTCAGTTTATAAAACCAGTTCCAAGAATGTGGATTCAAAATAAATTAGCAGGTATATTAATTTTCTTCAATATTGCCATGGTCTGACTCTTAATCTAGTGAGAGGCAAAAATATCACAGAATAATGACAATTTATAAATTTTTTTTTCTAGTTGACAAAGCAATTTTATATATATTGTCTCATTCGGTCTTCCAACAACTCTGTGAGATGGATGTTGATGGAAGGATCTAACATTTGTCTGATAAGTTATATTTCGCAAAGCACTCCTACCCACAGCACCTCATTTAGTGCTCACACCGATTAATCTCTAACACACACTCACAACATTTACCTGACTGTGGTTTTCTAATATAGATTTTCTTTTCTGTCTCTGAAAATGAAATTCCCTACAGAGAATGTGCACCCATGCCTTGTCTGTGCTCTAAACCTCTCTTCATTTTTCAAAATTCTGTTCAGCTAGAACATTATCTTTGCCCCTTCCCCAGAAGCACAGAGGTGGAGTAGGGAGAGGCTGAGGAGGGAGGACCCAGCCAGGTGGCCCTTGGCTGGTGTATATGGAGGTGGGGTGTGAAGAAGCTCCCTCAGCAACATCGAGGGTTATGGAAATTTTGGCGTGACCTTATCGTCTTTGGCTTTTTCCTGAAGTGGGGATCGTAGAGAAACTGGCTGTTGTGTGAGAGTGGGTAGTGTGCTGTTGAGGGGATGACATTTCCTATGCAAACACACGTAAGCACATGGAGAGGCTCTGTATTCCTTGCTTAGATAAAATTACCTTTCTGGATTTTAGGAGAAGGAAGGGCAAAGCTCATTTGGTTGTTTGTAGGATCTGGCAGTGGACTGTGTCTGATTTTGCAATGTAACTCAAAGGGTGGTATCACACAGGCCAAGGGAGGAGTGAACTTCCAGGAGGGAGTAGGTCATCACTGTCAGCATCCGCCAGGAGAAGCATAACCGAGGGAAGCATGCCCACAGGGAAGTCGCTCACCGGTGCCCTGTGAGAGTCCTGTTCTGGGAAGTTGTTGGGGATGGAAGTCTGGCAGCCAAGGGCCCCAAAGGGAAGAGATGTGAGACAATGGGGACAGCAGACTTGGGTTACTTGTAGGAGACATTTGACTATGAAACATTGGAGGGAAAAAAATGTAAAAACACACATGTAAAACACAAATACATTCTTGTAAAAGATTCAACCAATTTAGAAACACAGAATAAGCCATGCAAGACCTCTGTTCCTTTTTGTCTCAGCCCTACTCCCTGAGTCTAATGGAGTGATGCGTGCTCTTCTCGTCACTGGTAAACATTTTAAAGAGAGGGATGGGATGACAGGCATGAGTGCAAGTTGCAAGCCCAGGAAAGAGAGACAAGGGTGAAGATAGGAATGCATGTTTGTGGATATGCCTGGGGATAGTATGTGTGGTTTCATGTGCATGGGTGTGTGTCTGCGTATGTTGATTCACATGCACACACCAGGCAAGAGGATGAAGGCTACCAGCTCTTCATGTGAGATGGACAGGAAGGCGGAGAGAGTTTAGGTAGCACTGATGACTTGCGATGGAGGTTGGGGTCACTTAAGGTATCTTCTGTCTGCTTAGATCAGGCCATCTGCCGAGCAAGTATGTTGGAGGTGAGACTGGGATCCCAAAGACAGTTCTGAAGAGGCTGCTGGAGGAGACACTGTCCAGGTGTTCACAAGAAATGGACGTGGGAATTGCTGAGCAGAGAAAAGGAAAGGATCAAGGCACAGAGGATCCATTGATTTTGTTGAATTCGTAGCAGCTCCATTCTGTACAGTTCTGCATTGCCCTCCAGCAGCACCGTGTGGCCAGGGAGCTGAGTGATTGGCCCCACAGTAGGAGATTGGTAGTGCTGGGAGTGTGCATGGCAGTTGTCACAGAGGCTGGTGATGAGGGGGTGGCAGGTGCTGTGGGGGTCACTCAGAAGCATTTGACTCTGCAGTTGAGGAAGAAGAAGGAGAGCAATGAAATCAGGCAGAGGCTAATGTGCTGGTGGAGTGGGAGTGTTGAGTAGGGTCCTGGTGGCGAGGGCAGAGAGCAAAGGAGTGAGCGAGCCTGCATTCAGACAGGGAGACCATGGAGCTTGAGCATTTCAAAGCCAGCTCTTGAATTAATGACATTCATATTCAACTAGCTGTGGAATTTCAGGGGTAATATGTCAGCCAGATAAAGGCAAAAAAGCATGCCAGTGTCTACTGTGGCATATCAGCTCCTGTCCCCCAAATTTGTTTATTAAAATTTCCTTGTTAAGGATCCGTTAGTAAGCGTCACTTCTGAAATTGATGTGTATTTGGAGAAGCCTCAATTCCTCTTTGATATTGAATATTACTGTGGCTCTCTGATGTGTGAATTCTTTCATTCTGCTAGGTCTCACCCAAATTCGCTTTCTCTTAAGTAAAAAACAACTCAAGGTACACGTTTATACCATCCCTCACTTTTATTTTTATAAAAACTGATCTTTTCATCTGTTGAGCTACTACCTACCCGGGTTGACTCTTGGGCTAGGCATAGAATCACTACACTTTTGCATTTGAGGCTCCAGGCCTTGGCTGGCTTGGACAGGACACAAATATAAACTCATTTTTTTTTTTTCCCACAGCCTCTCCTCTTTTGCCTGCTCTGAGGGTTCTGGCTCTCTCACTGACAGCCCCTCCTCCCACTCGGGGAGGGGTCTGCACCTGCAGAGTCATTCCCTTGGCTTTTCAGGTACATAATCAGGATAGCAGTGAGGGGTGGATAGATGGGCAGCACATGAAAGGAGCTATTCTAGAGCTTTTGAAGTCAAGAATGTGAGGGTGGCTGCACATGGTGAGGGAAGGGGGGTTTTAAGTACTGATGTGGATAATGTATCCCCTTCACAATAGTTAAAAGACACGAATGATGTACTTAAGTTAGCCTGAAGTTACTTGTTGGTCGCTTTCTTTGCCCATGATAGCTCTCTGTGACTGGACCACATGGGTCTTAGTGTCAATGGGGCTATACTAGAATCGTCACTTTCCAGTCAAGAGTAGACAGCATTAAAAAGGGAGCAGCCCCAGGACCACTAAAATCACACAGGCTGATCCAGTGATAGTCCACGGGGCAACAGAAACACTAGGAGCCTGACAACAAAAGGTTGTTTTCTTATGATTTTGCTTTTCACATTACCTTCTCACTTACAGTCTTCTTTTGGAAACGAATCTTCTTTCTATTACAGAGCTTAATACACAATTTTCCACTTCCCTAAAATTTTATTAAGTGCTTTATGGAACAATTTGCATGAGGTCTGATTTTCCAAGTTGTTGGCTGTGCAGCGTAATGACCTCATACTTTTTCATCTAGTTTCATGCTATTATTTATATAAAGAGGTGATTGGTTTGCATTCAAATTAGGCATATGTGAAACTGGACACATTTTTGCATCTAAAAAACACCATTGTTGCTCTATTTCAGTGCTGTCCACTAAAAAATAATGTGAGCCATGTGTGTGATTTTAAATTTTCTAGTAGCCACAATAAGAAAATGTAAAAATAATCAGGTAAAATTAATTTTAATAACATTGTTTAGCACAGTTTATGCAAAATTATATCACTTCAACATGAAATGAATTTATTAATGTGATATTTTATATTTTTTGTACTAAGTTTACACTATCTGCCATGTATTAACATTTAAAGCAAATATCAATTCAGACTACATTTCAAGTGCTTGATAGCCACGGGTGGCTAGTGGCTACCACACTGATGAGCACAGTTCTGTTTTATGGTCATGATTAGTTGGGTACCAGTTTGGCTACTAGGTTCTTTCTGATTTACTGAGTGTATTTGATGTAATCTGAATGAGGGCACTACTGGGAGTGGCAGAGAGTTGTTTAGTCAGTTACATTAATCATTCATTCGTTCTTCTTTTCATTCACACACTCATTCAACAAACACTGAGTACCAGGTCTTATGCTTATTCTAGGGATACAGAAAGACACAGGAACAGTTCTTATATGTGACAAAGGCAATGTCTAGTGGAAGAGACAAGCATGTAAACAAGTAACTATAACTACAGCACAGTATAATAAAGTACATACAAGAAACATAGACATAGTGTTATGGGATTTATATTTGGAAAAATTAGAGTTCTATTTCTTATCATACACTAAATTTTAAAAACTTCCTAAAAGTTCTAGAATAAACTATAAATATATTTCTACATATTCTTGAGGGTGGGAAAAATCCCCCCCTTTTTTCCCCAAGTTTTAGATAAAATGTTAATGCAGAAAAGTCGAGTATAATAGAACACAACCAGTCTCTATTCACCCAAAATAGTAAATATTAATGTTTTGTCACATTTGTTTCAGATTTTTTAAAAAATGAAGTGAATAGATTTTCAGATTAGATGAAAACTTCGTGTCCCTTCAAAGTCCCATTTCTTTTCTGCCTTTTCCAGAGGCAACTACTGTCATTAATTTGATGTGTATTCCTTCAGTATATTTTTGTGCTTTTACTGCAAATAGATGCGTTTACAATGTGTAAAATTACTTGGTACATTTTAGATTTATATACATGGTATTATACTGAATGCATTATTATTCATTTTCTTCTTTTTTCCACACTCAACGTTATATTTTTGAGACCTATCCTTGATACACATCAAAGATAAAAATAATTCCATTGTATATCTATTCTATAGCCATTTTTTTAAAGATGATGAACATTTAGGTTTTTTTCTTTCAAATTTTCACTATTGCAAAAGTGTTTCAGGGGCATCCCTGTACAAGTTTCCTGTACACATACATGAGCATCTCTCTAGGGTATGTATCTACAAGTAGAGGAAGTATAATACCAAAGGCAGAAATCATAAAGGAAAAGAGTGATAACTTTGTCTACACAAAAAGTTTAAAACATCATCAGAATAGTAAAAAGCATTTCAAAGGTGGAAAGAAAAAAAATAGGAATAACATTTGTAACAAATATGGCAGAGAAAGTTCACTATCCTTAATATATAAAAAGTTTTCACAAATCAATTTGAAAAAGATATCAGTGAATAAATTGGTAGAGATAATAAGCAAACAGTTCACAAAGGAAGAAATATGAATCAGTAGTGAACATGTGAAAATAAGGTAACCTTATTAGTAATCAAAAGAGTGAAAATTAAAAGAATAATTATCTTTCCTTTTGGCCTATCAGACCAGCAAAGACAAGAAAAGAATGATGATATTCAGTGTTAAAATGTGGGTGTAATAGGCACTTTTTTTTTTTTTTGAGACGGAGTCTCGCTCTGTCACCAGGCTAGAGTGCCATGGTGCGATCTTGGCCCACTACATTCTCCGCCTCATGGGTTCAAACAATTCTCCTGCCTCAGCCTCCTGAGTAGCTGGGACTACAGGCACACGCCACCATGCCTAGCTAATTTTTGTATTTTTAGTAGAGATGGGGTTTTACCATGTTGGCCAGGATGGTCTCTATCTCCTGACCTTGTGATCTGCCTGCCTTGGCCTCCAAAACTGTTGGGATTACAGGCGTGAGCCACCGCGCCCGGCCAGTAGGCACTTTTATATACTGTGGGTAGAGTTTAAATGGATGTAAACTTTCTAGAAGAGAATATGGTAGTATGTATTAAAGGCTTTATAATATAAAAACTCTGACTCAGAAATTCTACTTGAAGGATTAATCCAGAGAACATAAATCAGAATTTTGTGTCAATATGTCTGTGATGAGGATGTTTCTTGTAGTGTTATTTATGCTATAAGGTTAAAGATGGCTTTGCCTAAACCAATGAAGAATATGACTAAATCAACCCAAGGTTAAAAAAACCTAACTTTAACACTAAAGATGCAGTTAATTTTCTTTTTGAGACAGGGTCTCGTTCCATCACCCAGATTGGAGTGCAGTGGTAAAATCATAGCTCACTGCAGCTCCAAACTTCTGGGATCAAGCCATCCACCTGCCTCAGCCTCCTGAGTAGCTACGATTGTAGGCATGTGCCACAGCATGTGCCTAATTTTTGAATTTTTTGTAGAATCTTGCTATGTTGTCCAGGCTGGTCTTGAATTCCTGGCCTTAAGAGATCCTTCCACCTTAGCCTCCCAGAGCACCGGCATTACAGGCAAGATGCAGTTAATTTGAAGAAATTAGAAAGACCTCCCAAGAGAAGTTACTTTGATCGTCAGGGTCTTGAAGGATGGGAATTTGTTTGCCAAGGGGTGGAGGTGGAAATAGGGGAAGGGCATTCTGCAAAAATAAGTGGCCAGTACCAAGGCAAGAAGCCTCAGGAGAACCTGCTCAGATCAGGGAGTGACAGTGATTTTGTGTGATGGCATATAGGGAACATGAAGAGGAGCAGAGCCAGGATGGAGCCCTCTCTGCTCTGAGCCCATCCCATGATGTCATGATCCAGCTATTGCTGGGAGGCTTTTTAGGATTTCATCACAAAGTTCGAATTACTTGGGGTTATTTCAACTTGAGTATTTAATTCCATCAGAATATTTCTTGTTTTCAAATTTTAATTTAGCATACTCTTCCAAAGAATGTTCCAAGTAAGCGAGATTTTGCTGAGTGGGCTTTCATTGCTACATTGCATTTTTTAACAAGTTATTTGCTTAAGATCCTTTCCTTATGCAGCTGTCATTGTCAATGTACAGTTACACGGCTGCTCTGGTCTCTCCAGAACCCTCACTCCCTTGGCTGTCCCTCTGGTTTGGCAGGTGACTTCAAATACTTTGCTTTGCAAACTATTGGAAGAAGCCAAGAGTGTGTGGCTCTAGGCTTAGAGTCACACTGGCCTGGGTAGGAATCCTGGCCATTTTAAGTGTGTGATCCTGGGCAAATTACTTAGCCTCACTCAGCCTCTGTTTCCTCTGCTGTGAAATGGAGTTGATGTGTGAGGACCACATGGATAATGTCTATAAAGTGGTTTTCAGAGCTTGTAGTATGTGCTAAATAAATGTTAGCTATTATTATAATTACTATTTTATGGGTAACTGGATTCCTTCTGCCTTCTCTTATTAATCCCCAGGGGATTGTTTATAATATAGGCCTAATTAGCTATTTATGGTTCTAGAACTTCTCTTGTGTTTCCTACCTCAGTGGCATGTTGTTGAGAGGAAGCTGAGAATTCATTGTCTAGGCTGACTCTTGATCCCAGGCTTCAATGAGCATAGTGTAGGAGGCCTCAGGTCTCCTAAGTTAGCCAGTTTATACAGGGTGTGAGGAATGAGCCCTTTTGGGACCACAGACTGTGGGTTCGAATGGCACATGCCATTAGGTTATCTATCTGTGGAATCCCAACATTCATGCAGCCTGGTTCATCCCACCCTTGAACAAATCACCAAGAAGCAGAGATTCTAGAGAGAGAGAGTCAGGGCGAGAAACTCATGGATTCAGCCAGGTGACCTTTGGAGTTGAAGCCTCCAAGCATTTGGGAAGTGATAGACCATTACTGGTGATGAAATCTCAGTGGACTTTTCTTTTCAGAAGTGTCCCTTCTCTGATTCTTGTGATATCACTTGTAACTGTCAAGAATTGCTCTTATCACAACATCCTGTTGAGTCACTTGTCTGCCTCTCCCATTAGACTCTAAATTCCTTGAGACCCACACAGTCTCTAGGAAGGAGCATGGTCTTTTGGAATTGAGTCTTCTACACAGCTCTAGGACTTGTGACCTTGGTCAGGTTACTTGTTTCCTCATCTGTAAAATGAAGATACTTACTGATTTATAGACTTATTATAAGGATCAGATATAATTTATGAAAAGTGACTGGCATATAATAGTTGGTTAGTAAATGGTAGCTGGTGACTATGAGAACAACCACGATATCAGCAATGATAATGCCAGAGTAGCACTGTGCCTGATGTGTCTGTCCATCAGCACGTGTTTTGTGGATAGATGGTTGGATGAATGAATGGTCAAATAAATTCATGTTTAAATAGATAAGTAAACAGGCCGGACATGTTGGCTCAAGGCTGTAATCCCAGCACTTTGGGAGGCCGAGGCGGGCAGATCATTTGAGGTCAGGAGTTCAAGACCAGCCTGGCCAGCATGGCAAAACCCCATCTCTACCAAAAATACAAAAATATTAGCCGGGCATGGTGGTGTGTGCCTGTATTCAGCTACTTGGGAGGCTGAGGCAGGAGAATCTCTTGAACCCGGGAGGTGGAGGTTGTAGTGAGCCAAGATTGTGCCACAGCACTCCAGCCTGGGTGACAGAGTGAGACCCTGTCTCTGACATAAATAAACAGATGAGTTAACAATTCCAACAGACTGCAACCCTTGTCCTTTTTAGCCTCAACCACATTTGATGGCATCAAACACACTCACATTTGCCTCCTCTCTCATCTTTTCGGGCTCAGAAGTTTGCAGATTCTCCTCCCTTGTTGACTCTTCTTTCTTGGTCTTTTTTCATTTCTCCTGTTCCCTAGAATGTTAACCATTCTCCAGAGCATATTCTTGAACATTGCTTTTACTGCTTTCACTCTCAAGGATTTCATTCTTTATTAAGGCTTCAATTATCACTGGTATGTAGATAAAGTCGAGATGTCTTATATAGATTCTTCTGCATTCTGGGCTTATATTTCTTAAAACTTATTTGTCAAAAGGATGCCCTGTTGACTCTTTAAAATTGAACTTACCATCTTCTGCCTGAAGCCTGCTCCTTCCCTGGCATGGGTATGCACATTCATGGTGTGGCAGCTTTTCCAGGCTCCCAGAGGCTTGACGTGCCAGAGTCATTTCCGACTCCTCCCACCCATGTTCCAGGCAGTCACTGATCATGTAATTCCATCTCCATATGCTCTTGCATCTGCTTCCAACCTCTTTTTTCCCCCCAGGCACTATTCTGATTCAGGTCCTCTCTATGATCTTAAGCCAGTTCTCTGAAGTGGAACACTTAAACACTGAGTGCTGTAAGAAATATTAGAATTTCTGCACATATGTACATTTTAATCTCAATCTTTGAAATGTTCTGTTTTATATATGTTTTATAATGTAAATAATTTATTAGAGTAGTGTATGTATATACGATACAATAGAATAACATTTTTATTAGTAGAACAATAATCTGTTATACACCAAGAAGCCCTCAGTAGCTTCTGTGTTAGGCTGTTCTTGCATTGCTATGAAGAAATACCCAAGACTCGGTAATTTATAAAGACAAGAGTTTTAAGTGGCTCATCGTTCTGTAGACTGTCCAGGAAGCATGGCGCTGGCATCTGCTCAGCTTCTGGGGAGGCCTCAGCGAGCTTTTTCTTATGGTGGAAGGTGAAGCGGGAGTAGGCACCGCACATAATGAAAGCAGGAACAGGAGAGAGTGGGAGGGAAGGTGCCACACACCTAAACAACCAGATCTCACTAGTACTCATTCTTGCAAGGACAGCACCAAGCCATGAGGGATCCACCACCAGGACCCAAGCACCTCCCACCAGGACCCACCTCCAGTATTGGGGATTACATTTCAATGTGAGATTGGGTCAGGGACAAATATCGAAACTATATCAGCTTCTAACTGCCTATCATATTGAAAACAAACTCACCTGCCTGTCATTGAAGGCATATATAGTACCTCCTTTCTAGGCTGGTAAGGCAGTCCCTGGCGTAGAGTCCCTTGCACACGCTGCAGGCTCTAGCCAAATTGAACTACTTACTGGATGCTTTTAAGCTCTCACTTCTTCACCTTTATGACTTTGATTGTATTGTTCTCTTCTCTTACTCTCCATTTGCTATAAATAATATGCATAGTGGTTAAGAGCAAGGAGATTATATATATCCATTTCTATCTCAGTCATTGAAATGTTCTATTTCATATAAGTTCAAATCTTGGCTCTAACACTTTCTAGTTGTTTTATTTGGGCAAGTCACTGACACTTCTGAACCTCAACTTCCTCATCTGGAAAATAGGGATAACAACAATCAGCTCACAGGTTTGTTGTGTGGATTTATTAAGTAACACATGTGCTGAGCTTAGCACCATGTCTGGCATATTCTTAATACCTGATCTAAAAGTGAGAGCTGCTGCTACTGCTTCTATTACTCCTTTCTAGTATTTTTAGTCCAATTCTCTCAAATGTGAGATTGTGCAGGAAAGTAAAGGTTGTTGTAACATAAAAATATTAACAAACGAGCTTGCCATTTATGTGACTATTCCTTACTCAGACATCCCTCCAGCATCATATGACTAACCCCTGCCCATTCTGACATCATTGGTCCGTTTCAGTAGAATTGTTTAATATTTTTAATACCCAACAGCACAATGCAAATATGATGCAAGGTAACTGTAAAATAAAACTAAACTTTGCAAAAGATGTTAGATACCATGAAGTCAATGCAACTTCATGATATTAGAAAAATGATAATAGAAAAATGCTGGAATCATGTACAAAGGCAATGATCTAAATTAGGATCTAGTGGAAAAAGAGAAAATTGAACAAGTATAAGTATAGGCACTTCAAAAAAGAATGTTTTAAATATCAAAGGATTAAGAGGGAATTTGGAAGAAATTAATGAAGCTTTTAAATATTACTGCTAACAGAAATATTTTAAAAATACTTGGTCAGAGTATTTAAATAAAATACAAAAAACATTAACCATAAAAGAAATATGTATAAATCTTGCTACGTTAAAATTAAGAGTATCTGCTCCCCAAGAGAAATCATAAGAGCACAAACTTTATATATCTTTCTATATCCAGAATATATAAATAATTACAAATCAGTAAAAAAAAATACTATATGTGAACAGGCATTTCTCAGAGGAGGAAACACAAATGGATAAACTTGGGGAGAAAATAACTCAACCTTATTTTATAAGGAGGGAAATGGAACATTTGATGGGACATATGATAACATTGAGATGCCATTTTACTGTTTCTAGAAGGACAAAAGTTAACATGTCTGTATTAGTTATCTATTGCTCCATTACAAATGACCATGAATTTCACAGCTTAAAACAACACACATTATCTCATAACTTCAGTGGGTTGGGAGTCTGGGTATGGCTTAACTGGGTCCTTTGCTTAGGAATGCCTAACAACACTCAGCAATGGCAAGTATGCAAATCAATGGGAATTTTTATTGTTTTTTTGTTTTTTGTTTTTTGTTTTTTTTTTTTGTTTTTTTTTTTTGTTTTTTTTTTTTGAGACGGAGTCTCGCTCTGTCGCCCAGGCCAGACTGCGGACTGCAGTGGCGCAATCTCGGCTCACTGCCAGCTCCGCTTCCCGGGTTCACGCCATTCTCCTGCCTCAGCCTCCCGAGTAGCTGGGACTACAGGCGCCCGCCACAGCGCCCGGCTAATTTTTTGTATTTTTAGTAGAGACGGGGTTTCACCTTGTTAGCCAGGATGGTCTCGATCCCCTGACCTCATGATCCACCCACCTCGGCCTCCCAAAGTGCTGGGATTACAGGCGTGAGCCACCGCGCCCGGCCCATCAATGGGAATTTTTATAAAGCACTTTGGAAAATAATTTTCTATTACCTTAAAAAGTTGAATGTTCATATAGCTTTAAGATGCAGCACTTCCACTCATAGGTCTATATCCTAGAAAGACTTGGACTTGTGAACTTGGGAACATGCACAAGAATGTTCATAAAAACAAAACCTGGGAAATAACCCAAATACCCACTGACAGGTGAATGCAGAGATTGGGAATTCTTACCCAGTGGAATATCAAATCAACTACATGAACAGAAACACACAATAACCATAAGATTTATGGTTCAATAAATCTTAGAACCATATTATTGAGGAAAACAAGCAAGCCAAAGAAAACTAGATACACTCAGATATATTTTCATAAAGCTCAAAGCAAAACTAAGTAACAGATATGTGATAAAACTATATGGAAAAATCAAGGCAATTATGATAATGGGTTTCAGAATGGTGCTTACCTTGGATGATGGTTGTAAGCACAGGGGTGGGTTGGGGAAGGGAGTACGCAGTAGCTTCCTGGTAATGAGAATATTCTATTTCATAAGTTGGGTGATGGGTTTACCCTGAGCATTTATTATCATGCTTTATAGCTATATATGCTATGTATTTTCTTTTGTATGATTTTTACATAATAAAAATTTAAGAAAATGTGCACTATAGTAGTCAGATATATGAAATCAAATTATACTATAATATAATGTTGTCAGTTATGTCAAAAAACCCCAGTCATTTTAATTGGGGTTTACTGGTTATTTGTTCTAATAAGTAGCACATTATTACAATTAAAATGTAAAATTTGTTAATTATAAGACAAAAAACTTATGAGTATTAGATCAGTTTTTCAAGGAAAAAATCTCACTGAAACTTTTATTTTATTGTTTATTTTGAAAATTGGACAGCATTTTATTTCATTTCATTTTGGGAGGCTGAAGTAGGAGGATTGCTTGAGCCCAGGAGGTCAGGGCTGCAATGAGTTGTGATTGTGCGACTGCAATCCAGCCTGGATAACAGAGTGAGACTCTGTCTTAACAACAACAACAACAACAACAACAACATATTTTCAAAGAAAAATAGCAAAAGCTAATTGGAAACCTACTTATTCTTCAACTCCAATTTTCTTTAAATTTGGAAGTGACTTACTGATTTACTATTTTTTTTTTGAGACGGAGTCTCGCTCTGTGGCCCAGGCTGGAGTGCAGTGGCGCGATCTCGGCTCACTGCAAGCTCCGCCTTCCGGGTTCACGCCATTCTCCTGCTTCAGCCTCCTGAGTAGCTGGGACTACAGGCGCCCGCCACCAGGCCCGGCTAATTTTTTGTATCTTTTTTAGTAGAGACGGGGTTTCACCGTGTTAGCCAGGATGGCCTCGATCTCCTGACCTCGTGATCCACCCGCCTGGGCCTCCCAAAGTGCTGGGATTACAGGCGTGAGCCACCGCGCCCGGCCACTGATTTACTATTTTAAACAACTCCTCTTCTTCCCCTTTAAACATTTACCGTCTACGCATGCTAACGTCTCCAGAGATGACTGCTCTAGCATGCATCTATAGGTCCTTGTTTAGCTCCTTTTATCAAAAAATACCAAACACAATTCTATTTTTTGCATCTGAAGGGCTCTATTCACCAAGAATAGGAAAAAAAAATTCTTTGGAATAGCCAATTAAGTTGAATTTTAAAAAAACCACATGAATGTGATTTGGTTGGGTCAGGAATCCATTCCTGTGTTCCCGGTAATCTGATACCCATCCTTGAATCCTTGTAATTCATCCTCCCTATCCTTGCCAAGTTATGATTTGAATCCAATGATCTAGCTTCAAGGATTGAGCCCTCTCCAGTCCAAACATTTATAACCAGCAAAACCAAAGGAAAGGAGGCAAAATGTAATCAGAAAATGTTTCTAGGGAATGAGGAGTTATGTCTGTTATGCGCTTAACAGAGGTACATCAATAACTATCAAATTCCCTCAAACAAATTTCTCCACGGTATTCAGATAAATTTAAGAAATTTAATCGTCATAGAGACAATGGATACTATTTAAAATGGATTAACTTCAAGTGGCTTTATCTATTCAATTTGTCCTTTGATAGTGAAGACCTTTTCAGATCCACAAATACAAATATTACTGCTACTTCTTCTCCCACCAAGATGCATCTGAAATATTTCCCTTTCCGTGGCCCACCAAATTGATATCATCTCCACTTTTGAACTTACCTACACATGCATAGTACTCCTAGCACCTCTTTGGGAACCTGGCATGACTGTTTTGTTTTATAATGACTTAGTTATTTGTTTTTCCATAACTGGATACTAAACTCTAGACCTTACTGATTATTTTTTGGTGGGGAGTGGACAGAGTCTCATTCTGTCACCCAGGCTGGAGTGCAGTGGAGCAATCTTGGCTCACTGCAGCCTCTGCCTCCCAGGTTCAAGTGATTCTCCTGCCTCAGCCTCCCAAGTAGCTGGGATTACAGGCGCCTGCCACCATGCCCAGCTAATTTTTGTATTTTTTGTAGAGATGAGATTTTGCCATGTTGGCCAGGCTGGTCTCAAACTCCTGATCTCGAGTGATTTGCCTGCATCGGCCTCCCAAAGTGCTGGGATTACAGGCGTGAGCCACCGTACCCAGCCGACCTTACTGATCTTTGTGTGAACCTAGAACAGTCACACACATAGAGTTATTGCTAAATAAATACTTAGTTGACTTGAATTTCTCTGGACGTGTTTCATTACTGGCTTTAAGAAAAGTCAACACTATCATGATTTTTAATATGTGCAAATTCTTCACATGGATTAAATTGCTAGGAAAGCAAGCAAACAGCCTTGGTAACAATGTTCAGGCTAGCCTAGAGAATTACATACTTTGTACCAGATTTTACATACATATATTTGCATTTTGGAAATAAAGTCCCTTGCAAAAACATCTCTCAAGAAAGCTTGTGTTGCTTACATCAGAAAGCACCAGAAGCATTTTTCCTATTGTTACAAAAATGGTGAAGGTTAGTGCATGCAAATTTCTCATATGCCTCATAAAACACTTACTCATCTACATCTAAAGCCAAGAACCACTGTGTAACCGACTAGTTCCCTGCTCGTAAGGAACTCGGCTGTGTAATTCTGTTTCATCACCAAATGCCAGCATTTCCTGTCCTCTCTAGGGGGCTTTACTACTTCATGACATCATAAACAAGATAGGCCCAGAGTTCAGTTTAGCTGACATCTTCGTTATAAAACCAATAAACAAGAAAGCCCCAGGGTATTAGGCATTATTTTTTCTTTTCTGAAGCTAGATAGAAATGTAATATGTTTACAGAGTTTCTAATTTATTTTTCTGTTAATGAAAACAGGCATTTCCAGATAAATTAGGCCGTGTTCTAGAGTTGCTTTTATATACAGAGGGAAGTAATTTTGCTTAGAATTTTAAATGTAACTTTTGTCTTTTGTTAAGAATTATGGATGGTAGTGGGGGGATGGAAAAAGGACTGAAACCAAGCACAGAGGCAAAAATGTATTGCCTTTTTTTTTCAATTCTGGAAAAGAGTTATGTGTGCAATTAGGATTTCTGTGTTTAAGGAGGCTGTTTAAAAAGTCAACACATTATTTAGTTGAGGAATGTAGTTTAAGAATTATGCTTACGGCTGGGTGCAGTGGCTCATGCCTGTAATCCCAGCACTTTGGGAGGCTAAGGAGGGCAGATCACGAGGTCAGGAGTTCGAGACCAGCCTGACCAACATGGTGAAACCCCATCTCTACTGAAAATACAAAAATTAGCTGGGCGTGGTGGCATGCCTCTGTAATCCCAGCTACTCAGGAGGCTGAGGCAGGATAATCTCTTGAACCCGCGAGGTGGAGGTTGCAGTGAGCCGAGATGGTGCCATTGCACTCCAGGCTAGGTGAGAGAGTGAGACTCCATTTCAAAAAAAAAAAAAAAAAAGTTATGCTTACATTTTTATATTTATGTGTATCAGTATGTACATGCACATACAAGTAGTCTTTTCAGAGCCAATTAATTTGAATACATTTGCAAGTCTTATGAATTAAAAAAATGTTTGAAACTACTTGAACTATCAGAAAACCTCTACAAATATTGAAGAGATCAAGGCAAAGTTGTACCTCAAGTGATTTTCTGAGTTATACACAACATACATAATAAAAAAATATTGCTCGAAGTGATGGAACTCATAGGACCAGCTCAATAAAGTGAATTATGCAAGCTCTGCTAACTGGAAGATGTTATTGAATGGTTTAATTCAAGTAAAAGTTCTCAACACAAATATATCTGTACCTGTATTGATGTATGTTGGTAAAATACGATGGGCATAGTTTGCTGACCTGACCGTGTAATTGCAGTCAATGAAATTATTAAGCTTCCTCAATAGAATGAGGAGAGCACAACAGCAGGTGCGAGTTATATAGAGAGAGATTCACCATGGTTCTGGCCTTAAAGGCTCAAAATTCAGTTGGAGAGAAATAATGGGTTTATAAAGATAAAATATTGTTGGTAGTAACATGATATCTGTTGACATTTTGAGAAAGAGATTTTCTGTGTATTCTGTGAAGTAGCTTCTCTCAGAAGCAGTGGTTATTGAATAAAAAAAATCAACATTATCTTGAACCCATTGGGTAAGGCTGGAGTGAAGGCAAGATGGAATCTCTTTCCTTGGAGTTCTTGGCACTCAAGCATCTGAGTGGGTAGCTTTTGCCCTGGTAGGTGTAGATAAGCATGTGTCTTTGGTCTGGAGGAAAGCTGCCTGTTTCGCTTGAGTCAGCTTGTTCACAGAGTGAGGTGATTCTTCCCAACTCTCACCCAAGCAAATTGATGACTCCAGGGTGAGCAGAATCAATGCACTGGCATTTGCCAAATACAGATTCAGATGAAAATGGAATAAATTAGTTCCTCTCAGTCAGTTATTGCTTCGTGTATGCGAGCTGAGGAAGAAGGGGTGCTGAGGTGCATGTTGAATGTGAACTACCTTCTGTTTTCAGCTGAAGATATAAACAGACAGTGATTATAAAACTGTAGCTTGGTGGGGAAAGGAGTTCTGTGAGAAACTCAATTTCTCCCTCTGAATTGTACCTGGAGTAGCACTGACTCTTATTTGCATAGGCTGTTCAGAATATGTCTGGAATTTCCATTGTGAGGTTACAGACTGCCACCATGTAATAACAGCATTACTGGAAGCTAATACTGTAATTAATTTCTTACTACCATACTTAGCTGATATTGACAATGAGATGTGTGATTACCCAGCATAACTTGGCAGATTCTTCACAGCAAAAGAATTCATAATCACATCTGATGGCCTGTCCAACGGAGAGAACAGGATGTCTAGGAAGAGGCTATCATTTCAAGGATGGACATAGTATGGTTAGTGCTCTCAAGACATGCTTAGCCAAAGAGAAAGCTAGTATTTTGGTATTAGTAGTTGAGCTTGATTCCAGTACAGCTGTTCATAAAATAGTGAGGCATGCTACAAAGCGATATTGCTGTGCATCACCAGAAAACTCGGAATAAAAGAAATGCCAAACTGAAGATGCAATCTTTTGTTGGTGGGGAAATAATATCCTCTTTATGATATTCTTATGATGTTTCATTGACATATGGTGCTTCTAACCAAGTGACAAATTAATTGACTAAAGAGAAATGGATGTGGCTTAGTAAAGAAGGACAGGATATGTATTATAAGGCAGCTGGTTCTGCCACTGCTGGCTTATGGAGACAATATACATTGGACAGCTAATGAGTCTCTGTTGCATAAGATAGATTCTCTTTATAATAGAATTGCACGCTTTGTCTCTAAATGGGGTTATTATACACACCATTGCACAATGTTTGAAGAGCTTGGTTGGCCCTTGTAGAGGATTACGAGAGAAATAAATTGGAAGACAATGTACTGAAGACCTTCAATCCATCAAACATTTCATATTTATCTAAATTACTAGCACATTCTCCAAAAATATGAGTCTGTATGATACACAAGGCTAGAATGTTAATGCTGACCAGACTTTGCTTTATCAGACAGGTTTTCCACTGTAAGCATTGACCAAAATTCACGCACAGTGAAGCCGGGCAATACACATTCCAACAACTGCCCCCATTCCATTTGCCTCTGCTCTTCATGTATTCCACTATCTTAGTCCCTGAAGTTTCATTTGTTATTTCTTCTACCCACCATGAACACACAGGGCTCACTTGCCCTGGGTTATTTAATTCTCAGAACTTTTTGACTTTGACTACCCAGACAGCTTTAGTGGTAATTCAGTTTCTTCACTTTTCTCCATACTTGTGGGCCCTCACAGTTCAGTTGCTCAGCTATTCTTTATAATAAATCCATTTCAATTAAGGTTAAAGCCTAGAAAGAAATACTAGGCTGGATGTGGTGGCTCAGGCCTGTAATCACAGCACTTTGGGAGGCTGAGGTGAGTGGATAAAATGAGCCCAGGAGTTGGAGACCAGCCTGGGCAACATAGCGAGACCCCGCCTCTACAGAAAGTACAAAAATTAGCCAAGCATGGTGGTGCATGCCTATAGTCCCAGCTACTTGGGAGGCTGAGGTGAGAAGATTGCTTGAGTCCAGGAGGTTGAGGCTGCAGTGAGATATGATTGTGCCACTGTACTCCAGCCTGCGTGACAGAGTGAGACCCGGTCTCAAAAAAAAAAAAAACAACAACAACAACAAAAAACAAACCAAAAGAACAAAAAGGAAAGAAACAAAATATTGGAAGTGACGAAGAAGACAGGATAAATGACAACATCATTCACTCTGTGTCAGAACACTGTACTTTCTATTAGAGGACATGGCAGGGCTTATTCAGATGGTGTAGATGGGGAGATGGAGGAGGTGAGTCATGCTCTTACCATCATTACTCTCTAATGTGGCTTTGAACCTGATTCCACTTTCTGGCTTGATTCTTCTATCCATGATATCATGTAGATGGAATTTTGTAGCTCAATTTTGCCCAAATATTTTCAGGGTGATACCATGTCTTTGAGCCCCAGGGGAAGTTTTGCACAGGAAAGGTGATTCTTGGGGTATATCATCACTAGGTTTTTGACTTGCCAATGGACTGTGGAGGCACCATTAATTCCTGCTGATGCTGAGATCCTCACCTATGTGGTGAGGTGACAATATTTTGTTTCTTTCAAACTTTCTTCTCTGTGTCTTTCTCCTCTCAACCTACCAAGAGTAATTGAAGAGAATTACACCTGTGAAACATTTCAAGATGCTTGGAGTAAGATGGTCTTTTCAGTTTAAGACATTATTATATTCCAAACCAGATTGCTTTCTCTCTGTCATTGTGAGGTTCTTTCCTTTGCAAGTCTATCTGTACTCTGGTATAGAGAAAGGTGAGCTGAAAGAAATGGACAAAACTGTTTCATGGACTTCTCCACATATTTATTACCCTCTCCAAATTGAATCTTGAAGCCTTGTCAGAAGTGTTATTTTCCCAACAGAGTAGGTGTTAAGTGTCTCTAGAAAATAAACTCACCTCCTGATATCTTTCTCAAGATTATATTGTAAGGTGTGACAGGAGGTGTTGTACAGCAAGGGAAGATCATCACTTTGTAATTTGATTTGTTCAAGTTCTCTTCTTTGGCACGGGCTTTTGGATTTCCTTGTCATTTCTGGAATTATTTCTTAAATGGTGAGTATTTTTTTCATATGTGTTTTTCCCAGAGCTTATTCCATCCAAATACTTTTTAAGTTGCATACACTCTTCTATAAATAGAGCTATGTTTTTGTAATGGAGTTTCAATAATTTGGCCAGGGAAAAGGAAAAACTGAAACAAATGGTAACAATGACTAGTTAATGATTTTTCTTTCACCTGATTTTTTATGACTTTTATATTTTCTGCTAAAAGCAGATTATTTGATAACAATACTAAGAATACTTAGCTGTAGGTAAAAATTAATATCCATTTGACTGAATGTTTCATTTAATGACAGGGCTTGTGCTTACCACAATTATCTTAAGGAAATAAATGTGTACAGAGACTGATGAGTAGACACACTAGACTTTATCAATGTTTATTCAAATTATTGCAGTTTAGTGATTTGGAAATCTAGAATTGAGATGCTTTAGAAATAAATCTTTGCTTATATGTAATTTCTTTAGTTCAAGGGTCGGAAAACACTTTACAAGCAATTAAACTCTAGGATTCAAATGAGGATTTCATATTGTTTATTGTTTAAATAAAGTTACAGAATTATCATTTGCTTAGGGTTTCTAGAAAATCCTTTCTTTTAGGTCTACAAATATGCATACCCAAGTTTCCTTGGATATTTACCTCTTCCCTCAAGACATTTTCAGATTTCTTTTCTTCCCATGCCATCATATTTCTTTTCTTTTTTTTTTCAGATGGGGCCTGGAGTGCAGTGGTGCACAGCTCATTGCTCCCTCGATCTCCTGGGCTCAAATGATCTTCTCACCTCAGCCTCCTAAGTAGCTGGGACTACAGGCATGCACCAAAATGTCTGGCTAATTTTTGTATTTTTCTTTTTTTCCTCTCTCTTTTTTTTTTTAAATAGAACCGGGGTCTCACTATGTTGCCCATGTTCATCTTGAACTCCTGGCCTCAAGCGACCCTCCTGCCTCAGCCTCCCAATGTGCTGGAATCACAGGCACGAGCTACTGCACCAGGCTATTATATTTCTTGAAAAACTCTCTTTTTTACTTCCTCCTGCAACCAACTCCTCCAACCAGAGTCAGTCACTCCCTCCTTTTCTTGGCAAGATCTTGTATCCTGCCCTTGTCTCCCAGTCCTTGTGATCTTATGTTCAGGTAGAGAGGAACTTTCTCTTACTCATTGTCTTATTACTTGTATCCAAATGTTGGGGACATTCCCAGCCCTTCATAAGGATTGTTTCAATGCATGACTGAATGAATCTGTGAGTGAATGTGATCACTGTGGAGCTGTGAAGTAGCTTGGGCCACTCCCAAATTGTGCTGGCCATGCAGTGAAAGGCATTTTCCCTGTTTTGACGGGGCTGTTTATCTCTGCTCCTGGTTCTGCTCTCCACTAGGAAAAGGAGAAACTCTACATGGAACTAAAGCACGTCTTGGCCCGCCAGCCTGGACCTGAGGCTGCGGAACAGCTGAAGCTGTACCGACGCACGCTGCATGACAAGAAGCAGCAGCTGAAAGTAAGTGGTAGCCCCTGTTCCTTCCGGGTTCCAGGGCAGCCACACTCTGGGGAGCACACCTGGACAAGTCCACTGACTCCACACAATGAGCCAGTCTCTCAATGCCACGATCCTCTGAGGTCAGCTCCCTTAGAGCTCTAGTCTAGGATGAGCCAGCAGACCTCAGAGCTATCCTTCTCTTCCTGGACTATTAGACAGCACCATTCTCCATTTCCAGAAAGAGGCAGGTGAGCAAGGGAGGAAAAGATGATGACAACAGAATGGAGATGTGCGGACAGGGTTTGGATGAATGATCTTGAGATGATTTATTAGAGTACTTGAAGGGCAGGGAGGAGCAAAGGAAATATTTTAACACCATTGACCAACTGAAGCAGACTGCCGTGCCACAGTGGGTCCCTGGTATTCCATCCCATCTGAAATAAACATACACAGAAGAAGTCCAGCCACTGCCCAGCCCTGAGGGCCTTGCTTCCTGACCAGCTGTCAAATATGTAACCATGAAAGGGAAATAAAATCAGGCAAGATTTTTTGATAGTGTGATTCCCTTCTAAGTCACATAAGACCCTCAGTTGCAGAGATATGGAGTGTTTTACTTTTCTATGTGCCTTTTGAAAGTTTTCTCAAAAGTTGTGCATGTTCACACTATATTTTGAGCTTCACCTTCTAAGCAAGTACTTAGCTATTCTTGGCATATCAGGGAAGTTTTACACACACAGCCACAGGATGAAGCATGTGCCAGTTGAATTCTGGCACTTCCTGCCCAATGAGGGTAATAATCGTTGACTTTCTGCCTGGGGTAAAATATATGCCACCCTACTAGTATAGCCCTAACCCCTTCAAAAATAGGACATTGTAAAACTGCATCCTTTTATTTTAAAAGGGCAAATGAAACAAGTCTAATTAGAGCATTAATTTTCAATTTGTCACTCTGAATGTTCATTTCACTTGAGTATCTTGAGACATAATTTGAATTTTGCATAGGACGTAATCTTTTGATTATTTTGTTCCTTTAAACAATTGAATATTTTGAACAAAACAAATTATTTTCTTGTTTTCTCAGAGGTAGATATAGATTAGAAAAGCACAGAGCTGTCTTATTCACACAGAGCTCCGGGTTGCCTTCAAAGGCTCACAGGAGCCTTTTGTGAATTTAACCCTTTATCTCAGGAAATCCAGATTTTTTGCTCAAATGAAATGTGACCCCTCATGAAGAGGTTTAGAGGTGGGTGGTACTGAGCATGTCTGCCAGTTTGTCCTTGATACTTACCTACTCTTATAGGAAATTCCACATTCATTGTTTAGAAGGAGGGTCTTTGTTTCTAAAAGTTTAACTACTGAGACAGGTTTTTTTTTTTTTTTTCCAGCATGAAAATTACGTTCTTTAGCCCATGATAACCTAATCAAAATCATTTTCACAGCAGTGAAGAAGAAAGAGTTCAGAAGCAGATGAACACTAAGAAGGCTAAGATCTCCCTTTTATGCAAATATTTAAAACAACAAGCAAGAGGAAAAATAAATCCAGCCTATTGCATGCCTGTTAGAACAATACCCTTCCTTTTCTCTTTTTGGTTTTGGTGGGGAGCACACCCCAGCTTTGGCATGCGCTATGTCCTATGCAGATGAGTGAATTCCCACTCTTCTTGTCCAGCCCAAGCCCAGCAGCAGCTACCGAACACAGCAATGGAAGGAAGCAGATAGTCAGGCTTTGAAGAGTCCCGAAGAACACAGTAAAGAGGGGATAGGCATTCAGCAGCATCACAACCCTGGAAAACACATAAATTGAATGCTTAGTTAGCAGTGATGGCAGGATGACTTCAGAATAATTTTTTTCATAATCCTCAGATGAATCACACACTCTGGTGATGTTTTTCTTGAATATTTTCTTTTTTTTTAAGGCTTTAAAAGCAATTTTAGACTGTGTGTCTGGGAGTTTTCTGTCTCTATTCATGATATTCCTTGAAGCACATTAGACCATTCATCTGTGAGCCTGTTCGAATGTTGTCTAATAGTTCTTGTTTTAAGTGGGGGAATGATATTTTGTTTAAAGTTGCAACCTAGTGATGCATCTTCAGCCCTCAGCCAGGTTTCTACTCAGATGTGGACCCTGAGCTGGTGGAAGCATGCAGATTAATTGTGAAACTTGGGCATTGTTTTGCACCTCTAGCTCCACTGCGGTAAATGGTAGCAGATTAAAAGATTTCTCAGAAAAGGATATTGTATCTTTTGTTAATGCTGCTTTATTTGCCATGTTAGGTTTTGTCTTCAGAATTGAATATGTATGAAGTACAGAGCAAAGAATATAAATATGAGGTAGAGAAACTTACCAATGAGCTCCAGAATTTAAAGAAGAAATACCTCGCTCAGAAACGTAAAGAACAACTTCAAAAGTAAGAATTAGTCAAACGTCCTAATTTTGTTGTGCCTATTATCTGCACATAAGAAAATATTTGGTGAACAGTCACAGAGTTGCAAGTTTCACTGGGGTAAACTAAATCACAGGGTAAACAAATGACATTCTACAGGTCACTAAGTTTGTATCAGAGCAAGATCAGTGTCTCATCTGATACTGAGTCCCCTCCTTGGGATTCTAACAGGGATCCATTAATATCTGCTCATTGGTGGATCTACCATGGAGCAGAGGAAATGTAATATGACTTTTCTCCCCACACTAGTCTATGGTTTGGAGATAATAATGTCATAACTATGTTTGCAAATGAGTTTCAAAATCAGCCTTGTACAGCATATTCACATTTAAAACCACATGTGCTTTTGCTAAGGGACCAGGGCTTAGTAAAGCTGTTCTTTCTAATGATGCCCCTGTACCACTATAACTACTAGCAGTTCACCTATGTTTTATTTATTTATTTATTTATTTATTTATTTATTTATTTATTTTTGATTTTTTTTTGTAGCAACAGGGTCTTGGTATGTTGCCCAGGCTGGTCTTGAACTCCTGGCCTCAAACAGTCCTCCTGCCTCAGCCTCCCAAAATGTTGAGATTACAGGGTGAGCCATGGTGTCCTGCCTGCCTAGGTTTTTAGATAGTTATTATCTCTGAACCATCTTCTATGTCTAGTGACTGACTTCAGCATCTGCTGTGGAGGGTTGATGTGACCTATTCTTCTAGGAGATGATAATGAAGAGGTGAGGTTAACATTTTGGTTTCAGGATGCTCCCATGTTGAAAAACAAAATTTCTCTTCACATTGTTAGTATTATTTGCCTGATCCCAGGGTGAAAATCGGGGCCCAAATGAATCAGGTTTGAAACGAACTAGTTTTGAAACTTGGTTTGGCTGCGTGACATTGCCAAAATCATCCAGTTAATCTTGTAGTGACTCACGTTATGGGCTGAAATTCATGCTTGGTACTTATCCACATGGACATTTCAGGGACATGGTGAAATATGGCTTGAGTGCATTTGCCTATGATTTGTTAGTAGCAAAGTTATATAAGGTAACTGGATGCAAATTCATTTGCCAGTAAAAGTCTGCCCTTCTTGTAAATCAGAATACTCCCCCGTTCCACATTTAGATGCCAGTTCCATGGTAGAGTAAAATACTGCTATAATTTAGATAAGTCCATCTTAATGTGTAGGTCTACCAGCTATCTGTCTGGTTCGGAATCACTAGTGAGATTTATTAAACATACAGGTTCCCAGGCCATATTTCCAGATACTTGGATTCAGCAGGCTCTGGAAACCTGCAATTTAATAAGCTTCTCAGGTGATTTTCATGCACAGTGAAGCTTCAGAACCACTAATATTAACAATGTAAATTAAATGAATGCTGGAGTGGAAACACTGTATTTTTCTTTTAGGATATCAAGGTTGTGCTCATAAAATGTCAACATGGTTAATTTCCACATGAAGCAGGTGTCTAACTCAATGGTCTTCAAGCTCTTTGATTGTGCACCCTTATCAGTAAAACTCTTTTTTTGAGACAGAGTCTTACTGTGTCACCCAGGCTGGAGTGCAGTGGCACCATCTTGGCTCACTCTGTCTCCGGGGTTGAAGCCATTCTCATGTCTCAGCCTCCCAAATAGCTGGGATGACAAGCATGCACCAACATGCCCAGCTAATTTTTTTTTTTTTTTGTATTTTTAGTAGAGACAGTGTTTTGTCATGTTGGCCAGGCTGGTCTCGAATTCCTGGCCCCAAGTGATCTGCTGGCCTTGGCCTCCCAAAGTGCTGGGATTACAGGCATGAGCCACTGTGCCCTGCCAGTAAAACGTTTTTGAACTTGCAGATCCCCTCATGCATATGCATATATCTTTTAAATAATTTAAAAATTTCAGAATAGTTTTAGATTTACCTGCAATGTATTTTAATTTATAAATTATATGCAGATACCATTGCCAGTTTGTAACTCTTAGGCATAATTTTTAAATTTTAAAGATAAAAGTATTAATAGATTTATTAATAGATACATAAAATAGTAAGAAATAATAAATTAATAGAATAGAAATGAAAGAAAATAATCAATTAATAAAATTAATAGAATAATATCTTCTTTCTACCCACAATGGATCATCTCATTCATTTTTTAAAGTTCGTACACTCCATTTGGAGACTGATGGTCTAGTTTACACTGTTATAAACAGCTAGCTTGGCTGTTTATTATCTTTCTAGAGCTGATTAATTTTCTTGCCTTGACCCTGGGGTTTGGCCTAGTCTTCTTTGACATTACTGACTGCTAATCTTGCTCCCTCTCCTGCCCCAAAGTTTGATGGACACAGAGAGCATGAGCTGTCCAGATATTGGCTCAGCCCTTCTTGATGGGTCCATCCACTAGCACTGTGCTGCTCAGCAGTGTGCCACTTGTGGCCAATGAGATTTAAACAAATTACTGTGAAATCAGTTCCTCAGTCTCACTAGTCACATTTCAAGTGCTTTAACAGCCACATGTGGCTAGTGGCTGGGTATAACAGAAAGTTCAATTGGGCAGTCCTAGAAAGTTCTAGAAAGCTCTAGAATCTTTGCCTTTACCTGTCCTCTTCTTGTCCTTACACGCTTATTACTAGTAGCCACTCTGACCTAGTTAGGGTTCCTTTGGTGGTTCCATCTACGTGGGGATCCATAAACTGGTAGACAGAGATTAGTTCATAGGAGAATAGCAAAAAAGATGCTGAAGAAAAAAATATGAAGAGGCAAGAACAAAAGTGCTGAGATGGTATAGACTGGAAAGAAGAAGGCTGAGGGAGTCATTATAATGGTCTATAAATACATTAAAAAGATAATATAAAGGAGACAGTATTCCCATTAGTCAGCTTAGACCAAGCCAGAAGCATTAAGCGTAAGCTCCTTCAGGAAAAGAAAATTCAGGTTATTTAAGGTGAGAGAGGGCAGGGGGAGGGGGAGTGATGCCGCCTCTAACACCAGTCAAGAGCCAGACGAGTTGCCAAAGTACAAGAAAGAATTTGTTTTGCTGGATCCACTCAAGGCTAAAGCTTTTGTCCTATTTATGGAGAATGGTTTTTCACCATAATGAAATCAATTCTGCTGAGAGACAGATGGGTTGGTTACCAATCCTCTACAGGTTCTCTCCCAATGGAATAATTTAGAATAATCTCTGTGGATGTTCTCTCCACATATGCCCTTAACAAAATAGCAACTCTTATCATTTTGTACCTTTTACCTTCTTTTGTTTTTCTTAATCACCCCTCTGCTCACACTGTGATCCCAAACTGCATCTGCCACTTCCCCTGTCTACCCTACTCCACATCCCCAGGCTGATCTACAGTCTGCAGTACCAGATTCTTTTCCAAAAGACAGTTTGTTCCCCTAGGGTGAGTCATTCATAATTGTCCAATCTAATTGGTTTTGGTCTTAGCAGTTTGCTTAATTTTTATTGTTTAACAGGGTTTCCAAAGGTGTTTTCTTTAAGACCCCAACTGTATGATAACTTGTGTAGATCTAGGTTACTTCTGCAGGAAACATGAATATGAGTGTGTGTGTGTGTGTGTGTGTGTGTGTGTGTGTGTATTTAAAGGACATCTATATAGAAGTTACATTGTTGATTTTAGGGCAGAATTCCCTCATCCATTGCCAAAAATACTATTTATCTTCCCCAGCTTTTCTTGTATCTTCAACTATTTCTAGTAATAATGGTTGCTTGTCTAGGGTTACAGGAAAATTTGTGTTTTATAAATGTCCAAGTTTGATGAAGATACCTTCTGTGTAGTAAATATTTATAAGTTTCTACCAGAACTTTGCAATATAAAAGTTGATAAATGATGAATTAGTCATTATAATTGAGCCAAGAAAAAGATTCTTCTGACTGATCTTTGGAGCTAAACAAATGTTTTATAAAACAGGAAGATGATTCCAAGTCAGAAGTCACCAAATACATAGTGCTTGAGTTATAATGAGGTCTTCTGTTCATATTTAAATAAACATTAGGAGAGCATATTTTGCATTTAATTGTCTTGCCCTAATTTTATGTTTTTTTCAGTGAACACCTAATTAGATTTAAACAACTACCTTGTCTAAAACTAGAAGCTGTAATCAAAGTAGTTTTCAGTGGCTAACACACCCTAGGATTATCAAATGTCAAACTTAGACAAAAAGGATGTTAAGGAAGCTAACTTTCACCTCCTCTCTTACAGAAACAAGGACACAGCACCCATGGATAACACCTTCTTAATGGTCAAACCAAATGGTCCTGGTTTTACTGGGGGCGGATTTCCTCTCAGGTCAACCAAAATGACGTTCTAACCTGAAGCTGCTGGCTGTTTCCAGTTGAACAACTCATGAAATCTGCTCTGGGACATTTTGGGGGAATCTCAAAGTCCTTGGATCATAGAACTGAGTGCTGAGAATCCAGGATGGAAAGAAATGCAGAACTATCATAGTCACATACATATAAGAGGGATGGTGTTTTGTCTGGTTCACGTTGATATTAACAGATCATAATTCTCTCTGTTCAGTTAGGCTGACCTATTGCATGAAGCAAATCTTTTGTTGCTACCCCATTGATTGAAATGTACTAGACCTTAATTTCTTTATTACAGACATTGGTGTACTTGAAGGTTTTATATTTAAAAGTATTTTTGAAATGCAATGTGTCCCCTCTCACCTTATTAACAATAATCTATTTTAATTATTCCTCATTAACAAGTCATTGCATGAGATGAGAAAGAAGGACAAACTCTTAAGAATTTAAAAAGTGTTTTGAGAATGATTTCTATATGGAATTTCTTTTCAGGCCCGGAATGGGAAAATCTATTCCAAAGAGACACACTAATAAATACTTCATTATAAAAAATAAAAAAGAATCTTTGTAGAGATTTTGATACTTGTTTTGGTAGAGTATGTAATTAAAGTTTAAAGCTACTGTGAGAAATGTTTAACAAGAGCATTTTACTCACAGGAACCAAGACCATGAAATGAGAGACTTCGGCTGGTCTCCTATCCGTTCTAGGCCTCTGTCCTCCTCCTAGACTTGAGAACACAGTTATTTAGCATAGGCATCTGTTTGGTTCCCAGGCTGCCAGCGTTTTGAGCCATTGAATCCATTGTGATTTTTTGTTGTTGAAGCCACAATTATTGGGGCATCCATTCAGAGTTTTCTCATTAAGAGGTTTCATTCAGTTATATTGTGTGAGGACACTCTGGCCATCTCTCTCACAATAACTTGACCTCTGTATTTTTAAAAAATTTTTGAGGAGTAGCTCAGGGATGACAATCACAGTGTTAATGGATCATAACATTCCCTTTGTGCCAAGGGACCAAGATTTCCCTTGTGCAGAGCAGGAGTGTTAATGACCTGAGATGTTTGTTTAGACCACACAAGGAGGTGGGACTTCAGAGGGACATTCTGGATGTCCTGCGTCACCTTCAGTTCACTACATGCCAGTCTCCACTCTTAAATGAGGTTCTCCAGAAGCAAAACAAAGACATTGGTGTCAATGAAAGTGATTTATTATGAAGTGATCCGAGGAAAACCAGTAAGAGGATGGTGAAGTAAGACAGGGAAGGGAAGGAGGCTGAGAAGGGTGCAATATTATGTCCAGTTCCATGATGGGAGACTTTGGCTCCATCTTGGAGGAGAGCTCTGGAGACAATGTAATCACATCTCAGAGTTGTCTCCAGGAGGAGTGAGGGGCTGGGATATATCTCCTATGCTGTCTGTCATTGGCCAAAGACTGCTCTGGAGGGACCACTCTGGTTCTCTGCTTGTAGGCAAAGCAGGCTTTGGCAGCTTGGTGGCAGCCCTCAGACAGAGACCACAGGTGCTGACTCTTGGAGGTGAAAGTGGTTAAGGGCTCAGGGGGAAATGAGTTGGGCAGTGTCATCCTCTGCTTCTCCCAAATGGGCCCAGTGAGAGAACACTTACAGATGGAAAGCAACCTCCAGTGTAGCTGATAACGTTTTGAAGAGGGTGATCATCAGCTCTTTGGGCACCATACAGGGATATAGAGGATGGGACTGTACCCTAGAGAATTTACCAAGAGCATTTTAAACCTAAAAAAATCACAATGGGGCCATTTCTGTTTTTGAAAATCACTGATGATATCTTCCCTCAGAGCCAACCATACTTTGGTTAGACAAAAGACTTTTGCAGGTAAGGTAAAGCAGTTATGACACATATACAACCCTGGAGATTTTCCCATCTATCCTGAGACATTTCGAAGCATAGTCATAGCCCACTTTATTCTGAGTCCTTGGGTGGCTTCATAAGAGGTTCACTTCTATAGGGGAACGGAGTCTGATCTTTGATCTATCCCAGTATGGCAAAGACTGTGGAGACAGATTCTGGGTTCAAATCCTGGCTCATCATAACAACAGGTTGTTTTGAGGATTGAATGAGTTAATGCATGTAAGCTTAGGACAATGTCAGGCACATAGTATTGTTCAGTAAACATGTGCCATTATTACTATTACGTAAGAGATAACAAATATTTTAGAATTAGAGAAGAAAAGTTGTTACATAATATTTGTTAACTGTAAAGGTGACTCTAATCATTTAAAGGGTGAATGACACTAAAATGAAGCTGGATTTAGTAATGTGATATAAATAGAATATCTTGTAGAAATGCCACATTGCATGCCTCATGAAAACTTCTGTATTTTTTTTTTATAGTTGCCATCTGGGAACAAGTTGATCCTCCATCTTCAAAGTCAGAGCTTTCAGCCTTCCTCTGTTCACAGGAGGGAAAGACCCTGGTGGTTTCTGGCTGCCGTCTCCTTCCTGTGTCTCTCCATGTAACAGAGCAGGGTGATCAGCAGCTGCTGATGACAGACGTCCCATGAGCCGAGGGGGAAGAGGGCCTTGGGAGCTGACATAGCAGCTCCATCAGACTCAGTATGCTTGTGTTCAGATGGAGGAGTGAATTAGGCTAGAAAAGGTGAAAGATACTGTACTGCCTCTCATTTACTGCACGTCCTGACAGCCCAGGGTATTATAAGCAATAACTATTTAGGCGCAGGTGTTACTACAGTAGCCGCAGCACAAAAATGAGCTGTTAAAAAACACTGAGATTTGCAAATCATTAAAGATAACTGTGAACTCACAGTGGGCTGAGGTGCTTTTAAAATCACAAATTTGAGCTGCATTGTAAAGCAACATTAGGAGACTGTACAGTAGCATAATTTTACCCTGGGGTTTTCAGAGTTTCAGAAAAGAGTCCTGTTGCTAAACCATCCGTTGACTCCTGAAACCATCCGTTGACTCCCAGCTGGGCTGATGGGGAGCTGGTGCAGTTTCTCTGTTAATAGAGAGAGACATGATGAAGGGGACTCCCTGGTCATTATTTGCTGATCATAGCTTTTCAGCGGCTATTCTTATAGCTAGGTTTTTATTGTGCTTACCTCTGAAGAATTGCTCAGGGCAAAGGTTTGTTGCTGTGATGAGCCATACAGACGGTAGTAGTCTTGCTAGGAAGAGATAGCGACAACTCTGCTTATCATGGGCTATAATTTTGCTATCAAAATTTATCCAGGGCTGATAATTACCATTTGATTTCCTGACTTGCTCAGATAGATTCTGAAGTTTCACCTAGACCAAGACACCCATAGGAACATACTGTATAATGCATTTTGAGCAGTATGGCATTTCAGAGCCTAGACAATTTGAGGAAATTATCTCTCTTTTAAAACATAACCAATTATATGGACATCTTGTTGGGACAGGAGCAAAGGGAGGGCATTTTAAAATATTAAAATGGTAAAATAATTTAAAAATATGCCTCACTATTTTCTTTGTAGTAGACAGAAAATATTTTTACAGCATTATCCATTTTTACCTTCTAATTCAATGCTGTTTTAGTATACCATTTCTCATATCTATTATTTAAAAGTTCCATTAGGGTTTTTAGATTCATTAGAATTTTATAACAATATAAAATTTGATTATCAACAGGGTACCATTTTTCTTCTTTATAATTAAAAATAGATTTTGTTCTTATTTTAAAGTATGTGATTGTTACAGAATATTAACAAATGTAGATAAGCAAAAGGAAGAAAAAGGATGTCTATAATCCTACCACTCATTGATAACTATTGCTTTTCTGGGCTAACACTCATCTCATTCACATGGGTTGGCTGTACTAATGGTTCAAACCTACCATTTCTTCTGATTGGTCAATGCTTGTGCTTCCCATCATTAAATATTTTTAATATCACTTTGAAATATTACTGTCCCATACTTTTGAATATATCTTTCTGGACCTTTAAGTGTATACTGCATAAATATATATGCATATATATATGTGTATATATATATATATGTGTGTGTATATATATATATGTGTGTGTATATATATATATATATGTGTGTGTATATATATATATATATATATATATATATATTCTTTTTAAAAATCAGCTTTATCAATATATAACCTACATATAAAAGGCACTTATTTTAAGTGTATAGTTTGGTAAGGTTTGACAAATGCATATATTCAAGTAACCACTGCCATAATCACCACCCCTCCAAAATGCCTTTATGCCACTTGGCAAGTCAGTATCCCCAGCCATCAACCAGCCCAAGCAACCATGGGTCTGTTTTTTATTGTTATAGATTAGTTTTGTCTTTCTTAGAATTTAACATAAATGGAATTATACACCATATACTCTTTTGTGCCTGGCTTTTATTTTCATGTAGCACAATGTTTTTCGAGATCCATCCATGTTGTTGTGTGATCAATAATTCCTTGATTTCTATTGTGGAGCAATATTCCATTGTATGCAAAAATACAATTGGTTTATTTTACCTATTGATGGGAATTCAAGTTATTTCTAGTGTTTAACTCTTCTGAATAAAGTTGCTATGAACATTCACATACAGATCTCTATGTGGATGTGGTCTCTAGTTGCTTCACATCCTTGTCAATATTGGTATTGCCAGTATTTTTTTAAGCCATTGTTTTGGATATATAGTGATACTTCATTATGGTTTATATTTGTATTTCCTGATGACTAAATGTTGAGGATCTTTTCATGTAGCTTTGGCAATCAGTAAATCTTATTTTGTGAAGTGTCTTCAAATATTTAGCCCATTTTAAAATCATCTCATTAGGTTGTAAAAGTTATTTGTGTAGTCTGGATACAAAACCTTCATCAGATATATGTATTGCAAATATTTTTGTTCAGTCTGTGGCTTACCTTTTCATTTTCTTTTTTTTTCTTTTAATTGTTATTTTTAGTTCTGGGATACATGTGCAGGATGTGCAGGTTTGTTGCATAGGTAAATGTGTGCCATGGTGGTTTGCTGTGCCTATCAACCCGTCACCTAGGTATTAAGCTAAGCATGCATTAGCTATTTTTCCTAATGCTCTCCCTTCCCCCACCCCACCCCCTGACAGGCCCCAGTGGTGTTGTTCTCTTTCCTGTGTCCATGTGTTCTCATTGTTCAGCTCCCACTTGTGAGAACATGCGGTGTTTGGTTTTTTGGTTTTCTGTTCTGTGTTAGTTTGCTGAGGATAATGGCTTCCAGCTTCATCTACGTCCCTGCAAAGGACATGATCTCATTCCTTTTTATGGCTGCATAGTATTCCATGGTGTATATGTGGCACATTCTCTAGTCTATCATTGATGAGCATTTGGGTTGATTCCATGTCGTTGCTATTGTGAATAGTGCTGCAATGAACATATGCCTGCGTGTATCTTTGTAATAGAATGATTTATATTCCTTTTGGTGTATACTCAGTAATAGGATTGCTAGACCAAATGGCATTTCTGGTTCTAGATCTTTGAGGAATCGCCACACTGTCTACACAATCGTTGAGCTAATTAATTTATGTTCCCACCAACAGTGTAAAAGTGTTGCTATTTCTCTGCAACCTCACCAGCAACTGTTGTTTCTTGATCTTTTAATCTCCATCCTCACTGGTGTGAGATGGTATCTCATTGTGGTTTTGATTTGCATTTCTCTAATGATTAGTGATGTTGAGCTTTTTTTCATATGTTTGTTGGCTGCATGAATGTCTTATTTTGAGAAGTGTCTGGTCATGTCTTTTGCCTAATTTTAAATGGCATTCTCTGTTTTATTCTTGTAAATTTGTTTGAGTTCCTTGTAGATTCTGGATATTAGACCTTTGTTGGATGGATACATTACAAAAATTTTCTCCCACTCTGTAGGTTGTCTGTTCATTCTGATAATAGTTCCTTTTGCTGTGCAGAAGCTCTTTAGTTTAATTAGATCCCGTTTGTAAATTTTTGCTTTTGTTGCAATTGCTTTTGGCCATTTCATCATGAAATCTTTGCCCATGCCTATGTCCTAAATGGTATTACCTAGATTTTCTTCTAGGGTTTTTATAGTTTGGGGTTTTACATTTAAGCCTTTAATCCATCTTGAGTGAATTTTTGTATAAGATGTGAGGAAGGGATCTAGTTTCAATTTTCTGCATATGGATAGCCAGGTTTCCCAGCACCATTTATTAAATAGGGAATCCTTTCCCCATTGCTTGTTTTTATCAGGTTTGTCAAAGATCAGATGGTTGTAGATGTGTGGTCTTATTTCTGAGCTCTCTATTCTGTTCCATTGGTCTATGTGTCTGTTTTTGTATAAGTACCATGCTATTTTGGTTATTGTAGTCTTACAGTACAGTTTGAAGTCCGAGTAGCATGATGCCTCCAGCTTTGTTCTTTTTGCTTAGGATTGTCTTGGCTCTATGAGCCCTTTTTTCCATGTGAATTTCCATGTGGTTCCATATGAATTTTAAAATTTTTTTTCTAATTCTGTGATGAATGTCATTGGTAGTTTAATGGGAATAGCATTGAATCTATAAATTACTTTGGGCGGTATGGCCATTTTCACAATATTGATTTTTTCCTATCCGTAAGCATGAAACATTTTTCCATTTGTTTGTGTCCTCTTTGGTTTCCTTGAGCAGCGGTTTGTAGTTCTCCTTGAAGAAGTCCTTAACTTCCCTTGTTAGCTGTATTCCTAGGTATTTTATTCTCTTTGTAGCAATTGTGAATGGGAGTTCACTCATGATTTGGCTTTCTGCTTGCCTGTTGTTGGTGTATAGGAATGCTTGTGACTTCTGCACATTGATTTTGTATCCTGAGACTTTGCTGAAGTTGCTTATCAGCTTAAGGAGTTTGGGGCTGAGATAATGGGATTTTCTAGATATAGGACCATGTCATCTGCAAACAAAGACAATTTGACTTCCCCTCTTCCTATTTGAATACACTTTATTTCTTTCTCTTGCCTGATTGCCCTGGCCAGAACTTCCAATACTGTGTTGAATAGGAGTGGTGAGAGAGCGCAACCTTGTCTTGTGCCAGTTTTCAAGGAATACTTCCAGCTTTTGCCCACTCAGTATGATATTGGCTGTGGGTTTGTCATAAATGGCTCTTATTATTTTGAGGTATATTCCTTCAATACCTAGTTTATTAAGAGTTTTTAACATGAAGCCATGTTGAATTTTATCAAAGGCCTTTTATGCATCTATTGAGATAATCAAGTGGTTTTTGTCTTTAGATCTGTTTATGTGATGAATTATGTTTATTGATTTGCATATGTTGAAACAGCCTTGCATCCCGGGAATGAAGCCAACTTGATCGTGGTGGATAAGCTTTTTGATGTGCTGCTGTATTTGGTTTGCCAGTATTTTATTGAGAATTTTTGCACTGATGTTCATCAGGGAAGTTTTCTTTTTTTGTTGTATCTCTGCCAGGTTTTGGTATCAGGATGATGCTGGCCTCATAGAATGAGTTAGAGAGGAGTCCCTACTTTTCAATTGTTTGGCATAGTTTCAGAAGAAATGGTATCAGCTCCTCTTGGTATTTCTGGTAGAATTCAGCTGTAAATCCATCTGGTCCTGGGCTTTTTTTGGTTGTAGGCTATTTATTATTGCCTTAACTTCAGAACTTGTTATTGGTCTATTCAGGGATTCAACTTCTTCCTAGTTTAGTCTTGGTAAGGTGTGATGGTTAATAGTGAGTGTCAACTTGATTGGATTGAAGGATGCAAAGTATTGATCCTGGATGTGTCTGTGAGGGTGCTGCCAAAGGAGATTAACATTTAAGTCAGTGAGCTGAAGGCAGACCCACCCTTAATCTGAGTGAGCACCATCTAATTGGCTGTCAACATGGCTAGAATATAAAGCAGGCAGAAAAACGTGAAAAGACTAGACCAGCCTAGCCTTCAAGCCTACATCTTTCTCCTATGCTGGAAGCTTCCTGCCCTTGAACATCAGACTCCAAGTTCTTCAGTTTTGGGACTTGGACTGGCTCTCCTTTCTCCTCAGCTTGCAGATGGCCTATTGTGGGACCTTGGTATCATGTGAGTTAATACTTAATAAACTCCCCTTTATATATCTATCTGTCCTATTAGTTCTGTCTTTCTAGAGAACACTGACTAGTATAGATTTTGATACTAGGAGTGGTTCTAGAGGAACAGAATATTAAGGATAGACTTCTTTTGTTGGTTTTGGGGTTTCTGGAGTTGGCTGCTTAATACAATTAGAACCCAAAATGCTAAGGACTCTACTTCTAATAGTATGGAGAACATTGATTGTCCTTGGCATGTACTGTTTAGAAAGTCATGCAAAATACATGTATTTGACACTCCTGATTCACTACTTGTGAGAGGCAAGGTGTTTAGTGACTCTATACATAATACCTTTGACCATATGTGGAGAACCAAGGAACATAATGAAGCTGGCTGATTGCTCCTAAGTTCAGTGGACAAAGTGATGAAAGAAAATGGTGAACTCAGGGATTCCTACTCCCTGAGTTAGAATAGGGAGTTAAAATAAGAAGCAGATATTGAACCTCAACTCTGCTATGATTACTCTGAGCGAGACTCTTATCTCCTGTAGAGAAAGAGCTGAAATTGTGGAAAAATAAACAAAAGCTCTTATCATGCGGGTGACTGAACTCCAATGAAAAGTGCATGCACAGCTTCACCAGATGTCTACTGTTAAAATGAGGGCATTGATTGGAAAAGAATGGGACCCTGAAACTTGGAATGGGGACATGTGGAAGGCCACTGATGAAGCTGGGGACACTGAGTTTGTAAACTCTTCTGAACCTTTTTTGTCAGAAGGAACAGCTTCTCCCATACCCAGTAGTGGCAACATCCCCTCCCTGACCCATGCTGCCATCAGCCTTTCCACCTTTGTCTGAGGAGATAAAGTGCTGCCTGAGGCAACAGTGATGGCCTCCCCTGAGGCAGTTGCCAGGCAAAATAATATCGATTCTCCTCAGGAGCCACCCCCAACACCCCTGTTTGCTTCTAGACCTGTAACTAGACTAAAGTTTCAGTGGGCCCCTGGAGGTGAGGTTGAGAATGTGACCCGTGAGGAGGTGTGCTACACCTGAAAATAACTGTTTCAGTTCTCTAATTTATATCAACAGCAATCTGGAGAACAGGCATGGGAATGGATATTAAGGGTATGGGATAATGGTGGAAGGAACAGAGAGTTGGATCAGGCTGAATGTATTGATTTCGGCCCACCAAGTAAAGAGTCTGCATTTAATGTTGCAGCTTGGGGAGTTAAAAAAGGTTCTAATAGTTTATTTGCTTGGTTAGCTGAAATATGGATTAAAAGATTGCCCACTGTGAGCGAGCTGGAAATGCCTGATCTCCCTTGGTTTAATGTAGAGGAAGGGATCCAAAGGCTTAGGGAGATTGGGATGGTGGAGTGGATTAGTCACTTTGGATCTACTCATCCCAGCTGGGAGGGTCCAGAAGATTTACCCTTGACCAATGCCTGTGAAATAGATTTGTGAGGGCAGCACCTGCATCTTTGAAGAGCCCTGTAATTGTTCTTCTATGTATGTCAGATCTAACAGTGGGAACCACAGTCACTCAACTACAAAATTTAAATACAATGGGAATAATTGGATCCTGAGGTGGCAGGGGCCAAGTGGCGGCACTCAACCATCAAAGGCAAGGTGGGCATAGTTACAGTAATGGACAGTAGAGGCAAAGTGGCAATCAGTATAGTCTGACTTGTGTATAGCTCTGGCATTGGCTAATTAATTATGGTGTTCCTAGAAGTGAAATTGATAGGAAGCTTACTGCATTTCTACTTAATTTATATGAGCAGAAAACTTCTAGGTTGAATGGACAAAAGACTAATTTGAATTATAAAAACAGAGAATCATGGCCCCACAATCAATTTCCAGACTTCAGCCTGTTTGCAGACCCAGAACCCCTTCAATGAAGGAAACGCCAGGTCCCCTTGAGGAAGGACCCCAATACATTGATGACAATTTATGCTGTTAGTCTTTATTCCATCCTTCCCCAAGGAGACCTCCGGCCTTTTACCAGGGTAACTGTGCACTGGGGAAAGGGAAATGATCAGACATTTCGAGGACTAGTGGACACTGGCTCTGAGGTGACGCTGGTTTCAAAACGTCATTGTGGTCCCCCAGTTAAAATAGGGGCTTATGGAGGTCAGGTAATTAATGGAATTTTAGCTCAGGTTTGACTTACAGTGGGTCCAGTGGGACCCCGGACTCATCCTGTGGTCATTTCCCCAGTGCCAGAATGCATAATTTGCATAGGCATACTTAGCAGCTGGTAGTACCCCCACATTGGCTCCCTGACTGGTAGGGTGAAGACTATTATGGTGGGAAAGGCCAAATGGAAGCCATTAGAGCTGCCTCTACCTAGAAAAATAGTAAATCAAAAACAATATCGCATCCCTTGGGGGGATTGCAGAGATTAGTGCCACCATCAGGGACTTGAAGGACACAGGGGTGGTGATTCTCAGCACATCCGCACTTGACACTTCCATCTGGCCTGTGCAGAAGACAGGTGGATCTTGGAGAATGACAGTGGATTGTCATAAGCTTAACCAAGTGGTGATTCCAATTGCGGCTGCTGTACCAGACGTAGTTTCATTGCTTGAGAAAATTAACACATCTCCTGGTACTTGGTATGCAGCTATTGACTTGGCAAATGCCTTTTTCTCCATTCCTGCCCATATGGCCCACCAGAAGCAATTTGCCTTCAGCTGGCAAGGCCAGCAATATACCTTTACCATCCTACCTCAGGGGTATATCAACTCTCTGGCTTTGTGTCATAATCTTATTTGGAGAGACCTTGATCACCACGCTTCCTCAAGATATCACACTGGTGCATTACATTGATGACATTATGCTGATTGGATCCAGTGAGCAAGAAGAAGCAAACACACTGTACTTATTGGTGAGACATTTGCATGCCAGAGGATGTGAAATAAATGAGACTAAAATTCAGGGACCTTGTACTTCAGTAAAATTTCTAGAGGTCCAGTGGTATGGGGCCTATTGGGATATTCCTTCTAAGGTGAGGGATAAGTTGCTGCATTTGGCCCCTCCTACAACCAAGAAAGAAGCACAATGCCTAGTGGGCCTACTTGGATTTTGGAGGCAACACATTCCTCATTTAGGGGTGTTACTCTGGCCCATTTATTGAGTGACCCAAAAGGCTGCCAGTTTTGAGTGGGATCCAGAACAGGAGAAGGCTCTGCAACAGGTCCAGGCTGCTGTACAAGCTGCTCTGCCACTTGGGCCATGTGACCCAGCAGATCCAGTGGTGCTTGAGGTGTCAGTGGCAGATAGGGATGCTATTTGGAGCCTTTGGCAGGCCCTTATAGATGAATCACAGCAGAGGCCTCTAGGATTTTGGAGCAAGGCTCTGCCATCTTCTGCAGATAACTACTCTCCTTTTGAGAGACAGCTCTTGGTCTGTTACTGGGCTTTGGTGGAAACTGAACATTTGACTATAGGTCACCAAGTCACCATGTGACCTGAACTGCCTATCATGAACTGGGTGCTTTCTGACCCATCTAGCCATAAAGTGGGTCATGCACAGCAACATTTTATCATCAAATGGAAGTGGTATATATGTGATCAGGTTCAAGCAGGTCTTGAAGGCACAAGTTACATGAGGAAGTGGCTCAAATGCCCATAGTTTCCACTCCTGCCACCCTGCCTTCTCCAGCCTGCACCAATGGCCTCATGGGGAGTTCCCTATGATCAGTTGACAGAGGAAGAGAAGACCAAGGCCTGGTTCAGAGATGGCTCTGCATGATATGCAGGCACCACCCAAAAGTGGACAGCTGCAGCACTACAGCCCCTTTCTAGGACATACCTGAAGGACAGCGGTGAAGGGAAATCTTCCCAGTGGGCAGAACTTCGAGCAGTGCACCTGGTTGTGCACTTTGCATGGAAGGAGAAATGGCCAGATGTGCGATTATATACTGATTCATGGGCTGTAGCCAATGGTTTGGCTGGATGGTCAGGGGCTCGGAAGAGGCATAATTAGAAAAGTGGTGACAAAGAAATTTGGGGAAGAGGTATGTGGATGGACCTCTCTGAGTGGTCAAATACTGTGAAAATGTTTGTATCCCATGTGAGTGCTCACCAATGGGTGACCTTAGCAGAGGAGGATTTTAGTAATCAAGTGGATAGGTTGACCCATTCTTTGGACACCACTCAGCCTCTTTCTCCAGCTACCCCTGTCGTTGCCCAATGGGCCCATGAACAAAGTGGCCATGGTGGCAAGGATAGAGGCAACTCATGGGCTTAGCAACATGGGCTTCCACTCACCAAGGCTGACTTGGCTATGGCCACTGCTGAGTGCCCAGTTTGCCAGCAGCAGAGACCAACACTGAGCCCTCGATATGGCACCATTCTTCGGGGTGATCAGCCAGCTACCTGGTGACAGGTTAATTATATTGGACCTCTTCCATCATGGAAAGGGCAGATGTTTGTCCTCACTGGAATAGACACTTACTCTGGATATGGGTTTGCCTATCCTGCATGCAGTACTTCTGCCAAGGCTACCATCCGTGGACTCACGGAATGCCTTATC
This sequence comes from Homo sapiens, assembly GCF_000001405.40. Lineage (NCBI taxonomy): Eukaryota > Metazoa > Chordata > Mammalia > Primates > Hominidae > Homo > Homo sapiens. Next base: position 104,467,078 of record NC_000010.11, read on the forward strand.
CACCGTCAAGGTGTTCCACAGAGCATTGCCTCTGACCAAGGCACTCACTTTATGGCTAAGGAAGTGTGGCAGTGGGCTCATGCTCATGGAATTGACTGGTCTCATTGTGTTCCCCATCATCCTGAAGCAGCTGGATTGATAGAATGGCGGAATGGCCTTTTGAAGTCACAATTACAACGCCAACTAGGTGACAATACTTTGCAGGGCTGGGGCAAAGTTCTCCAGAAGGCCATGTATACTCTGAATCAGCATCCAATATATGGTACTGTTTCTCCCATAGCCAGGATTCAAGGGTCCAGGAATCAGGGGTGGAAGTGGAAGTGACACCACTCGCCATCACCCCTAGTGATCCACTAGCAAAATTTTTGTTTCCTGTTTCACGACATTATGTTCTGCTGGCCTAGAGGTCTTAGTTCCAGAGGGAGGAACACTGCCACCAGAAGACCTAACAATGATTCCATTAAACTGGATGTTAAGATTGCCACCTGGACACTTTTGGCTTCTCCTACCTTTAAGTCAACAGGCTAAGAAGGGAGTTACAGTGTTGGCTGGGGTGATTGACCCAGACTCTCAAGATAAAATCAGTCTACTACTCTGCAACAGAGGTAAAGAAGAGTATGCATGGAATAAAGGAGATCCATTATGGTGTCTCTTAGTATTCCCATGCCCTGTGATTAAGGTCAATGGGAAACTACAACAGCCCAATCCAGGCAGGACTACAAATGGCCCAGACCCTTCAGGATTGAAGGTTTGGGTACTCCAGCAGAAAAAAAAACCCCACGACCTGCTGAGGTGCTTGCTGAAGGCAAAGGGTAGTAGAGAGGGTAGTAGAATGGGTAGTAGAAGAAGGTAGTCATCAATAGCAGCTAGGACCACATGACCAGCTGCAGAAACGAGGACTGTAATTGTCTTGAGTATTTCCTCCTCCTTTTGTTAAAAACATGTTTGTGCATGTATACACTTGTACTAAGAAAATATTTTCATTTTATTTCCTTTTCATATCAGCATTTAAGTATTGTTAACTTTATGTAATAGTATTTGGGTTGGGGATTGGTGCGTTTCTGGTTCATAACAGTTCCCACCAAGGACTATCAGTGTTCTCCATACTGTTAGAAGTAGAGTCCTTAGCATTTTGGGGACTAAATCATATTAAGCAGCCAACTCCAGAAACCCCAAAGCCAATGAAAGAACTCCATCCTTAATATTCTGTTCTTCTAGAACCACTCCTAGTATCAAAATCTGTATTAGGGTTCTCTAGAGGGACAGAATTAAGGTGTGTATGTGTGTGTGTATATATATATATATATATATATTCCCCTTTATATACATATAAATATATATGGCTGGGTGCCGTGGCTCATGCCTGTAATCTCAGCACTTTGAAAGGCCAAGGTGGGTGGATCACAAGGTCAGGAGATTGAGACCATCCTGGCCAACATGGCGAAACCTCATCTCTACTAAAATACAAAAAAATTAGCCAGGCATGGTGGTGTGCGTCTGTAGTCCCAGCCACTTGGGTGGCTGAGACAGGGGAATCACTTGAACCTGGGAAGTGGAGATTGTAGTGAGCCAAGATCGCACCACTGCACTCTAGCCTGGTGACAGAGCAAGACTTCATCTCAAAAAAAAAAAAAAAAGTATATAAAGGGGAGTATGTATATAAAGGGGAGTGGGTGTGTCTGTGTGTGTGTATGTATATTCCCATATATATATGGGAGTGTATTAAGTATTAACTTGCACAATCACAAGGTCCCTCAATACGCCATCTGCAAGCTGAGGAGCAAGGAGAGCCAGTCCAAGTCCCAAAACTGAAGAACTTGGAGTCCGATATTTGAGGGCAGGAAACATCCAGCATGGGAGAAAGATGTAGGCTAGGAAGTTAGGCCAGTCTCTCTCCTTTTCACTTTTTCTGCCTGCTTTATATTTGCTGGCAGCTGATTAAGGGTGGATCTGTCTTCCCCAGCCCACTAACTCAAATGTTAATCTCTTTTGGCAACACCCTCACAGACACACCCAGGATCAACACTTTGTGTCCTTCAACCCAATCAAGTTGACACTCAGTATTAACTATCACATTGCACTAACCAGGACTTCCAGTACAATGCTAAATTAAAATGGTGAGAGCAACATCTCTGCCTTCTTAATGTTAGAAGGAAAAGTATTGCATGTTTCATCATGAATACAATGTTAGCTGTAGGATTTTTATAGATGCCTTTTATTAAGTTGAGGAAGTTCCCTTCTATTTCTTGTTTGCTGAGTTTTAGTCCGACATGGATATTGAATTCCATCAGTACTTTTTCTGCATGTGTTAGGCTAATTGTTTTTTTTCTTTTATTGACATGGTGAATTACTTTGATTTTTAAATGTTAAACCAACTTCACACACTTTGGGTAAACACCATTTGGTCATAATATCATTTTTACATAGTATTGGATTTGATTTAAATCAGATTAGATTTGATATGCTGTTAAGGACTTATACAACTATGTTCCTGAGGGATGTTGTCTGTACTTTTCTCATAATGTATCTGTCTGGTTTCAGTATTAAGGTTTAGCTGGCTTCATAAACTGAATTAAGAAATGCTCCTCCTCTGCTATTTCCTGAGCTACTTTGTGTAAGATTGGTATAATTTCTTCCTTAAATGTTTGATATAATTTGCCAGTAAAGCAATCTGAATTTACATTTTCTCTTATAGAAAGATTTTAAATAGGTATAGAGGCTCTTCAGATTTTCTATTTCCTCTTGTGTCACTTTTGATAGTTTGTGTCTTTCAATGAATTTATCTATTTTATATAAATTGTTGACTTCATTGACATAAAGTTTTAAAAAATACTTATTTTACTACCCTTAACATTAGTAGGATCTGAACAAGTGATTATTTTGTTCTGGATATTGGTAATTTGAATCTTCTCTGCTCTTTTTCTTGATGAATTTAGCTAGGAATTTATCAATACAATTTTATTGATATTTCTAAAGAACCAGCTTTTTCTTTCTTTGATTTTTCTTGTCAGTGTTTTTTTTTTATTTCATTGATTTCTGCCCTAATACTTAGTGGTTTTTTTTTTTTTTTACTTGAGTGTAATTTAATCTTCTTATGGCTTCTTTAGGTAATTGTTTTTAGCCCTTTCTTTTTTTAAAAAAAACTTTAGCCTTTAAAACTATATATTTCCCTCTAAGCTCTGCTTTAAATGCATCTCACACATTTAAAAATATTTTTGTTCAGTCTGTGGCTTACCTTTTCATTTTCTTAACAGTGTATTTTGAAGAGCAGACATTTTGAATTTTAATAAGGCCCAACTTGTTCTTCTTTTTCTGATGTGGTTTGTACTTTTCTTGTTTTGTCTAAGTAATTTTTGCCTACTCAGATAGTAAGGAATTTTGCCTGCATTTTTCTGTAGAAGTTTGATTATAGTTTTAGCTTTTATGTTCATATTTATGACCTATTTAGAGTTAATTTTATGTAAGATGTGAGGTTAGAGGTTCATTTAAAAAATTTTTATTTTAAATTTTGAAATATACAATACACTTTTGTTGACTATAGTCACCATGTTGTGTAATAGATTTCAAAAACTTATGTCTCCTGTCTAACTGTAACTTTTTACTTTTTGATCAACATCTTCCCTTACCCTTTCCCCATCCTCCCAGCCTCTGGTAACCACCATTCTACTCTCTACTTCTATAAGTTTAGCTTTTTTAGATTCCACATATAAGTGAGATCATGTGGTATTTGTCTTTCTGTGCCAGGCTTATTTCACTTAGTATAATGTCCTCCACGTTCATCCATGTTGTTGCAAGTGACAGAATTTTCTTCTTATCAAGGCTGAGTAGTATTCCATTGTGTGTATATACCACATTTTCTCTATCCATTTGTTCACTGCTTGATACTTTGGTTGGTTTCATATCTTGGCTATTGTAAATAATGCAGCATTGAACATGGGAGTGCAGCTGTCTCTTAAATTTGAATGCACACTTTTCCTCTTATAGCTGTTTGATCTCAGGCATGTTAAGTAACCTCTCCAGCTTTTGGATGTTCATTAGTAAAATGAGAGTAATAATAGCACCCATCTCACTGGATTCCTATGAGGATTATAGGATATTGATTACATGTGATGTGTGCATAGTGCCTGGCACATAGTAAGTGCCCAACAATTGTCAGCACTTACCTAAAAATCATCTCTTTGCTCCTAACAATAGCCTGGAAAGTTTTAAAATATTGTTCTAAGTGGTCAGTTGAAGGATAATAAACATCATGGAAATTGCTTAACTGTTGTCTGAGTGGATATGGTCAAGGATCTTCAATGGATTATGAGGCCTTATATTATGCTTTTTAAATAGATATTAGGAAGTTGAATGGCTATTAAAGTATATTGTATCAATTCTGTCTCTTTCACATAAGTGATTAATCTTTTTTACAGTTCATCTGAGACAGAATGCCAGGAACTCTTTCCTCGAGTTCCAAAATAACACTTCTCTTCTGTGGCTTAAACTAAGACAGTTCCTTTTTCTCCTTCCCACTGTGGCAGTGCAAGGGAATTTTTTTTTTTTTTCCGGAGACAGAGTCTCACACTGCTGCCTGGGCTGGAGTGCAGTGGCGCAGTCTCAGCTCACCGCAACCTCCACCTCCCAGGTTCAAGCAGTTCTCCTGCCTCCGCCTCCCAAAGTGCTGGGATTACAGGCGTGAGCCACCACGCCCAGCAGGGAATTTAATAAGCATAACAAAAACAGGAATAGCCTCCATCACAAAGGCTTTAAAAAACCCTGATATCTGGCTTCACTGCAGAATCTCTGGAAGAGGACCCTGCATTCTCAAACCTGGTTGTACATGGGAATTACCTGGGGAACTTTTAGTAATATTGATGTCTGGGTCCCTCTCCAGATATTCTGATTTCACTGGCCTTGGTGTGATGTGGGCCTCAGGATTTTTTAAAGCTCCCATGTGATTTTGATGCTCAGCTAGGCTTGAGAATAGCTGCTTTATATACAGTATCTCCTCCATGAGAGAAGCCCCCTTCACACACACACAGCTTCACCAGGGAGAGGAAGCAATTTCCTGGATTGTGGAACTTGATTTCTGGAGGCAAGACTTAAACTGATAAGCCCCTTTGATTAATCCTATCGTGCCCCACATCATGGTTTACTTCAATCTGTAATCTAATTGGATTTACCCAATCCCCCATCCCTCCTCTACCTTATTGTGCCCTCTGAACTCTTACCTGTGGTTGGCAAACTTCCCTATGTCCTCAACCTTTTCTCTGAATGGAAGTTCCCCTTTCTTTTCTTGCCCTAAAGGAGACCCAGCTTACCCCTTCTACCCTTGTAGTCCTCTTATACGTAGACCTTTTTCTTGTTAAATCTCACATACACCATGCTCTTCAGGTTGAGAATATGGAGCAGATGTCATCCTTGCTCTGCATTACTGCATTTATTCTTATTTTTTTCTTCTGAATGTCAATGTATTTGAATTTGGACCACCTGGCTCTACCATCTACCAATCCTTCAGATTGCATTCATCTACCTACCCACCTCCTGGTCATGCTCCTTATGCCCCAAGGGCCTTACCCTTTAGCTTAGTGTTTGCTTTTCCATCCCTAAATCTCTTATTGCTTCTGGTGACTTCAGCAACTATGTGGATGACTCACGCAATGCCCCAGGGCTCTCAGTTACTTGAGTTCCTCAGTTCCAACAACTTTTTCTCCCTTCTACCTCATGTCACCATCCAATTATTTCACCAGTCTTGAAATTTTGGTTTTAAATATTCTGTTGTCTGACAATGGCTTCCTAATCTTCCAGATAATATGGTCTAGAATAACCAATACAACTGTTTTCCAACTTTGTTGAGCCCTTCAAAACATCAGCTCCCCTACTTTGTTACTATTTATCTCGTTTTTCCTTTCCCTTCTTATACAGCTTTGATTTTGTGGCTCACAATTGTTATTGTTTCCATGAAAACACTTTCAACTCCCTTGACCCTCCATCTCTGCTGGAATGGACTGGCAACTCTGCTAGTGTGAGTGTGCTTCCACTGCCTTCTTTCTACCACCGTGGGAACCTGCTTTCTGACTTTTAACTCATGGCTTGCTTCATACTTTGGGAATGCCAAAGTCATAATCTTCCCACTGATGCAGGATTTCTTTCCCCTTAGCTCAGCTAGGTCCAGGTTCTTGTCTCATGACCAGGAAAAATTAGGCATGTGGACACTTGAAGAGTAAGTGGAATAGAATTTATTAAGCAAAAGGAAAGCTCTCAGCAAAGAGAGGGGTCCTGAAAGCAGGTTCCCAGTTGCCTCCTTCACAGTGGAATACCAGGGCTTTTATATATAAGCTGATGGGTCTGGGTTCACTATTTGTATAAGGCACAAATTCCTAGTGGCTCCACCCTATTCCCCTAGTGCATATACAGGCCCTTAGTCTGCTGTGGGCATATTTAGGCAAGCACCTTGTGCAAGTTCCCTTATCTGCACAAAACATCTGGTGCAAGCACCTGCAGGGTGGGTTGGAGGCTCTCCAGGGAACTTTCCTTGCCTTACTGTTTGCCTAAAGCAAGCTGGCTAACTCCTTTCACCACCAACAAACCTACAAATCTACTTTCAGTGGTGCCTGTCTTCTCTACTTCCCTATCATTAAGAAGTATGACATGCCTTTACTTCTTTTTTTATTTTTTAATTTTTTTTTAAATTTTATTTTTGAAACTTTTTTAGAGGCAGGGTCTCACTATATTGCCCAGGGCAGTCTCAAACTCCTGTGCTCAAGTGATCCTCCTGCCTCGGCCTCCCACAGGGCTAGGACTACAGGTATAAGCCAATGTGCCTGGCTTATGCCCCTACTTCTATCAAAAGCCAAACTCTTCCTGTGCTCTGGAACTTATCTCCTCACTTTCTCAAGGGCTTGCTATTTTAGCAAGCTTTATCACCTCTCTCCTGCATTATTGGTTTTTCCTCTACAAGCTCATTACCACTATCTTGCAGATATTTGTACTAGCATGACCCATTAAGAAAACAACAGTCTTTCTTGATTTCATATCCTCTCAGCTCACCCCAATTCTTTCTCTTCTAGAAAATCTTCTTGAACCCACTGTCGCTTCTTGTATCCTTCTCACTTTTTAATTCTCTAGAATTTAGCTTTGATCTCCAACATACTTTTGGAAACATTTAAATCCAGCAGAAATTTTCCTGTCCTAATCTTATACAATCTCTCAACTACATTTGCTCCAACTGACTATTTTCTCCTTGAAGCACTGTTCTGTAGAATATCCCCTGAAATAAAATTGTTTTTTTTTAATGACTAGATTGGGTTATGGCCTTCTGGGAAGTATACCACAGAGGCAAAGTCCCTCATATCAGGAGGTATGTGATAGCCACACAACTTCACTGATGATGTTCACTTTCAGCATTTGGTTAAGGTAGTATTGTCAGGTTTCCCACTGTAAAATCACTGTTTCTCTCTTTCTTGACTCTGTCCTTTGGGAGCAAGTCACTAACTCTGGAGCAACCTCAGCCCAGAAAGGATTGGTAGTGATTAAGTTCCACCAAGGAAGATATTTTTTAAAATCCTGTTTTAAGATGAGGAAATGAGGGTTCAGAGATGTTAAATAATCTCTCTGAACCCCAGTTCAGAGATGTTAAATAATGATGTTGGCTTATTACCTAAATAACTTATAACGATCTAACTTGTATTCATACAGGCAAACTTGCATGGGGGATAAGCTTGATTGAAATGCTTTAAAAAAGAAAACCTTCAGGTAAATGCAAATACATGCTCTCATCAAGACACTTAACCATTTCTGCAGGCCGGTGTATAGGAAAATAAAAATCGAAAGAGATCACAAACATTTGCCATTGTTGTAGAAACCACCACACCTCTAGTTTGGAGAAAATATTTTATTTTTACTTTTAGAGACTGAGTCGTGCTGTGTTGCCCAGGCTAGCGTCGAACTCCAGGGCTCAAGCAATTCTCCTACCTTGGCCTCCTGAGTAGCTGGGACTACAGACGTGTGCCACCATGCCCGGTCAGAGACGAAAAGATTTTAGAGAAGTGGATTTCAACCTGTGATTGGAATTCTGTGATTTGGATCTGGCTTGGAGATGTGTTTCATTGGGCCTACATGGTGTTTAAAATTATTTTCTGATTTGGTTGTCAACTTTTAAAAACTGAGACATTTCACATACCAATTCAGGTTGAATGCTTCTCTTGGAGATTTGAAAGCTCTGGCAGTGTTGGATCTTCATTTATCTCTGACGACGCTCACATGGTGCCAAATCACAGCTTCTTCCTATGAATGAGCCACTCTCTGGTTCTCTTCAATCCCTTATAACCTACCTGGGATGATTTTTGGTTTTCATAGTTGTCTGAGCTCAACACTCCTGCTGAGAGGAATGAGATCACCGTCCTTTCTTGGTTGAGGGGTCACCAACTCAGAAGCGAGAGTTGACGTATTCTTAGAGCTCCTGAAAGTGACACCAGTATCAAAGACTCAAGTTGTAGGAGACAGTCTCCAGCAATGTAAGGCAGAATGTTCTGTAGATTTTCGCCGTCAGGCAACCCAACAGGCTGCCTCAAATATGGTAACCTTCTTGTCACCTGGAGTGTTTAAGCAGAGAAGACGTCATGAATCAGGGCTATCAAAGACAGTATTTGTGTATCACAGAAGCTTGGAGCAAAGACATTGGAAGAAGTGCTTCCAACTCAAATATTATGTAACCCCACTTTCCTGAAGAATTAATAAACTTAATGGAATGGTAATTCTACCCGTAAAGAGGTAATTATACCTAATAACTGATTATATTGAGACAACTGCATTAAAGCACTCAATTTAAAAAAATATGCAAAGACTACAGGGAACTGACTGAAGATGTAAAGCTGCAGGCAATGGTGAGAAATGACCAGAGATGTGGGGAGAAAATTGGTCACAGGAGAAGGTAATGGGAAGACAAGCAGCTCGTGTTTTGTTTCAGATGGAGGGTGAAGAGGGGGTGAGGGAATGATGCAGTTAAAGGGGCAGCATGCTCATCATTAGGCAAACTGCATGCCTGGATTTTATCTTGTGGTCGAATGGCCTTGATTTTCTTGAAATAAAAGGAAAGCCAAGAATAGCATAAACAGTGCACAACCTCACCTAAACACGGCCTAGTGAAGATGGTGTTTTAATCTTTTTGTTCTGGGGTGTTATGTAAACTGGTGATAGTATGGTTTTTAGTTTAGGTGGTTAAATACTTGAGCACTCTTTAGTTTGTTACTGGAGAGATTGTTCTAGCTTTGCCCTGAGTTGCAAAGTTTGGGCAGTCTTACTGTTGCGACCCATATTTATGTTTTTACGGAAAGTTAAGTGATTTGGTATAAGGCTGTTTATGTTTACAGATGTGAAAATTTGCCCGAGGAAGCATTTTTTCTCTGCCTCTGTTTTTATCTATGAAGAGGATTTTGGAGATTATTCTGAAATTAGTTTGAGATGTTGTGTGACCAAATTAAGACAAGTAGAACACACCTATCCATCAGGTGGCTTATTACCCTAACAGCAATAGAGATGTTAACCTCCTTGGTGTCAGTGATGGTTGAGATGAGAAAGGAATGCTTGTAGCAGCTAATTATATCTCCCTGTATTAATTAACATATTAAGTGACAGTTTTGTTCACATCTTGTTTTCGTTAAGGAAAAAAGAAACGAACAGTTTTGTGCAGTTCTCTGAAGATTTGGAATAGGAATCTTGGCTCTTGTCTTTAACAGATTTCAGGTCAAAATAAGAAAAGGAGAGAATGATTCCACTTGTGCTAGGTGGCTTAATAGAAAAAAAATTAATGACTTTCATCTTATTTTGGTTCAGACGCCTACCTGAGATATGATTTGAAATGAGTTTCCTATTCTCGACTCCCCTTGTTGAAGACCTGGAGATTTATCAATATCTCACAACAACAAAGAACGTTGCTCAGTGCAATTTGACTCAGGTGTTGCTTTCTTCTCCAAAGTACCATCACGTCTTCTTAACTTCTATGGATTTAAGCAGGATTTATACTTTAGAAACCCAAGTGTGTATCCAAATCCTCTTGTTATTGTAAAGAACAACAACAAAAAGCCATACTCTCAATAAGCCAGTCTTGTTTTCTATAAACCTCTGAAGAAAGATTTGTACATTCCCCAGCCTGAGCATTAGAAGAAATAAACCCAGTTTGGAGGGCACCCCTCCTAGAAAGCGTTGTCTGAGAACAGACCCTGAGGCCCTGTAACTTTCCAAGCACTAATATGAAGGACTTGGCAAAGTGGCTACAGGGAGTTTGTCACTACTTCTTCTTCTTTAAAGTAGGCAGCAACTTACATTTATGTTTGTCTTTCTGGAACATTGTTGTGTCATGCTGTTATCTAGTCAGAGACATTTTTACTATTTCATATGGGATTTATAACCACAGGGCTTATTTCCCTGCTGATGTTTAGCATTATGTTTAGAATTATGCCCACCTGACACTTCAGGAAATTTCCTCCAGCGAGGTTGTATTTAAGCCAGAAAGGGCCAAGCTGGTTCAGAGCCCACTGTTCAGCTGGTACTTTCTATGTAGTGTAAGACGGACTCTTTGAGTTAAATTGATTTAGCTCTTGCAGAGTTAACTCTACCTTCTGTTTTTTTATTTGAGTTTTTTTTTTTCACTTGGCATCCCTTTCCATTGGCCCCATATTAATATGTGGAAGATGCAGAAAATGTGGCCTGCAAACACTACATGAGTTAATCACATCTGAGATGTCTACAGATAGGCATACTATATGCAGGTATAGTTGGGGTGTTGCTGAGAAGGGTATGTGGGCATGTGGGAAGGATGGGACAGAATCAGACTTGGGTTAAATTCTGGTTCTTCCAATCACTAGTATTATTCATTAACTTCCCATCTTGAAAAATTCTTAGGGTTGTTGTAAGAGACCACTTAAAATAATAGGAGTACATCATAGAAGATGAATGGTAAACATTAGTTTAGTTATGAATAATAGCTATTTTTCTTGGGAAAAATACCAGGTTTAGGGTCCATGTGAATATTATAAATGTAGCTTGGTGTTTAATCACTTAGTTTCACATCTAAGATGCATCAACGGGCCTGAATAATTTTATTCCTTATTTGGCCAGTAATCCTATCTCTTCCAAGATGAGCCTAGATATAAAAATTTAAAAATACTTTTGACTGAATACATGCGTATCTCCATACCTGTGTGACAAAGGAGTCCATAAAAAGTACTGTATTATGCCAAGGCCCTTTGATCCTATTCAAATATCAAGATCTAAGTTTCAGCTATTTCAAAGGTCTGATAATGTCCACCTTTATTCCCAACACAGAAATGACTCTTTATGGAACTCCTGACCCTAGGTGGAACATTTCTGCTGCTGCTCCCAGGAACCGCGCATCCCTTTCATACTCAGTGTGAACTGTCACTGATTATATCAAGAGCCCACCCCTTCATGTAGATGATAGAAAATGCACTGGCTTTTACTCAGCTGCTAATGAGTAATTGCTCTGTGGTCAGCCACAAATGTGGCCAGCCACAGCAGGGCTATTGTGAGAAGGCACACACTTTTATCCTTCAGGACCTCATGATGCTGCCATCAGATTGGGCCAAGAAGAGGCTGGCTGTTGAGCTGGCACTTTGCGAGCAGGAGATATATATATCCAAGACTTGATACTCAGCATGGTTGAGTAGCATTATTAAAAGACATGGCCACTGAGTGTTCTGGATGGTTGGCCCATCTCTCTTCAGTAGCAAAGTTGACTTTGGAAACCAATTTAGGTCCTCAAAGGGCTGCTTGGTGCATATAGAATCAAAGTAATTAGATCAATAAGTTTCGAGGATTATTTTTTCCTTTTAAAAATTATACAAGCAGGCCGGGCGCGGTGGCTTATGTCTGTAATCCCAGCACTTTGGGAGACCGAGGCGGGCGGATCACGAGGTCAGGAGATCAAGACCATCCTGGCTAACACGGTGAAACCCCGTTTCTACTAAAAATACAAAAAATTAGCCGGGTGTGATGGCGGGCGCCTGTAGTCCCAGCTACTCCGGAGGCTGAGGCAGGAGAATGGCGTGAACCTGGGAGGCGGAGCTTGCAGTGAGCCGAGATCATGCCACTGCACTCCAGCCTAGGTGACAGAGTGAGACTCCGTCTCAAAAAAAAAAAAAAAAAAATTATACAAGCAATAAATTTTCATTGCAGAAAGATTAGAAAACATGATACATAGTAAGGGTAAAAAGTCACACCTAGCATTTAGGCATAAGCATTGTTAATATTTTGGCACATCCTTCCATACTTTTCCATGCATCCTTATTGAGAGTTGCATATTCTAGGGCTTGAGAATAATTCATTATTTTAGGAACTTAGGGCCTTGCAAGAGCAATTGTTATTCAGATTTTATTTTGAGCAGGAGAAAGCAGAAAACCCTGTTCCTGTAAAACCAGGAGTGGGTGGGCAGGGGTGGGCATGTGACCCAGTCTCAGCAAATCAGATAATTACAACCCCTTGGATACAATGATTGGTCTGGAGTGTCTGGAGTAGGCATGTGAACCACACAGGGCTAGCAAGTTTTTTCCTGGAATTGATGAACAGTAGGAGAAAAAGTCCCTCTTTATGCTGAGATAGCTCAATGGGGAAGAGAGGCAAGAAGCCTGATGTCTGCTTGACTGCCACGTGGCAGAGAGCGTGCCTGAGAGAAAGGCCCAGCAGGGCAGAGATAGACGGGAAGCGGGAAGGGGAGGGGGCGGGGGGGGGGTGGGAGAGAGAGAGAGAGAGAGAGAGAGAGAGAGAGAGAGAGAGAGAGAGAGAGAGAGAGAGAGAGAGAGAGAGAGAGAGAGAGAGAGAGAGAGAGAGAGAACGAGAACAGTTGGCATTGTTTGAGCCCTTGGATCCATCCATCCTTAAGATTCCCAGTTATGTTAGCCAACTAAACTTCACTTTCGCTTAATCTAGTTTAAGTTGGTTTATGCCAAATATAACCAAGAGTTCTGGCTCAACCACTTCCCTAGCTCCTTGGGAATAGGGCCCTGTCTAGCCTGGTCTCTGAGCACACTGCCTGCCCCATGGCCTGCGTGACTCACCGAGTTATCTTCTTCTTGGTGCTCAGGACGTGCTTTTCTCCCTTTCATTCTGCCTTAACAATTTCAGCTTCCAGCTCTGCATTGGTGACAATGGGCTAGTCTCTTCTTGGGAAAAGAAGAGCCCAAAACACCATTTGGCAACCAGCTTAAGGGTGGGACCTGTGACTTCCCTCACAGCTGATGGGGTCAGATGGGTGGGCAGGCCCAGTTTTGATTAATATGCCTATAAAGTGGAATTCTGGGACTGACCTCCACTCAACTCAAGCAACACAAAGATAATTGACCTTTGGAAACTGCCTCTGGCAGTCTTTTTATTATTTTTATAGGAAGTCCTGCAAACCAATTACATCTCACAATGGGCCTTTTATGGTGCTATTAGTTTAATGCAGCTTTCCGAGAAATTAGCCCTCAGGGAGCCTGAAATTCTAGAGGAAAAAAAAGCCCTCCATGGACTTATTTGACTTTTGGATTAGCAGGAAAAATGGATTGGTAGTGCAGTATTCCCTATAGTAACTTTTGGCAGTTTGAGCCATCTAACCAAGGTACCAAATTCCCATTTTGGGACCCTGGTGTCTGCCCCAAGCAAAAGGAAAAAATAAATTTGAAAAAGAATAAGCTGTCTCTTTAAAGAATTCAGTCTACAAATCAAAGAGGGTTTATTCCCCTCTTAGTCTGAGGTTAAAGAAGAATGGGAGTGAGAAAATTGAAATAGCACTTCTGTTTGAAGGTCTGGGTTTTTCTGAATGTGAAATTACAGGTGTCTGTCTCAGATCATCACGTTGGCTTTGGTACCTCTCACCCAGCCACAGTTATTTGCAGAGTGATGGCTCTGGGGCCTTTGTCACAGGGTCAGGCTGTGGGTCTGGGCTGGAGAGAGAGGAGATATCATCTTAGAAATGTCACGCTGCCCTCACCTAGGGAGCAAGTGCATGGGGTTTCAGGCAGGGCAGAATGGGGGAAGAGAGAGAAGCTAGAAGGTGACAGGAGGACTAAGGACCCTGCCATTTCCTGGAGTCTGACGCCCAGGTTGGTTGTCCAGCTCATCCCTAGGACAGGGAAGGGAACACAGAGCAGGTCCGTGAGGGGCATGGACATGGTATGCCCATGGGAGCTGCTTCCTCCTTAGCCCAGCCCTGACCCTGGAAACCCCAGCCCCACCTCCTCTGTGTCATGTGGTCATCGGCCAGGTACACTGGTGAGCTCACAGTCCTTCTGTCCCCTTTGTCACCTTGAGGATTTTAACCGTTTTCTTACACTCTTTCCCTCCCAGTTTCTGTTTGCTCTGTTCTGACCTCAGCAGTTCCTGGGCTCAGCCAACGAGGGGTTTTTCTGCAAGCACCCAAGACTGCCTGCCTGTGGGCTTCCTCTGGCTGCAGGGGGACCCAGTTTCGCCTGAGCAGGTGGGGCAGGCTGAAATGCCTGGAGTTATCACATGTGGAGCATCCCTCAGCTATTAATGGGAAGGAGGTAGGAGTAACTACCCCAGCTCCCTGACTCCTCTGGTGGGACAACCCTGAAATATGTTCTACGTGGTCTCCCACAGTTCCCCAGTGTGATGGAGTCTCAGTTGTCCCAAATGGTGAACTTCTTATCATACACCCTGTATTTGCCTCCTTCCTTTCCTTGTCTTAGTTCCCCATCTCCTACTGCTGCTTTGCAGGATCACCTCCCAAAGGAACCACCGACCCCCAAACCTTATCTCAGAGCCTGCTTCGGGGGCCACAAGCTGAGCCAGACCTCACACCTTGTTTCCTGGTTCTGCCCTGAGTGTCCCACCTGGGGTCTGGGCCCAATGTGGCTTGTCTTGCACTGTCATGGGCTCTTTTTGGCTCCCTTCTTTACCTTGGATTTGTATGACTTCTTGGGTCATGTCTGATTCAGGCTCCTCCAGGAAATGACCTGGTTGGACTCCCAGGACCCTCCCCTGGCCCATGTAGCTGGAATTCTTGCTGATTTGGGCCCAGCCCTTGCATGGAAGGAATGGAATCTCATTTTTAAGGGAGACATGAATAGAAAGAAAAAAAAAATTTCCCTCTTGAGGCGAAGAGAATATGGAAAGGGCCACATCTTAGGCAGAATATATAGGGCTGTTTCTCTGGAGGATACTGGGACTGGTGAGCTAGGTTCTCCACTTGCTGGGGCTGCTGTGCATTCTTTTTCTGGATCTCTGGTCCTGCTACTAGAAATGGCCAATGGACTGGATTTATTCGGAAGTGGGGCGGGGCTCCCTCTTCTTCATCTCATAACTGTTCCCTGTGGATGCAGTGGTGTCTTCCTTAAGGAGAGGAAAGCTCAGGCTGCAATGACAGCTTGTGCGATGTTGGGCAAGTGGTTTAATCTCACTATAGCTCAGTGTTCTCATCTGAAAAATGAGGCTCATCGTGTAGCACCTCATAGCATAGTTACGAGGAATAAATAAGAAAATGTGATGAAGTGCTTAACAGAATGCCTGGCACGTGGTAATAGCACCACAAACGCTAGCTGTTATTAACCTGGCATGCACTACCTTGTTTTGTTCATTATCTTGCCATAGTTTATCTCCCTGCAGGCAGGAGGCACAAGGTAGCATCTTTCTTTCTCTTGGTGTCTATAGTATGTTCGTATAGCAAGTGCTTAAAAAGATACGTCAGTAGAGAAATATCAGGCAGGTTAACATCCCAGCTGTCTGGTCCTTGCTCCTCCTTCTTGACCTTTCAGGCATGCCAAAACTTGGTCCATTGCAGAATAATTCCAGTTTCAGAGAAGCCATGCTAGTACTAGAGAGTTGTTAAAATACCCACCTATGGTGTGAGGCCACCTGGGGGTCAGGAGGCACGTGAAGTTCCAACTATGGCCAGGTAGTCAGTCCCATCCCTGCATTCCTAAGGGATGCAGCCCCGTTATGCACCAAGCATTTTGCTGGCAGCTTCCCCCACCACCCCTGCCCCTTGATCATACTTAAATTCTAAGACAGCATAGGGGCTGGTCCTCCAGGGAAGACCAGGGCTGCAGTGGGGGTATTTTATGCTCCAGAGGTGCAAAAGTATTTAAGCTGAACAAGTCACTTAAATGACAGCATTATCTGCTGCTTCCCCTTCAGTGTTCCAGACAGATAAAGATAAAACAGCCGAGGTAATTGTGGAGATGGAGTGTCGCTGGCAAATGATCTGAGCACAAAGACCATTTCCAGAGATAGATGGAGTGGAGGCTCCAGTAATTTTTCTTGAATCATGTTTAAAGTGGCACAGTCTGAAAACCAATTCGGCAGGAGTGCTGCTTGGAGGGTCCAGGCCCACCAGAACTTTGAAAATATTACAGTCCAGTGAAGCTTACAGGTGACAAAGAAAGGAAGTTATTCCTCAAATGACTGGCATAGCAGTGGTTTGGTGAGGGGAGATTGAGGGTCACCCCCTGAGGAATTCCACCCACACAGCACTGGGTGCTCGAATCAGGCAAAACTGCCGTCTTGGCCTGACTTGATTCCAGGGCCTGGGGATGGCATTGCACAGATACAGGCGGGATCGGGTGAGTTCCCCGGGAGACCTCTTTGGTTTGCTCACTGGCATCAAGGCAATGGATTCTAGGAACCTGGTACTTTGGAGTTTGAATATGCCGGCAGTGTCCTTGGGCCCAGTGCCAGGTTTGTGGTGGGAGAAAAAGTGGTTGGGGACTTCCCTTAAGTCACTCTCAACCTGCTAATGAAGGAAGTAATGGGCTCTGAAGGTAAAATGACAGCATTTTACAGAACACTCTGTAGCTATTGAAAACCATGTTGTAGAAAAACTAATGACTCGGGAGAAGGTTCATGATATATTGCTAAGGGAAAAAAGTGGCTACAAAACAGCATGCGAGGATGCTCCCAGTTTTTGTTTAAAAAAGTATTTATACACTCACATATGTAAAGAAAAAAATAACTGAAAAGAGAGAAATATATATTTTTAGATTTTCATCTTTGACACTTTCTACATTTTCCAAATTTTCTACAGTAGGCATGTATTACTTTTGTAATGAGAAGAAAAAGGTATTAAAATCATATCTTTCATTCATTTGGTATTTATAATTTTCAAGATTTTTAATATATAGACTTTCATTTGATCCTCATAACAGTTCTGTGAATTGGGTAGGACAATTATTCCAATTCTACAGATGAGGAAATTGAGGTTCAGAGCAAATTAGGGATTTGAATAATGTGTTGCCTGGCTTGTAAGATACCGAGCTGGGGCCAGAACCCAAATCTTGTGTATTCTAGGTTAGTGTTCTTTCCATTGCATATTAGGGGTATTGAGATAAACCAATCAACATAATCTACTATCTCATAATTGAGGTCCTAACTGTGTCACTTCCCCCAGGAACACTTGCCCTGATCCCCTTCTTGAGACCAGCTTCCTTGTTATGTGCTCTCTGACACATAGTAGGTTCACAATAGACAATGGCTATCATTGTCAGGAACACGCAAGCAGTGAGTCTCAGGGTTGAGGGGGAGTAGATTTAAAATCTCAAAATAACTGGCTTTGAGAACTGGGTTCGTTTATTTCTGTGTTGTGCAATAAGGCTAGTTACTGGCTATTTAAATTAGAATTTAAGCTGAAAAAATTAAGTAAACATTTGGTTCTTCCATCATCTTAAATCCATTCTAAGTGCTTGCCAGCCATGTGTGGCTATACCATGTTGGACAGCGCAGGCATAGAACATTCCCTTCACCACAGAAAGGTCCGAGCAGGGCTGTCTGGATTGTTTCTCTCTCTTTATGATTACAGATGTATTTTTTCGGCATTATTGGATTCACGTTTGTTCCCTGCACTAGAATATAAAGTTATGAGGGCAAGGATTGTGTCTGTTTTCCTCCCTATCCACAACACTCAGCCCAGTCTTAACACATGGCAATTGCTTTATAAATATCCATCTGATGTTTCCCACTGCTTTAGGATAAAGTCCGTATGCTTTAGTGTGGCTTCCTAGGCCCTGCATAAAGTGGCCTGGCCCCTTCACTAAGTTCTCCCCAGACATTCTTCCTTTATCTCCAACAATTCTATTGCCCCACATTTTCGTCAGTTCCTTGGCTACTCCTTTCCCTCTTTCCGCAGAGCCTTCACACATGCTGTTCCATCTGCTTGTAGCACCCTTCCTCCACCAAAACTTCTGGCTGACTCTTTTTCATCCTTTATGTCTAAGTGGTAAATGGTAAACCTCCCTCCCTCCAGGCAGTCTTCCCTGGCTCCCCAAGTCTGGGTTAGGTGCTTCTCCTACATGCTTTCATAGCACTCTGTACTTCTCTGACCCGGTCCTCCGGGCCCACACTTAGCATACTGTAATGTAATGGCTTCTTAAGGAAGGTCTTTATCTCTCCAGCTAGACTGTGAACTCCCTGAGGCAGAGGCTGTGTCTTTTTTACTCATTGCTGGATCTCCTTGTGCTAGATCAGTGCCTGGCATAAAGTGGTTAATGGGTCAAAAATGTTTATTGGGAACCCACTATGTGCCAAGACTATGCCTGGCACAGGGAGTAAATTAGTGGAGAAAAGAGACATGATCCCCCCAGTCTGAGGGGTTTCCTTAACCTTCAGTGCCTCACAGAATGTTCGTTGAATGAATAAAGGACAGAAGCTGTGTCTGATGTGATTGGCCTATTTCAGGAGGCGGTGATTTCTCTGACCCTGAAATGAAGTCAGGGAAGATATCAGAAGTGTCTCTGCATTGACAGACTTTAGCCACTAGGGTAGTGGTTTCCATGACAGTGTGTGAGGGACAATGGGGAGAGACATCTCCTAGGGAATGCGTGTTTAAATGACTTGGGAATCACTTTGAGATTTTAAATCTACCCATTCCCCATTGGCCCAGAATCACTGCTAGTGTGTTCCTGATAAAATGGTACACATTGTTCATTGTACACCTAGTATGTGTCAGGCTGTGTTCTCATGCTTTACACACATGAAACTCATCTTACCCTCTTAATCACCCTATAAGGGTGATGTAATTATCATCCCCATTTTACAGATGAGGACACAGAGAGGTAAAGCAACTTGCCCAAAGTCTCCCAGCTAATGCGTGGTGGAACCAGGATTTGAGCCCAAGCAGTCTGTCTTCCAATGTGTGTTCTTAGTCACTGAGCTAAAGTCTGCGGAGAGAGTGCGTATCTCAGGTGGGCTGGGGCAGAAAAAAAATTGAGAACCACTTGAGTAGAGAGTTGGATGAACTTGGTGATTCCCTCCACCTCTGAGGCTCATGTTCTTGAGTTTAATTAGCTGGGGAGACATGACTGCTACCCATGAAATCACTCAAGAATGTTCCAAAGTAGGATACAATCCAGTGCTACATTTGGTGGCCCAGACTATATGTGACTCTGGGTAGGGAGAGACCAGGGTAGATGGAAGGACAGGGGGAAGGGTGAATACTCTGGGGCAGGCAGGGGCAGCATGAGGACCAGATATAAGGTAGGTCCACAGCTTGGGGATTGGGCCCAAATAAAGTTTCTCTTTGAGTTCTAGAAGAGGCTTGAGCCTGTCATCATTAATTTGTCATGGAGCGATCGATCACCCACTGTATTCCAGGCACTGAGCTGGGTGCTAAGTGTGTTAAAAGCAGAGCATAGCCAATCCCTCTCCTCATGGAGTTCACAGTCTTCTGAGGGAAACAGACAGCAGTCAGATAATTACACAAATGAGTAAGTAACCACAAAGGGCAATAAAGGATGGAATGGAAATAAACATAGTTCTTTGGGAACACATAACAAAGGAATCTTACCTGGGCTTGCTGTGGGTTGGGGAGAGGAGGTCAGGGAAAGCCTCTCTTCCAAGTTAAGCTGAGATATGAGTGATGGGTTGGTGTTACCTGGTTAAAGATGGCCAAAGGGTTTCCAGGTTGGGGGACAAGCATGTGCAAAGGTCCTGTGGTAGGAAAGAGCACAAAGAATTCTGGGGAGTAAAAGAAGGTCAGGATGGCTAGAAAGTGGAGCGAAGCAGGAAAGCAGGCAGAGCTGGAGAGGGAGCCTGGGGCCAGACCATGCAGAGCCTGAATGGTGGGGGACCATACATCTCAGTTTGCCAAGGACAGTCCTGGTTTACTCTTGTTTCCCTAGCAAACTAGGAATAGTGTCTTGGTTTGGATGAAAGAATGTATGGCCACCTTCTTAGGTCACATTAAGGATTTAGTTCTTCTGGAAAACGGGAAGTGGCTACAGGGTTTTTTAGCAGATGACATTCTCCCCCGACAGAATCAGATTCAGGTTTCCTTGGCAACTCTGGCTGCAGTGAGGAGGGTGGATTGGAGGGGTCGAGCTTGCATGTGATTGCTAATGATAAAAAAAAGTCATTAGCAGTAGAGAGAGTTACTCCCTTCCACTCCACCTTCTCAAAGAAAGTTCCAGAACTCAGGGTTAGAAGAGGACCGCTCTCCAGCCATGAGTTGGCTGGGTTTAGATCTCCCTGGTGTCTCTTTGCCAGAGGACTATGTGACATGCAGTCTCAGGGTGAGTGGAGCCCTGGCACGATTTCCCAGGAGACCAGGGCCTTTATACCAGTTCTGGAAAAAACACACATAGGTCTCACCAAAATGTCACCATAGGCCAGCTAGCATATGGCTGTCCCTCAAAGGCACCAGCTGTAGGGATCTGACACCATCCCAGGGCTGCCTTATTGATATTGTTGATGGGCCAGGACATGGCAGTGAGCACTCATTTTCCTAGAGGCTTCTTAGATTTCAGGTAAGTATCAGAGTTTGAGAGGCTGTTCAAAAAACCTACCCTGAGAGGTCGTTCGTTCTCTCTTGTTCTCGTTCTCTCTCTCTCTCCCTCCCCCCTCCCCTGCCCTCCCTCTCTCTCCACCCTCCCCATCTCTGTCCCCTGCCTCTCTGTCTCTCTTTCTGGAGCTTTTACTTTGAGTCTATGTTAAAGCACTATTACCCCACCCACTAGCCTATTAAAAGTGCCTGGGCTTGGCTGCTTTTTCAAAGCATCTTGGTTCTTTTCTCTTGCTTGGTGAAATGAAAACAGAGTTATTCTAGTGGAACATTTTACATTAGATGCAATCTAAGAAAATGGCTTATAGCACCGAGGACTCCTTTGGAAGCAGCCAGGGCTTGGAGTGGGGAGAGACAAACGGGACAGGGGGAGCAAGTTGAGCAGAGTGCACTCTGACAGAGCACGGGGCAGGGAGGGTGAGGCCGAGCCTCTGAATGTCCCCAGGAGCTTGGGTGGCACCAGGATGAGTCACACAAATTGATGCCTCTTTTTAGTGCTTTTATTCCCCAGGATTTAATTTTTTTTTTTTTAGTCCAAAATTGTGTAGCTCTTTAACAAGGAGCCTGTCTCTGTTCACCTCCTTTTTCTGCCCCCATCCTTCCTGCTCTTAATGTTTTTTTCTTTTCTTCATGTTTTTACTGCTTTCCTAACCCCAGCCTGAGATTCCATTTTCTCTGACACCCACCTACCATGCATTTTTGGGTTGTAAATGAACCATCTAGCAGCAAGAAACAAAGGTTTCTAGCTAATCTCCCTGTTAATGCTGGGGCTCAGAGGCCTGGGAGTTTTCAGCTCGGCCTGTCTCTAATAGGAAATCACGGGCATGACCAGCTCTGAACAACAACTGAGGCCCCTGGAGTCATTGTGCAGTTCTATTCCCAACAGAACCAGAGTTACTGACTCTGCCTTATATAAGTTAGCACCAAACTGAGCCTCTGAGTCCCTCTCCTTAAATCTTCCTAATTCACAGGAGAGGCCAAAGTTCAGAGAAATGACATGGGGGAGATGAATTCACACACTCTGGGTGCCAGATTCCCAGTCCAGTGCTCCTTTTTTTTTTTTTTTTTTTTTTTGAGACGGAGTCTCGCTCTGTCGCCCAGGCCGGACTGCGGACTGCAGTGGCGCAATCTCGGCTCACTGCCAGCTCCGCTTCCCGGGTTCACGCCGTTCTCCTGCCTCAGCCTCCCGAGTAGCTGGGACTACAGGCGCCCGCCACCGCGCCCGGCTAATTTTTTGTATTTTTAGTAGAGACGGGGTTTCACCTTGTTAGCCAGGATGGTCTCGATCTCCTGACCTCATGATCCACCCGCCTCGGCCTCCCAAAGTGCTGGGATTACAGGCGTGAGCCACCGCGCCCGGCCTCCTTTTTTTTTTTTTTTTTTAGATCTCCCTGGGGTCTGATTGCCAGGGAATTATGCAATGTCCAGTCTCAGGGTGAGTGGAGCCCTAGCATGATTTCCAAGAAGACCAAGGCCTTCATAGCTGGAAAAAACACACATAAATCTCCCCACATGTCACTCATAGGCCAGTGAGAACACGACTGAGAACTTCTCATCAGGGCCATTCATCTAAGGCACCAGCTGTGGGGATATGATGCCATCTCTCTTGATGAAGACAGGAGCTCAGAGGGCATAATCATCTTGACTTCTTCTTGTGGCATCATTCTAAGGACTTCAGGGGACCCTATGGGACCCTGCAGGACTCGTTCTGATTGTCTTCTCACAAAATAATGGACCCATGGAGAGAGTAAGCGTTTAGCTGGGAAAGTAGCTAAGTATGTGGCTCTAGGCAAAATGTTGCAGATGCCCATGGGGCCAGGCAAACCATGTACATGAGGGATAGCAATGGGGAATGGTGGGGACTGTGGCAAACTGAACACCGCCTGCCTCAACTAAAAGAGGCATGCACTACTGAGTACCAGCCTATTTGTTGTTGACACAGAGGAAGGAGGGCCCAGGGTAACCTGATTTGTGACTTTTCAGGAGGGACCAGAAGTCTGGACTTCTTAAAATATAAAATCTGATTTAAAAAATATTGGCCCTATTAAAATATGAAACCTTGAGTTGGTCAGACCCAATTTCTTGTGTGACTTGCACTCAGACTGTTCTAGAACTCAATGCAGTTTCTGCTCTGGACACCTGGACGAATCTGGGCAAGGTGATAGGGACAGGGAGCAGGGGCGAAGGATGCTAAGTGCTGACACGCACTCAGCCCATTCCCTGGTGCTTCCTCTTCTGCCTCACCCCTTCAACAACTTTCCCATAAAGGAAAAAAAATTATACCGGAAGAATGCTGTGGGGTTTCTGTTGTCAGAGTAGAGGGGTACGTTTAATGCTGTTGGAATTAAATCCATCCTACTCAGCTAGCAAAGGGCTAGGAGGCATCATGATGTAGGACCAGACACAGGATTAAAAAAAAGCTACTCATGCAACCAGAAAAAATGAACAAGCAACCCCACTAAAAAGTGGGCAAAGGATTGAAGAGACATTTTTCAAAAGAAGATCTATAAGTGGCCAACAAATATATGAAAAAAATGCTCATATCACTAATCACAGAAATGCAAATAAAAAACACAATGAGATACTATCTCACACCAGTCAGAATGTCTATTATTAAAAAGTCAAAAAAACCAAACAAACCAGATGTTGGTAAGAATATGGAGAATAGGGAACGTTTATACACTGTTGGTGGGAAGGTAAATTAGTTCAACTCTTATGGAAAATAGTAGGGAGATTTCTCAAAGAACTAACAGTAGAACTACCATGAGATCCAGCAGTCCCACTACTGGGTATCTACCTAAGGGAAAATAAATCATTATATCAAAAACGTACCTGCATTCGTATGTTTAACACAGCACAACTCACAATAGCAAAGTCATGGAATCAACCTGTGTTCATCAATGGAGGACTGGATTTAAAATGTGGTATATGTACATCATAGAATGCTATACAGCCATATGAAAGAATGAAATCATGTCTTTTGTAGCAACTTGAATGGAATAGAGGCCATTATCCTAAGTGTTCTCATTTATAAGTGGGAGCTAAACAATAGGTACACATGGACATATAGAGTAGAATAGTAGACACTGGAGACTCCAAAAGGTGGGAAGGTGGTGGGAGCGGTGAGGGATGAAATGCTACCTATTGGGTACAATGTGCACTATTTGGGTGACAGGTACCCTGAAAGCCCTGAGTTCACCACTATGCAATATATCCACCTAACACAAGTGCACTTGTATCACTTAAATCTATTTTTTAAAAATGAAAAACATAGAAAAAAGAAAAAGGCAAAAGCAATATGAGAAAAGTAGTTACTGCTTATTGAGTGCTTACTATATGCCAGGCATTATATATTAGGTCATTTAAGCCTGGCAATGACCATATGGTATAGATTTTTTTTTTCTTTTTTGAGACAGGGTCTGATATGGTTAGGCTTTGTGTCCCCACCCAAATCTCATCTTGAATTATAATCCCCATGTGTCAAGAGAGAGACCAGGTGAAGGTAATTGAATCATGGGGGCAGTTTCTCCCATGTGTTCTCATGACAGTGAGCTCTTATGAGATCTGATGGTTTTATAAGGGGCTCTTCTCCCTTTGCTGGGCACTTCTCCTTACTGCTGCCTTGTGAAGAAGGTGCCTTGCTTCCCCTTCACCTTCCACCGTGATTGTAAGTTTCTGAGGCCTCCCCAGCCATGCTGAACTGTGAGTCAATTAAACCTCTTCCCTTTATAAATTACCCAGTCTCAGGCAGTTCTTTATAAAGTATGAAAATGGACTAATACAGGGTCTCACTCTGTCACTCACGCTGGAGTGTAGTGGCTCAATCATGGCTCACTGCAGCCTCAACTTCCCAGGCTCAAGTGATTCTCTTGTCTCAGCCTCCCAAGTAGCTGGGACTACAGGTGCATGCTACCCGTATTTTTTTTTTTTTTATCGTAAAGACAGGGTTTCACCAGGTTGCCAAGGCAGTCTCGATCTTCTGAGCTCAAGCAATCCACCTGCCTCAGCCTCCCAAGGTGCCGGGATTACAGGTATGAGCCATGGTGTGGACGTGGCATATATTTTATTCTTCTTTTTTTTTTTTTTTTTTTGAGATGGAGTCTCACTCTGTCACCCAGGCTGGAGTGCAGTGGCACAATCTTGGCTCACTACAAGCTCTGCCTCCTGGGTTCACGCCATTCTCCTGCCTCAGCCTCTTGAGTAGCTGGGACTACAGGTGCCCACCACCATGTCCAGCTAATTTTTTATATTTTTAGTAGAGATAGGGTTTCACCATGTTAGCCAGTATGGTCTCGATCTCCTGACCTCGTGACTGGCCCACCTCGGCCTCCCAAAGTGCTGGGATTACAAGCATGAGGTACCACGCCCAGCCTTATTATTCTTTTTTTTTAAAAAATGGGTAGAGAAATTAAAGCTCAAAGAAGTTAAATAACTTGTTCAAGGACACACAGTAAGTGGCAGATATGCAGGCACACACAAACCACATACGCTCTACATACAGACACATAAAACTTTCAAAAGCTGTTCTATTTTGGTTTCCAGGCCCCCTATAAAAAAGCTATTTTCATGTCTTGCACAGTTTTTCATTAGTGATTACCATCTTGGATGAGCTCACCTTTCCCATGAACTGCAGTTTACTGGCTTGGCAAAGGTATCTGCCAGTTTGGTTGTGGCTTTATTCCTGTCTCAGCTCCCAGACAAGAAGTGCTCAGACTGGGAAACAACCCAGCCCGTCTTTGTGGCAGCCAGAAAGCTGGCAGCAAGTGAGGAGTGAACAGGGAACAAAAGTACAAAAGTCTTGTCTTGTCTTTTCTCTCTTTCTTTCTTTCCTTTCCTTTCTTTTCTTCTCTTTTCCTTTCTTTCTTTCCTTTTCTTTCTTTTTCTTTCTTTGTCTTTCTTTCTTTCTTCTTTCTCTTTCTTTCCTCTTTCTTTCTTTCTTTCTCTCTCTCTCTCTTTCTTTCTTTCCTTATTTCTTCCTTTCTTTCTTTTCTTTCTTGGGTCTTGCTGTGTCACCCAGGCTGGATTGCAGTGGCGCGATCTCAGGTCACTGCAGCCTCAACCTCCCTGGCTCAAGCAATCCTCCCACCTCACCCTTCCATGTAGCCAAGACCACAGCTGTGCACCATCATGCCCAGCTAGTTTTTATTTATTTTTTTGTAGAGATGGGGGTCTCATTATATTGCCCAGCATGGTGTTGAACTCATGGGCTCAAGCGATTCTCCCATTTGAGCCTCCCAAAGTGCTGGGATTACAGGCATGAGCCACCGCACCCGGATAAGTCATCTCTTCATTTCTGCCCTTTTTTTTTGGGCCTAGGCCAGGCCTTCTGCTCTTATTCCTTTCCCTTCCCCCACTGATAAAATGGGATAGGCCTGCTCTGTCGCTTCCTCAGCCTCAGCTGCAAGCCTCTGTGTATGATCTGGAGCTCAAGAGAGAATGTCTGTCATATTTTTGCAAAGGAGGTACTTTTTTTTTAAAGCAAAACCAATTTATCTTAGAAAGCATGTATTTGCTGGGAACAGAAGTTGCCCAGAGTTAGCTTAGGTAAGGAAGAGTATTCTAAGGTTATGGACCTGCTGGAATCTAAATAAAATCTGGCCATTTAAGCCACAGGAACGATGGGGATCAGGCTACTCCTAGGACAGCAGTAGCAGCAGGGTTCCTGACCTTGGCATTGGAGCTTTGCCATTAACTCCACAGCTAAACTCTACATGTTAATGTTTTATCGGCTCTGCTCCCATCTCAAAGATTCCATCTCAAATTCCTGGGAGAGGCACATCAAAGGCCATCACATTGGGCCCGATGGCCATCACTGATTGATTGAATTAGCTGTGGACAGGGGCCCCCAAAATGTATGGTGCTCCTTATCATTTTACTGCAATGTTATTCCTACAGCTAAGAGTAGATCAGAATGCCCAGAATGAGTGAAGGCACCCAGAAACATCAGGCATTTTTTTTTTCCTGATAAAACTTGAATATCTTTGGAGTTTCTTTTTCTAGTGGTTGGACCCAAATGTCTCTGCTCTAAATTTTTTAAAACTTTAAATTTTTTAAATTTAATTTTTTATCACAATATATACTTGCTTGTGCTGATGGCAAATGATACCCTCTCCTTGGGACAAAATAACAACAGAAAAGAACCTGGGAAGAAATCAGAGGGGAGAGCGTCAGGTTTCTAACCCGTTAAGGGGAGAAGACATCAGGGTCTAAATCTTAACTCAGACACTGGACTGTCCTAATTCATTTTGGCAAAAATGATGACAGAGATATAGAATGCAAGACATCTTTGTAGCAAACCTCTGAATCTGGAATAGTAACACCCTGAAATGAAGTAGGTGAGAGCGCCCAGGACAGTGACTGGCACATAATAGAAGCTCAGTTAGTGATAATATTGATTGTGATGTTAACTCCTGAAGGCAGGGATCACCATATACCTAGGCCTAAGTGCAAAATAAGGTTGTTAACTGAATAGCTGATGTTGCACCATGGCCCAGTGAGAGCAGAAAATGCATCGCATAGGAGGGACTTGGTGAAAAAAAGAGAGACAGCCTGGATGGAAAGAAAAAGAGCTGGAGAGAAATGAACTTGGCACCTTTTAGAAGACACTAGAGATGCCATTGCAGACTAATTACTATTATTACACTGGGGGTGATGTGTGGGCACCTGTTTTTTTTTTTAACTTAGTGTTTTACTGAGGTAAAATACACATACATGCCATCTTTACTATTTTTAAGTGTACAGTTAATGGTAATATGTACATTTATATTCTATTTTTTCCCTTCATCCCTCCTCCCCTCTACCCTTCCCGGCCTGTAGTACCCACCAATCTACACACTATCTTCAAGAGATCCACTTTTTATTTTATTTTAATTAATTAATTAATTTATTTATTTATTTAGATAAAGTCTTTCTCTGTCACCCAGGCTGGAGTGCAGCGGTGCAACCTCGGCTCACTGCAGCCTCTGCCTCCTGGGTTCAAGTGATTCTCCTGCCTCAGCCTCCTGAGCAGCTGGGACTACAGGTACCCACCACCATGCCCAGCTAATTTTTGTATTTTTAGTAGAGATGGGGTTTCACCATGTTGGCCAGTATGGTTTTGAACTCCTGACCTCAGGTGATCTGCCAGCTTCAGCCTCCCAAAGTGCTGGGATTACAGGGGTGAGCCACCATGCCCAGCAAGAGATCCCCTTTTTAAACTCCCACATATGAGTTAGAACGTGCAATATTTGTCTCTCTGTGCTTAGTTTATTTCACTTAACATAATGACCTTCAGTTCTATCCATGTTACTGCAAATGACAGGATTTCATTCTTTTTTATGGCTGAATAATATTCCATTCTGTATATATACCTCTTTTTTTAATCCATTCATCCATTGATAGGCACTTAGGTTGAATCCATATTTTGGCTATTGTGACTAGAACTGCAATAAACATGGGAGTGCAGATATCTCTTTGATATGCTAATTTCCTGTCTTTTGGATACACAGCCAGTAGTGGAATTGCTGGATCATATAGTAATTCTATTTTTAGCTTTTTGAGGAAATGCCATACTGTTCTCCACAGTGATTGTACTAATTTACATTTCCACCAACAGTGTATGGGTTCCCCTCTTTCCACAACTTTGCCAGCATCTGTTATTGCCTCTTTTTGATATAAGCCATTTTAACTAGGGTGAGATGATATCTCATTGTGGTTTTGATTTGCATTTCCATGATGATTAGTGATGTTGAGCATTTTTTCATATGCTTTTTGGCCATTTGTGTATCTTCTTTGGAGAAATGTCTGTTCAGATCTTTTGCCCATTTTTTAATCAGATTATTTGGTTGTTTGCTATTGAATTCTTTGAGCTCCTTATAAATTTTGGATACAGCCATGGATAAGAACCACTGGTTTTAAAAATCATTCTGAATCTGCTCTAATTATGTCCATGAACTTCTAGGGGTTTGTGATTTTCCTGAACCTGGAGGTATTATGAGGAGACCACTTAAATATGGATTTACAAGTTGGCACCATGTAATTGGTCCATCATAATGATCAATGATCAGAAATGTTTTGGGGTGTTTGTGGAGTCCTGATAAGATAAGTAAGCAACAATGAGGAAGGGGACCCAGGTAGGGGGCGGTGGGGAACAATTATTCTGAGAGATGGCTGACCACAAACAACCCACTGGCACAACTTTCTTTTCCCAAATACCTCCCTCCATATGTGGCCCCAGCAGCATGACCTTCTCTGCACATAGCCCCTCCAGTGTGACCCTATTAAACTTCCCTGAAGCTCTTGCCTCTTTGCCAACAGCCCCTTCTCTGCTGCGCTGCCCATTGCTTCCTTGCAATGTACTTTCCCTCTAATAAACTTTTTTTCTTTAACTCACTACTATTTTGGTAAATTCTGTTACCACCCTTGACGCCAGCCCCAGTCAGTTGGCACCCAGAACAGTTTCTAGCTTCTGAGGGAGATGGGAGAAAGAGTGATGAATGATAGAAGGGCATCACTTATTGAACATGTGCCATGGCCCCAGCTGTGCCCAGGATCCAGTGTCTGTGACTGGTCAGTCCTTGCAACAAGCCTTGAAGTGAGTCCTATTATACAGATGAAAATTATTTATAGATGAGGAAATGGACGCTAATGTGGCTAAGTATGACTTGCAACATTGGCTTAGATCACCCCACCAATGTGGCTCATGTGAGAAGAGAGAGGTGGGGGGCTGTCTTGGGAGTCATTTTAAATGCAAAATAAATGATGATGGTGAGTTTGAAAAACCTCAATGTGTCTCTAAGTCCAGAGCTTAAGAAAAGCCCCAAAAAGTGCAAAATAGCCTTTTTACTGTAAGCCAAAAAGTATCTGAGACAGGTCTAAATCAATTGAGAAATTTATTTTGCCAACATTTAGGATCATGACCCATGACACAGCCTCAGGAGGTCCTGAGAACATATGCCCAAGGTGGTTGGGTTACAGGTTGATTTTATAAGTTTTAGGGAGACATAAGACATCAACCAATATATGTGAAGTATACATTGGTTTGGTCCCAAAAGATGAGCTATCTTGAAGGGGGATTGGGGGGAAGTTGAGGGTTGGTGCAGCTTCCTGGTCATAGGTGGATTAAAAGATTTTCTGACTGGCAATTTGTTAAAAGAGTTAGTTTATTATCTAAAGACCTAAAATCAATAGAAAGCAATGTCTGGGTTAAGATAAGGAGTTGTGGAGACCAAGGTTCTTATTACATAGATGAAGTCTCATAGGTGACTGTCACTTTACAGGCAATAGATAGCAAATGTTTCCTATTCAGATCTTTAAAAGGTGCTGGACTCTCAGCTAATCTCTTCAGGATCAGAAAAAGACCTGGAAAGGAAAGGGGATTCTCTACACAATGTAAGTTTCCTCCCCCACAAGACAGTGTTGCAGGGCCATTTCAAAATACGTCCAGGAAATATATTTTAGGGTATAATACTTTGATTTCTTTCAGGGCCTGATGTATTTAGATTTGAATATTTAGATTATTAGATTTAATTTATTTAGATTATTAGATCATTTAAACTTTTAGATATTATTTAGACTTTGATTTATTTAGATTTGAGAACACAAATTTAGTTTTTATTTTGAAACATAAATAGAGATGAGGTCTCCCTATGTTGCCCAGGCTGGTCTCGGACTCCTGGGCTCGAGTGATCATCCCACTTCTCCCTCCCAAAATGCTGGGACTACAGGCATGAGCCACCATGCCCAGCCTTTTAAGAATACAAATCTATTAAAAAGATTTATTTCATCCAGAGTAGCTATGGGTTGTTAAGTGTTTTTCTTAATCAATGAACAAAGAAGTAGGAGGTTTGTGAAAATTGACTTAGAGGTTAGGAACTTCATCATGTATAAAAATCTGCATATTAATGATAACAATGGAAATACTAATTCGCTGGGTACTCCCACTTTGTGGCAGCACTTCGTGAATCACCTTAGAAGTGTTATGTCACATAATTTTTATCATGATCCTATACTTGACATAGGAAGTAAAAAATTTCCCCTTTTTACAAACAAGGGAAATGAGGCCCAGAGTGATTAAATGGTTTTCCTGGCTGGGCAAGGTGGTTCACACCTGTAATCCCAGCACTATGAGTGGCTGAGGTGGGAGGATCACTTGAGCCCAGAGGTCCAAGACCAGCCTGAACAACATAGCAAAATGCTGTATTTGCAGATAATAATTTAAAAAAGTTAGCCATGTCATGGCCCATGCCTGTAGTCCCAGCTACTTGGGAGGCTGAGGTGGGAGGATCACTTATGCCCATGAGGTTGAGGCTGCAGCGAGCTATGATTGTACCACTGCACTCCAGCTTGGACAGAGTAAGACCCTGGAGTGAGACCCTATCTCAAAAAATAAAAAAAAAAATGAAAAGAAAAAAGGTCTCATGTCTGGTCAGGGATGAGGTAGATGGGCTGCGAGGTTTTTGAATGACTCTAAAATACTAGGCAAGGTGGATGGTTGGGGAACCATCACTTATACACTGAGTTCCCAGTAGGCTTAGGCACTGTGCCAGGCATTTTCTGTTACTTGAACTCCTTTAATATCCTACCAACATCATCCTGCCTTCCCCCTCTAAAGGACCACAGCCTGGCTGGCTTCTGAGGTGGCATTTGGGAAGAACAGGTTTTTCCTGGGAGCCTGCTTTCCTTTGGATCCTGCCCCTGCAGTCCTTCCTGGCTATGGCTCAGAGTTCCAGGACAGAGGCCTGGCTACTAACTGGTTTCCTTCAGCTCAGACAGAGCTGGAGGGCGAGAAGCTACAGAGGCATCCTTGAGGGGCCCAGTGGGTATTTGCTCAGCTCCCATGATCCCATCCAGATGTGAGGAGCACAGTTGGCTAATTAAGCTGAAAGCAGCATTAAGAATCCCAGGGAAGAAATCAAGACATCTGTTCCCCTCAGATCCTCACTTGGTTCCTTTGTGTTGCTACTTGGTAAGAACGGGGCCCCCTCCTCCCAGCTAAAGGCCAGTAGTTGGGTGGGGGTGAGGGAGATGAAGGGGAGGGGAAGGCAGTTAGGAGGAGCTGCCCAAGAAGCAATGTTTTCCTCCTCCCTTCTGTGTGTGCGCCCCAGGGCTGCGCATTTTACTTAACACCTACATTTAGTGGAACCAGCCCCATTTCTATTTGGGAATAGCTTGCAGACCTGATTTTCTTTTCATGCAATTGACAGAATTGGCAGCATTCCCTACCCCACCCCCCTACACTGATTTTTTTTTTCAAGTCATGTCATGTGAGCTGCCTCCACTGCCCCATCCACTAGAGAAATAAGGCTATTATCTGAATTATCAAGGTGGATAAACAGAACAAAATTTTAACGAAAGCCCTACATTTGACCTCACGTGCCTGGGTAACTCAGCCCAGAGTAATGCAGATGCAAGCACCACTCAGCTCTCCCCGGGTGCAAGTGAGGCAAAAACCAAGGGAAGCTCAAAATCATTTCTTTTTCTCTGGTTTAGAGTGAAACCAGAGATTGGATGCATGCATTCACTACCATGCAGTATGCTCCCAGCCTCCTCTGGCACCCAGGTGGGAACAGGGAAAAGATGTCAGAGGAAGGTAACAGAGGCTTATACATTGAATATTTATTAGATGCCATTCAGTGAATAGTCAGTTCTACATCTTCTTGTTTTTGTTACTGTTTATAATAAAAGCTAATATTTATGGAGTGCTTACATTTGCCAGGCATTGTTTTAAGTACCTTTTTATTCTCACCTGTTCTTATATCATCTGCTATTCAAAGGATAACTAACTTGGAGGCCACATCCTCAGACTCAGGTCTCTGATCCCAAGTGCATGTCGTTATCACAGTGCTATGCTGTGTTTTCTGTTTTACATATTTTAAGCTAGTTAGTTGTCATAACCTTCATAATAATGGCTAATTACTCCCATCTTCATTTATAGGCTAGGAAAGTAAGTTAGGCTCAAGAAGGGGAAACAGAGTTAAGGTGAAGTAAATTAAGCAGCAGGGTAAGCCCCATCTACTGCCACTGCTGGGGCTGCTACTGTTATTATTAGAGTCATATCAAGTTAGGCATCAGGCTGGGTGTGGTGGCTCAGGCCTGTAATCCCAGCACTTGGGGAGGCCGAGGTGCGCGGATCACTTGAGGTGAGGAGTTCGAGACCAGCTGGCCAAGATGGCGAAACTCCGTCTCTACTAAAAATACAAAAATTAGCTGGGCTTGGTGGTGCATGTCTGTAATCCCAGCTACTTGGGAGGCTGAGGCCCGAGAATTTCTTGGATCTGGGAGGTGGAGATTGCAGTTAGCTGAGATCCAGCCATTGCACTCCAGGCTGGGTGACAGAGCAAGACCCTGTCTCAAAACAAAGCAAAACAAAACAAAACAAAAACTGCATCAGTTCTCTGACACCTTGAAGCACAACCTTTTGACTGTTTTGTTCCCTGTTGAATTGGTGAATTCCAAAACAGTCTACTTTTTTGCTCCTCTGTGTGGATGTAACCTTCAGGCAGGGCTGCCTGGACTAGAAGACTCCGGGTTCTCCAAGGAGGTCTATTGCCAGTGCCTGCCCCCATACCCCTGGGAGAGTCTCCTCACTGGGCAGCCTGAAGCTCTAACTTTCACTGCCTCCTGTAGATCTTTCAATTTGGAAGATATGTAAGAAAATTAGTGAAATGAAGAGATGCTAATGAAATAAAAACTCACCCAAGCTTTATATATTTTAATCTTCAGAAATACTTGGAAACCACTATGATTTAATGTTTCCACCAAGGTCCAGAAAGTGAGCAAATGTATTTACTAAATTTAAATCCGTTTTTCACACCTGGTGGGCTTCTGTGATATCCTGAGTCACAAGACATCAAAAGGAAAGTGTATTACAAGAAATGAAAAATTAAGAAACATTTTTTTCTCTGCATAACCCAGTGTAACCCCTAACTACACCTGAGGGACAGGACGATTTTTGTTTATTTTTTCAGGGTTTCCTGATGAGCAGTTGGTGGGGTCAGCTTACACCCTTCCCGGTATGTGGCTCTTGGGACATTGAGGATGACCAGATCCTCTCTGGGCGTGTCCAGGGCCTTTTTCTGGACAGTGATCTCTCTTCACCTGCGAGGGTGCCCTCAGTGCTCTCAGGAAAACCTGGGAAATAATTGAGAAGCCTGGATGCCCTCCTTCTAGATTTTTTAAATTTGTTTTTTAAAGCTTGTTAATTGACAAAAATCATATATATTTATGGTGTACAACATGAAGTATCGACATGTGTATGCATTATGGAATGGCTAAATCAAGCTAATTAAAATATGTATTACCTCACATACTTCTCTTTTTTTGTGGTGAGAACACTAAAAATCTACTTTGTGATTTTCA
The DNA here is from genome assembly GCF_000001405.40 of Homo sapiens. Taxonomy (NCBI): domain Eukaryota; kingdom Metazoa; phylum Chordata; class Mammalia; order Primates; family Hominidae; genus Homo; species Homo sapiens. Next base: position 104,501,183 of record NC_000010.11, read on the forward strand.
AGTATAGGCTACATTGTTATTAACTGTAGTTACCATGCTGTACAGTAGATCTCTTGAACTTATTCTTCCTATATAACTAAAATGTTCTATCCCTTGGTCAACATCTCCCCAACTCCACCCTACCCCTCAGCCTCTAGTAACTATCATCCAACTTTTTAAAATTTCACATGTGAGACTGTGTGGTTTGTCTTTCTGTGTCTGGCTTATTTCACTTAACATGATGTCTTCCATGTTCATCCATGTTCCTGCAAATGACAGGATCTTCTTTTTTAGGGCTGAATATTATTCCATTATGTACAGATATCACATTTTCTTTTTTCTCTTTATCCGTTGGTGGATACTTAGGTTGATTCCATATCTTGACTATTGTGAATAGTGCTCTGATGAACATGGCAGCACAGACATCCCTTTGACATATTGATTTCATTTCCCTTGGCTGTATGCCTAGTAGTGGGTATCCTGGATCATATCAACAGGGATTTTAAGTTCTGCCAGCTGCCCTCTCAAATGGGGTGTTGGATTCAGACATACTTAGTTTATACTTCCTGCTCAGTCGTGAGCTGGGTGAGCAAGTCATTAAGCTATCTCTTCTCTTTTCTGAGATTCTGAAATCTAATCCTTAGAGTTGCTAGATGAGAATGAAGAGTAAAGATGTATTTTGCTTTCCAAATGGCATATCCCAAACTTAAGACAACACTGACCATGTGCCCAAAGCAGGTCTTGGAGCATAACCCTAACCCTAAAGCTTTCTGCTGTATCTTAAACATTCCTGCCATTTGTATTTTATTCTATAATATATGCCCATGCTCGTTTCCATGTAAATAGTGCTCTCTGCCTCTTACCTCTTTGGCTAGAGAACTGACATTCCAGGATGCCTGTGTATTGTGTGCACCCTGTGATGCCCTGGAGCCCTTGGCATCAGCTACCTGTCACCACCACCCAGTCCCTGAAGCATGGGTGTCTGAGAAAGTGTCAGCACAGTGCCTGGTGCTTGGTAAGGCTCATTTAATCCTGATCCAAAATAATCTCTGGAATAAAGGCTGAAGAGGTCACAGGACAAAGGCTTCTTTGGAGGACACCTGTTTGCCCTTCCCTGCCCCCGGACCGGCTGCTCTTCTGCCTTTATGTGGTTTCAGCTCCCGCTGAGGGACCAAGCACTTGCTGCTCATTGAGTTTGTCAGCATTTCCCCCATGGATCTCAGACTGACTAATTAGCCTTGCCTGCCGGATTGCTGAAGCCACAGGGCACTGCCAGGCCAGCACTGTTCCACATGGCATCAGCTGAGACAAGCAGGGCTGGGTCTTTAACCCTATCCTTGTCAACTCTGTGATCTGTGGGTGGGTCCCTGTTGCGTGGGTGTGTTTGGGTTCACATGTAGGGTACACGCCTGTGTGAGCTTGTGGGATGTGGGCTGTGAGCTCTGTTCATGGAGTTAGCAGCTGTTTACCTGGATGGTCAGAGCTGGTCAGGACACTTAGAAAAACTGAAGCCAAAGATTCTTATCAATATTGAATACAATTTAGGGGATGTGGCTGGGGAACTGAAACTATTGCCCTGATTCTGATGCAAAAAAAAAAATAAATTTTAATGTCTAACTTGGCCTTTTGGTTTGAAAGAATCAGGATAACTTTTTAAAAGTCAGGCTGGGCAGAAGATTGTTCTTTCTGTCTCTCTCACATGCATTTAACATAAGTTTCTTCAAGCTGTGGCAGTGTGAGGTTAAAAACGGATCATGCCATCAGTAATCTCCTGTTTCCCTATCTCTCAACCCCTCCTGCTACTGCAGGGCTGCAATCGTTGCCCAAAGCCCATCAAGTGTTCTTGGACATACCCAGAGAGTATGCCGTGTGAGCTTACAAGCAAGCCTGGTCGGCTGCTGCAGGTTTCTGCCAGGCACTGCTGCCCTGGCCTGCCACCGGGCCATCTGTGTATTTCTGCCTCTGCTGGATATCACCACATCTGCAGGGCACTGCTGCTTCCCCATACTTCACTGCCATCTCCCACAGAACACCAAGAACTCCCTCCAACAATGCCAGCCCTCCCACTGAGGCATCATGAATGCCCACGAACTTTCCAGGTGCCAGGCATGGTGGTCTGTGGCAATGTTGGGAGGGAATGGCTGTCTCCAGTGTGTGCTTCCCCAAAGCAGTACTGGCTGCAGCTGCTGCCCGAAGTAGTATTCAGGTGTAGAGCTCTTTCAGCTTCCACTTTAGGTCCTCTCTCCCTGGAGGATCAGGGTAGTGTGAGGTTAGATCTGAGTAATGAATTCAAACTGACTTGGATTTGAAGCCCGAATCTCCCAATTGGTAGCATCTGTGCTAGGGAAAGTTCTTCAAAACCTTCATTTGTGAAACAGTACTAAAACAGTAGTACCTAACTCAGGGTTTCATGGAGGCAAAATGAGCTGATGCATACAAAACTCGGTGTACTTGGTAAATGCCCTGTAATGCTGGCTGATATTAATTAGCTAATAGAGTTCAATGATACAGCACAGAGGCTGGGGACAGACAGGGACAAGTGACAGATTCAATGCTATCAATAGAATTGCACCTCCCCTCTCACCCTGAGGACTTGATATTGGGTCAAGTTTTCCCTTATGTATCTCCCTCTTCTCTTAGGAATTTCACTGCCAGGAGGCCTCTCAGGCCTTATAATAATCTCCTAAAGGGAGTCACCAATTCTTCAGACATATCTGAGTCCCAGAGCTGATACATCTTAGGCTCAACATGGGAACTGCTCCCTCTTGTTCCCTATTCATTTGACTCTATCTCTTTGTCCACCTATGCGTCTAAGCATAGTAGCATTTTTTTTGCATATGTGTGTGTGTCTGTGTCTTTGTGTGTGTATGTGTATAATGACAGCTACTAAGTTCTTTGATATTTACTTAAAATGCCCCCCGTGAGCAGAGACATATAATAGGCTCTATTAGAGGATGCAGATGAAGGATTTAATTTCCCACACTCAAAAAAATGTATCTGAATGAGGCATCAGGAAACCTGGGCTTGCCTCTTGTCTTGGAAGGCCGAGTTGGATAACAAAGGGATGGTGTTGCCTGTGTTGGAGGAGAGAGGTTTTCCTGAACAATTTGTGAAAGTCACTATGAATATACTGATGCTCCCTGAAACCAAGAATCCCCAAAGACGCATTATTGGCTCCAGCTTTGTTGGCAATGGGCATACATTTCATTTCCTTCCATCCTTCAGCTCCTCAGAGCATGCAGAACTTTCTACCATTTAAATGACCCTGCTATGTTATTGGAGGAAGCTGACTCAGGTTAACAGTGAACCCAGACATAATAGGACTTGGTTTCAGGTGTGGGATTTGGGTGTCTTCTGGGGATACCCGGTACGTCGAAGTGTTCAGCAGCACTAGAGTGTCAGGAGTGTAAACACTCTTTTGAATATCTTCCTACATCTTATACTCACACCGCCCTTGCCTGAAACCCTGGAGCTGTTCTACTTGCAGAGGCTGATAGTTTGCAGGGTGGTAGAATGGCAGAAGGCTCCAGATAAGAGATCATTTCTTCTGAAATACAGTTCTAGCCACTTTTCCACACCCAATCGATGATGTATGGATGCTTGACACTCTCTCGTTGTATACGCAGTTCCTTTGATACCACCTGTAATTCTGTGTCTTATTTCCTACTGAAGGAAGTGTGTGGGTAGGCCCCATGAAGGATCCTTGGGAAAAGCCTATAAAGGATTTGAAATCTCTGGCAATGGCCATGTGATGAATTTGTCCTTTGTAAAGGATCCAGAGGATACTAAGGAATTATGACCATTGTTCTTAAACAAGGTAGGCCAAGGCTACTACTGCATCGTATAAGTTACATGCATATCTGCTTGGAGGGATAATAGAGAATTATTATGCACATCCCATATCCCATGTTTGGGGTCTCACTGTTCAGGCATATTTACTTACACACACACACACACACACACATACATACACACACACACGCCTTTAAATAGGTTAAGAAAAAATAGTTCCTTTATGTTTTTTAAAACAAAGCAGAGGCCGGGCGCAGTGGCTCACGCCTGTAATCCCAGCATTTTGGGAGGCCGAGGCGGGTGGATCACGAGGTCAGGAGATTGAGACCATCCTGGCTAACACGGTGAAACCCCGTCTCTACTAAAAATACAAAAAATTAGACGGGCGTAGTGGCACATGCCTGTAGTCCCAGCTACTCTGGAGGCTGAGGCAGGAGAATGGCGTGAACCCGGGAGGCGAAGCTTACAGTGAGCCGAGATCGCGCCACTGCACTCCAGCCTGGGTGACAGAGCCAGACTCTGTCTCAAAAACAAACAAACAAACAAAACAAACAAACAAAAAGGCAGAGAGAGTATTGTAATGTAACTTCACCATTTGTCAGGGAGAAATTGATTTTTGCTAGAGGCCCACAGTCTTTTCCCAGAGTCCCTAAATTGAATGATTACAGGAGCTGGGCAGATGACCCACGTGTGTTTCAGACTGTGGTAAGACATTAGGGAACGGTACACATTCCACATCCAAAAACCCAGTCTAAACCAATCCTCAAAAAACTGCTGGCCAAGCATTTATGGATTTTTCTAAGCAGCAAACCACCAGGCTCTTAGACTCCCCTTTGCCCCACTGCAGGGTACCCCTGGCCCCTTCTGCCCTGATCTCTCCCTCCTCTTCTCCCCTAGTGGTGGGTGTCTGCGGTATTCTCCTGCTTCTTTCACCATTTTATCCTGCATGGTTCCCTCATTGTTCAATTAGGCTTTGAACTCTTCAAATGGTGGGGTAGGCAGATGTGGACTTAAGTTTCAGGTCCACCAATTTCTGGCTGTGTGGACTGGCTGTTTAAATTCTTAGAATGTCAGTTTTCTGATTTGTAAAACTGGAATAATGATAATACCTCTTCAGAAGTTGTTTAAAGATACGATCGTAACATTAAGATGCTTAGCACAGCGCCTAGCATATGTTCCATACACGCTAGTTGTTGTTACTGTTGTTATTATTATTTATCGTTCATTCATTCATTCATCAGATAAATCCTCTCTGGCTGTACTTCCCTGCCCACTGACACAGAGCAGGAGCACAGCATGCATTAGCTGAATGAATCATGTCAAAGGGAACCAATTCCTCCTTAGGTCATGGGACATGCCAGGAGTCAGCACTCACTTTGTTTGGGTACAGGCAGGACCCTGGCTTGGGGAGTAGAAGAGGGAGCTGTGATTTGGGGTGCAAGCATCCTATAGGGCTAACTAGCTGGGGACCAGTCTTACCTGGGTCCTTGGCCTCGTTCTGAGTTCTGCCTTGGCTACTCTCCAGATCACAGAGTACCCGTCAGATCCATGCACACAGTAGAAGGAGTCAGGGAACCTCTGCAGATGTCTGTGCCTGCAGGGAGTGTTTCCATACAACCCCTGGGCTTGGGCATTGGAAGCAGAGGCTGTGGTCATTTAAATGCCTTAAGCATTTCCAACCCCTTGCCTTTTCCATATGGGAGCCCCAGGGTGGGTGTTGCTGCTGACCAGCTCCTCGTCCTCCCTCGCATCTCTGGAACTCCTGCCCTGACCCACAATGCTCACTCCTGCTGCACTCCCGACCTCCTCCAGAGCAGCCTTCCCTCACAGCTCAACACCTTTACCTTCAGCCCTCCTTTTCCTTCTTTTCCGGATAATGATTTTTGTAGTTAATGAGGTTCCCCCTCCCAGTTCTCTAATTACATGACTCTGCAGTCAAATTTAGTAACCATCCAGCTATCTATTTATACACCACTGGGCTTCTCAGCTCTTCCTCCTGAGGTTCTTCCATGACCCTGTTATTTCTCACCACTGTAGCAAATGAAGTATGTCTTGAAGAAGATGGTTATTTCCCCTAAAAGGACTCTCGGTATGTGAAGAGACACTGCTGTTGTGAATAATTAGCAGAAATATTGTTGGGATGCTTGGTCTTAAGACTAAGTGTTTGAAAGCTCGGTTAATGCTCGTCTGGAATTGCCTAATGTTCTTATAGGTTTTCTCACTATTAAAGTGGAACCTCATAATGATGCCCAAAAGGAATTGCCCTTCCTTGTCAATCATATTTATCACAGAACATCTCAATCAACTTATGAAATCCTTCTTGAACATTTGTTGAACCCAGTAATGTGCTGTGAGCTCTAGGGAAATGGCTGGGGGAGCTTTCAAGGAATAGATCCTCAAGCCTCATCCCAGGATTCCTGGGATCAGAAACTATCTGCCAGAGTCTAATATGCAGCCAGGGTGGAAAACAACTCCAGGGCAAGAGTTCCTTAGCCTCTGGAAATTTGGAAGTGTATGCAGAGAGTACCAGCTGTGCATCTGCACAGTGCTGGGCACTCTTGTGGCTATTAGCTCACCTTTCTAGTTCTATTACCTTGACCAAGTTTCTCACACTCCATAAGCACAGGTGCAGATCCACCTCAGAGTCAAAAGGTCACACAACCAAGGGGTGGCAGAGCCTAAATCTCTCTGGCTACAAAATCCATGCCTTTTCCACCCCATCAAGGTATTTATGCCAGGAAGAGACACCAGGCCATGCATAATTAAATGGCAAATCCTTGGTTCTGATTCTGTAGGCATTTAGCTGAGACAGTGGGGAGATCCATGGAGTATGGAGAATTCAGCCAAGATTTTGCTGAGGAGGAGAGATTAAAGTGGGACTTGACAGATCCCTGTGATGAGCTTGGAAAACAGAAGCAGATAATGTTTCCTCCATTGCTGGACAAAATGAGAGCATTTCGCAGGTTTGGCTGATGATTTCATTGTAAACAGGTGAGTGTGTGGAGAGTGGTGGTATAAGGAAGGTGGCGGTGGATGCAGTTGGCAGTTCACTTCCCAGGCTGGACTTTCTGGAATTTGTGCTCCCCTAGGGGGCCATTGCCTCATCAGCTTTGTAGGTTTAGAACTTCAGTTTTTTCAATTGGCCGGGCACTGTGGTTCTGGGGAATGGATTCGTTGTGGCTAAACAGGACTCTGCTCTCAGGGGAATGAGGTACATAACTGGCATGGACATTTACAACAGAAGGCTTCTCCAGCAGGAAGTTAGGGGCCAGCCACATGTACCTGCAGAGGAGGGCCACTGCCTCCTGGGGCTGTGGTCAGGAAGGGTGCTTGAGAAGGGTCCATCCTGAATCAGAATGTTGCCTGAGGAGTGCAGAATAAGAGCAAAAAAGGTTGGATATTCACAAGGAATATTTCCTCCTACTTATCCTGAAGATACTTTTGTCTCATTCAGAAGTGTTTATTATTAGAACCAGACCAACCATTCAACTGGACAGGAGATACTCAAAACATTGTTTCTCCATGGCTTTTGTCTTTCTGTACTCCACACAATGTCCAATGTATTATGACAACTTTATCAAGATAACATATAGTCAATCAGATACAACTTATCTGGTCAGTATACTTTTACCTGTTTAATGGGAATTCATTTTTTATTGCAGTTATATATATAATATATATTATATATTGCATTTATATACATGTCTATATATCATAAAATTTTACCATTTTAACCATTTCCACATGGACAGTTCAGTGGCATTAGGTACATTCACATTGTTTTGCAACCATCACCACCACCCATCTCCAGAACTTATTAATTTTTCCAAGTGTAAACTGTGTACCCATTAAACATGAACTCCCCCTTTCCCCCTTCCCCAGCCCCTTGTATCCCTGATGGGACTTTAAGACACTCCAGGAAAAAACTCCTCACACGTGTATAAGTCTTACCTGGGGATCATGTTTAAAGAAGGATTCCTAGATCTCCCCTTTAGAGATTCTGATTCCACAGGTCTGGAGTGAGGTCTGGGAGCCTGTTTCTGTGATTCTGATGCACGTGGTCCAGGAACCTTATAGGAAGAAGTTCACTCTATCCGAGTACACCAAACAGTCTGCCAGCCCCACAAGCCCATCTCTACCTAAAAGTCCTCCTTGCTGATGAGCAGTGATTAGTGTTCCCTGACCAAAGGATTCAGAAGATGTGTGATTCCTCTCCCTTCTCCCTCAACTCTCTGGCTCATTTCCAAACACATGAGGAACACCAATTTCTGAGCCTGTGAAATATTTATCCTCTCCTCTCTGCATCCTTTACAATCACTCTGCTGCAAGGCTGTTTTTCTTTGACAGCCCCTTGAGGGCTGTAGTAGAGGCTGTTTGAAATGATCTATATATTTCCATTGACTAAGAACTGGGACAATTCCAGAAAATTTGGGCTTTCTGTGTGCATGCGTGTCTGTCTATATAAATGTTCATATTTACATTTCTACTGTGTTACATCAGTGGTTCTCAAAGTGTGGTCCCTGGGCCAGCAGCATTAGTATCATCTGGAAACTTGTTAGAAATGCAGATTCTTGTCCTCATGCCTGGCCCATGGAAACTCTGAAGGTGGGAACCCGCAATCTATGGTTTACCAAGCACTTTGGGTGATTCTGGTGCATGTTTGTGTTTGTGAACTGCCGCTTTAAATACGGTGTCTAATTTAACCCTCACAAAAGCACTGAGAAAACTCTCATTAAGGAGAAGATAAAGAAATCCAGAAAGGCTAAAGAGAAGGGTTGCCTAGGTCTTCTCTAAAGTCCCAGCCTGGACCGATGTGGGGTCCCTGGGCCTGGCTGGCAGGTAGCACTCTATCACATTTCCCCCTCTTTCTAGCAGCCAGATGCCACCTATAAAGAAAGGCTCCTCCAGGCCTTCGCAAACACAGACAAGGAGAATAGGAGGAAGGAGAAAGAGGCCCAGAAGAGCATGTAAATGGGTATGGCCCAGAGAGCATTAAAGAGAGTGTAACCCATGGTTTGGCATTAGGTGTTCGATGAAAAGGCAGCTGGGTAGCATCTTTCTGCACTGCTTCCCTCTGTCCCACATACAGCCAGCTTGCCCACCCCCAGAGGGCTTCCTTCAGCATCAGCAGCTGGCTGTGCTCAGCAGGAGGTGGCAGCCAAGGCTCCTTTTGGGAAGTGTCATTAGTCAGGATGGGAGTGCTTCATGCGTGGTGGGTGAACAGGAGTGCAGAAGGCCAGATGTTGGTTCTGGGACTGAGAAAGAATTGGCACCAATGCCATTTGGTCTCAGCTGTTGCATCCTGTGACCTCAGGGAACTGCAGCGTTTGCTGCTTGTAAGCCAGCTGTTTATGGTGCCTCTGAATAAGGATAAAATCCCTCACTAGCTGTTTTTTTGATCCTTTAAAGTTCACTTTGATCAGTGTAAAGTTTGTTAATGGAAAATCAGTGTGCTTTTAAAATGACTCTGGTTCTGGCCAAGAGGCTGCTGGACATTCGATTATTGTCTTACATCTTTCTCCTGGTCCTGCCTGAGGTTTGGTAGAGCTGGTGGTGAATTCATTCAACCAATATTAGGGAGCTCCTGCTCTGTGCCAGGCAAGGATCTAGGTGTAGAGGATACAGCAATGAGCAGACTGCCACTGCCTTCACGGAGCTTCCCTTCTAGAGGTAGAGGAGAGACGTTCTTTTTTTCGGTTATCTGTGATAGATGGTATGAAGAAAATGAAATAGAATGATATGGTATTAGGTATCTATTGCTGAATAATACACCACTCTAAAACTCAGTGGCTTAAATAATAACTGTTCAATTTGTCCACAATTCTACAATCAGGGCTGGGCTCAGCAGGGCTGTTCTTACTAGTCTTGCTGATGGTCACCCATGTGGCTGCATTCTGCTGGCAGGTCACCAGGTGTTGTCTGGGGTCATCTGAGATCAGTGGGGCCTCGCTCTCTCTCTCCATATAGTGGCAAGTCTCTCTTCTATGGGGTATGTTCACAAAGTCTCTTTAGGTGAGGACTCTTTAGCAGGACTTCCTGCACTGGGCCTCTAGGCTTCCATGAGCACAGACATGGAAGCTACTAGGCCTTCTTAATGCACAGCATCACCTCTGCTATATTTTATGGTTAACACAAGTCACCAGACCAGCTCAGATTTAAGGGGACAGGACTATGTATGGTATGAATACTGGAGGCATTGTGTATTGGAGGCCACCAATTAAAACACTATTCTAGATATGGTATTTAGGATAGTTAGACTAATGGGGCGGGCTGCTTGAGGAAGGTTTGCTGAGGCTTGACCGGCAGTGCAGAGCCAGACAGGTGATGATGAGGGGATGGGGAGGGGAGTGTGGGCAATCTAGGTTGGGACAGTGTGACTTTCTCTACTACTATGCCCTCCTTACCTTCTGCTTCCAAGGGGAAGCTGGATAGGGCCTCCTATTTGAAAGGAGTGAGAAAAACAGAAGGAGGAAAATGGAAGGAGGAAAACCAGAAGTAGTCAGTCATTAGTCAACAGAGAGACCAGGAGAACCAGGATTGAAAGAATGGCCTGGGACATTTCCCCAGACTGCTTCATGAGCACCTCTGAAAAATAGCAAGATGCCCAGCCACTGGCCCTTTGCAGGTAATGAGTGCAATTTGGGGCTTCAACTCTAAAGAAGATCTTCTGGGTGGCACCACTGTTGTTATTTTGCTTTTTTTAAAAAAAATTAAAAAAAATTTTTTTAGAGACACAGTTTTACTCTGTCACCCAGGCTGGAGGCAGTGGGATGATCATAGCTCACTGCAGCCTCAACCTCCTGGGCTCAAGTGATCCTTCTGCCTCAGCCTCCCAAGTAGATGGGACTACAGGAGCATGCCACCATGCCCAGTTAGTTATTATTATTATTAGTAGTATTTGTAGAGATGGGGTGTAACTATATTGCCCAGGCTAGTCTTGAACTCCTGGCCTGCTTTGCTTCTTGAGAGAGGTACCTATGCAGAAGGTTCTCAAATTGTTCTCAAATGTAAAGCTTCTGAAAGCAGCCCTTGGGACTATGTGTTTGTTGGTAATAATACAGATAGAATCAAGAAGGCTTGAACCACTTCTTTCTTAGAATATGGCTTATTGACCAAATGTCTCAAAATCACCCAGAAGCATGGTAAAATGCAGAATCCCAGGCCCAGTCTGATGGATTAATCAGAGTCTGTAGGACACAAGCCCCAGGAATGAACACTGTAACTGTGGTCTTCAAATGATCCATGTGCTCCTGAAAGATCCTTAAACCTTCTGCGGCCCCAGATGGAGTTATATTTGGAAATGAAGTTATGTTTAGAAATGAAGTGTGGAATCATCCTTTGGGACCCAGTTCAAATGTCACCTCCTCCAAGAAGCCTTCCTGACTGTTCACCCATGTACTGGAGGATTTAGCATACATTGTTACACATCTGTTGCTCAGCAATGAGAGCTGCTAACAATGGTAATACGTTGTATTTGGGTTTCTGTCCCTGGTGCGAGTGAATAAATTAATAGAAGGAACACCAAGGAACATCTTGTAGATCCCCTTGTTTAGGAATGAAGAACCTGGCACCTATGCAGCGAAGTGGCCAGCTCAAGGCCACACGGATGACAGTGCAGAGCTAGGACTAGTATCCAGGCTACTTCTGGACTCCTTGTCCAGTGCCCATTTCTCTCGCTCAGGCCAGCATCCTCGTTCAGGTGACTGGCAAGTCAGTTTCATTTAGAACTTAAATCCTGACAGTTTTCCTGCCCTTTTCCCAACCTCACTGTATAGTGTGAAAGTCGTATCCTATCCAGACCTCTGACATCCTCTGTTGCTACCCCGACTTGGGCCTGAGCTGGGAACAAGGGCAAGATTTTGCTAGGAGGTCTCTGAAGTGTCTTCAGGCCCGGCCTCCAGCTTCAGGTAGGGCATGTGTTTATTCTGTCTCTCTCTGCTTTCCTTCAGTTCGCAGCCCGCCAAGCCCGTTTGGCGAGCGTCCTCCCAGCTTCCTCTGAATTAATATAAATGGCTGCTGAGGGTGTCTCCCACTTCATTGTGAGCCACTAAGGGCTCAGGGTGCGATTTGCATATTGCTAATTACAGTTGATTCCAACTTTAGAGAAAATCATTGATCCGTTTATAACTTACAGTAATTTGCAAAGCAATTACCTTCTGGCATCTTCTTTCTTGCTGAAAATGTGTCATTATTTTTCTCTATGTTTCTTTTGAAAGAAAAATGATCTGGGCATTATCACTATGAAGGACCAACTTCTCTGAAAGCCTGGAAGATGTAAATAAGTAAAATCATGGAGGGCTGGAACTATGACCTAAGACTCTTTAAATCATACTCATCGCCCGCACATAGTAGGTGTGCAATCCATCTTTGGCTGAAAGAATAAATTGGAAACATCTTACATGGAATGTGTGATTGATACAGACACTGTGGGCAACTTTCTTCTCTGGTGTGGTGTGGGGGTGGGCGGCAGGTAGAGCCTCTTGAAGCTGGCCATCCAGGCTGGAATCCTCAACCTTCCTCTTGCTGGCTTTGTGAATTTAAAGAAAGATGCCCTTTTGTACCTCACATGTAAAGTGGAAGGGCAAGCTGTGCCTGCTTCCCTAGGTTTGATATAAAGATCAAACAAGATGATATAGGTAATATGTGGTAGATGTTAAGTTATTGTTAGTGATTAATTTGCACTGATTCTTGGCATTGTTTGTTATGATTCAATAGGCAGATTGTCAATATCCAGCCAGACGCCTCTAAGCAGTGAAAAAGGGCTCTATGCTGTGGACTGAGAGGACGCTGATGGTTGACCAGCCTCTGTTAACCTGCTGAAAGGAGTCCTATGAGCAGCAGGAAAACAGGCAGACCAGTCACAATTGGCCCAGAGGGCATTCATATGGGACACAGGGTTTTGGTGGAAAGTCCTTGACTTTCGAGAGCTAAAATTCCTGAGTTTGAGTCATGGCTGTGCATCTACTGTGTGATCTTGGGCAAGTCACTCCACATCTCTGAGCCCCAGAGGGAAGAAAATAGGGATTATTAGGCCAATCTTGCAGCCAGGGCTGGAGTAGTTGAGGACAGTGAGGCACTCACCTCGGGAGGCACCAAAATCAAAACCAGTGCATCTCATTCCCTCCTTCCTGCTCATTTAGACCCAGCCCTGAGTGGACGGACAGTAGTGAATACGACCCTCACTTGGGCTGCCCCATCTGGAGGTTCTCTTTTAGAGAAGTTGTTCTCAGTGTGGCTCCTACCTGCAGCAGCATCACCTAAGGACTTACTAAAATGTCAATTTGTGGACCCTACCCTAGATCTACTGAGTCAGGAGGTGAAGCCCAGCAAACGACTAGTGAGAACCATTTCTTGGGGGGTGAGGCCATCTCTCTCCAGTTCAGGACCACATCTCTGTATCCTTCTCATCTTTTTGGTGTGTAATAAAAGTGTCAACTTTTTAAAGGTTAACAAATGACTTTCCCTATACCCTTCTGTCCCTTCCTTACCACTTCCCTCCCCAACCCTGGACCCCCACATTAGTATGTAGATTTTGAATAACCTGGAAATAGAGCTTTTTCTTTCTAGCTAGGGGCTACAGAGGGAGAAGGTTTAATGCAAAGGGACCATCTCTGTTTCTACAAGTTTAATGCCCTGCTCCATTGTCTTTCATTTTCTTGTCATAGCAGACAGGTGAAATATCTCATTCGCCCACCGCTAGCACTGCCTTCAGAGTCCTGGCCTGCTAAGCTTGTGCTGTAGTTAAAGACACTTTAGCTGACACTCTTTTGATTCTTTTCTTTTAGAAAGCCAAGTGAGGAATAAACATGTTGTTTTTTCTCTTTTCCATTTAAGTAAATCTCTTTCTTTCATTTTTAAAAAGCTCCTCGCTTCAGTGGGTTTTCATACTTACATTAATCCCATCAACTTTCTACTCGTACATCTTTGGAAGAGACATTAGAAAATAATCTCTCTGCTTATTTCACTCTGCCTGAACTCCCCCCACCCTGCCCCCAGTCTGGTCAAGCTAAAAGCTGTTTCTGCATAAAAACCAAATTATCCTTTGGTCACACGCATTGAAGGGAGAATGTTTGGTTGTTAAAATGTAATTGGTTAATCTGTATTTGCAGGTTTCATTTCTTTCTCTGTTGACAAAGACAGCTATGTCCATGAACAGAGCTGCTCGGTAGGACTTTCTGTGATGACGGAAATGTTCTGTATCTGCCTATCCAACACGGCAGCCACTAGCCACAAGTTGGGTACTTGAAATATGGCTTGTCCAACTGAAGGACTGAATTTTAAATTTTATTTAATTTCAGTGCATTTAAATGTAAAATTTAAGAAGCCAAATGTGGCTGGCTAATGGCCATAGTTGTGGACAATGAAAGTCTATGAACAAGATCACTCCTGGGTATAAGGAAATGACTCCCAAATGCTGCTCTGCAGAATCCCTGGACACCTGGGAAGTGGGGAGGGCTGGTCGGCTTCTCTGAATCTCCCCCAAGCTGCTCTAAACCTCATTTCCAACCCCCCACTCCCACCCAACCCTCAGCCCATGTGGCCATTGGGTGCCCAGACATATCTGGAGGGAGGGGTAGGTCCCACAGAGGTGGAGAGCCTGAGTCACAGGCAGGAAGCTCTAGGGCTGGCAGCTCAAATCCCTGGGATGAAGAAATATTTGAGCCTTTTTCTTAGTTGCTTGGGGTCTGAGGGTTGCTAATCTGGAGCACAGGCCTGTTGAAGAGCTGCATGAAGAGTGATGAACCAAAGGTGATTTGCCTTCCAGGCATGAGATTCTGACATAACCAGGAGAGCTGGTATCAGAAGACAGGATCCAACCAGGAAAACATACAGCACTGTGAGTTTTGACAGCAGGGCATATTTAAAGCAATATGACGGAAAAGTTTCAAGCTGAAAGGAATGAGGCAACCCAGTGATTAGCAACAGCAGGAAGTAGTTGTCACCCCTAGCTAGGCTGGAGAGTCAAAGGGAAGAGATACTGTTACCAGAGCACAGGGGTGGAGGGGCTGAGGTGTCACCTGGAACCATGGGGTAGGTGTTTCTGTTGGGAGCTGGAGCCAATTAGGAGAAGCATCTGTTGCCATAGACGCTGCCTCAGACAGGGAAGGAGGAGGAGGACAAACACCTTGCTTTCTCCTGCCTTCCAATCTCTTGCTAATGCCTTGCATTGGTCCACTCCAGCCAGAAGTCAGCTGACATAGGAGCCTGGGAAAGGCTGCCTCCCAGGTCCTTTCCTGTGATAGAGCAGGGCAGAGATGAGGACTGGCCATGTGTGTGTGTTTGTGTGTGTGTGTTTAAAATGTGGGTCTCTATTGTTTCCCTAGCACAAAGTTACAGAAGGCAAAAACCATATCTCATCTACCTATGCTTCCTAGTCTTCCCCCTCCTCCAACAGCTGCCTCCCCACCCCAACACCAAGTATGCCCAGTTCAGAGCTCTGCCCTTCTAGGAGGTGTCAGTGGTGTTGATGGAATAGACCTCTTAGAAAGGATGCTGTAGAGTGAAGGAAAGAGATAGTTCCATCTTCTCCATGGAGTGGACAGAAGGTTGTAGATGCCAGAGGAAGAAACTGATCAACAAAAGCTGAGAAATTAGGGAAGGCTTCCCAGAGGATGGGACTTGGGCTGGGTTAGCTTGAAGTGGGGGGAAGCTTGAAGTTAGCCATGGAAGTGGGAGGAAGCTCTAGTGAGACTGTCCTGGCATTTTCTCAAAGACAGAGCCTGTTTTCTCTTTTTCTTTTTGAGATAGAGTCTTGCTCTGTCACCCAGGCTGGAGTGCAGTGGCATGATCTTGGCTTACTGCATCCTCCGCCTCCCGGGTTCAAATCATTCTCCTGCTTCAGCCTCCCAAGTAGCTGGGACTACAGGTGCCCGCCACCAGACCTGGCTAATTTTTTTTTACTTTTAGTAGAGATGGATTTCACCATGTTGTCCAGGCTGGTCTCAAACTCCTGACCTCAAGTGATTGCCCGCCTTGGCCTCCCAAAGTGTTGGGATTACAGGTGTGAGCCACCGCACCTGACTCAGAGCCTGTTTTCTTATATGGGCTTGGTAATGTGTCCCTGGGAATGTGATGGTTATGAATTGCCTCTGACTGAACTTGTCTGAAATGTTTGTATCTCTGGGAGGAAGTCACTGGTTGGGGTTTGATGCAGGCTGCACCAGGCCTGGCATGAGCTGCTGGGGGTTCAGCGGGAGCTCAGGGGGACAGGCTGCTGAGAAACTCCCAGGCAGTGGCATTAATTAGGAGGCTGACAGCACCAGCCAAAATGTTTGAGACATGACACTGAGTTGTTTTTATACTATTTACTTACACCTCATAAGCGAGTGAGAAAACTAATCAGCCTGGCCCTGGAGCTCTTGGGTGCAGCCTGGCTGGAATCACTGAGCCTGTGGAGGAGAAAAGAAGGTAAAAATTCATGGTAAATGTGTAGGAACTAAGGGGCCAGAGAAATCTCTTCAGGACAAGGTCATTCTATCCATCTATCTGTGCACCCATGCACCCATGCATCCATCCATCCATTACCTGTTTGCATAGGGCGATGGGCAGGCCACATCTTCAGTGCACACTGAGCTGGTCCTTACCTGGCCTGTCAAGCAGACCCAGTTCTCTAGCCCTCAGACCCCTTCTGCCTCCATGATCAGGTGGTGAAGCACTCTTGCTTGAGTTCCCCCTGTTGTCCCCTCATGCCAGCCCTGTGCCAGACCTTAGAAGGGATCAACAGTAAGCATAAAGACAGCCTGGTCCTCAAGAAACTGCACATTTAGTTGAGGAGACAGCACATCCACTCTGAAAACAGTACGATACAGTATATGAAAATATTCGAAGGCACACTTAAATGTCTGTAGACACTAAGAAGTACTAGTAGGCCACAGGGGGTAGAGGGGTGGCCAGCTAATATTTAAAGAGAGAGGTGAGCTTTCAAAGGGCTTCACAAAGTGAAATGAATGAGACATAAAAAGGGAGAGAAATTATCCGAGTTGAGTATCTGCTATGATGGTTAGGATTCCCATTTTGCTAATGAGGAGACAGAGGCAACCTGAGAGATCCAATAACATGCCTAATACCACACTGCAGGAGCAGAGCTGGCTTTGAGCCCATATATTCTCAGACTCCAAAACTCTTGCTTTTTCTACTCCTCTGCCTCTCTGGCTGAGGGTGGCTGAGAGGGCATTGCCACTACCCTGTGCAAATCCCTTCTGATGCTCACTGGGAAGCTTGGCTGCCGTGCACCAAGTGCTGGATAAACGTTTGTTCCACTGTGAAATGACTTTCCATTTCTGAGTTGTTTTTGATTCGACCAGTCTCGAATACCCATTGCCTAACACACATCCTTTTCCATTGGAGGAGAAAATGGGGGTAGGGTTATTTATCATTTTTATTGCTATCTGAGAATAAGTAAGATCTTTTAAAGTGTAAGATTGTTTCTGATCGCAGCTGAATCCAACGTGGACCCCATGAAAGCTCTCCCAGGATGTCTGCTGGCATACCAGTTTCACAGGTAGTTAAACTGAACTTTCCAGAGGTTATTTTACTGGCTACTGCCAAGAACCCAGGTTTTCTTTTGGTCTGGCCTCTCCCGGCCGAATCTCAGGAGAACTGGGGGCTGTAAGGAGTTTCTCATGGTCTCTGGACCAAAGTGGTATAAAACAACCTTGCCAAGCAATGCTTTCCTGGGGCCAGGGACCCTAGGGAACCTTTCCTTGCTTTCTCTGGCCCCCATGGCAAGCCCAGTCAGACCTTAGAAGGGAGCGCGTGCCACTGCTGTGTGCATGACTTAAAATAATGAGGCAGTTGTCTTGCAAGAGGAGACAAATCACTAGGAAGGGTTTTTTTTTCACAGGTCAGCAGGTTTGGGACTCAGATACATTAATATGGAAAATTACTTTTCCTTCTGAGTGGGGACTTGAGGGTGGGTGGGGGCGCCAGGGCTACGCTTTCTGGTCTGAGATGTGTGGTTCAGTTTCCTTCTGTGGGACAAGCGGGGACTTCAGTGCCCAGTGTCTACAGCCCCTCTTGACCTTGAAGTCCATCACACACCTGCCTCGGAGACCTCCTGCCCCTCCTCGCTGCTCTGGGAGGGGGCTTCCTCTAATTTGTCACACAGCGGCTTCCCTCTCCCCGGACTTTCCCCTCTTCCCTCTGCTCCTTCCAGACACGTCCCCATCTCTCTGCCTTTGCTGGGCTGGTCCCTCCTCTTCTCCTCTCCATCCCAGCAGCCCCCAGAGCTATCTCCTCTGTAAGCTTCTCCCACTCCTCCTTTCTCCTCACCTGTGGACCCTCTTGGGTGCTGCTTCCTTGTTTTTTTTCAGCTGCCCTATCTCCTCAGCTGGGTCTGACTTCCTTCAGGAGAGGAACTGATTCTAATGGCCAACATCAGGGGCTTGGCAGGGGTCAGAAAGACCTGCACTGGTGCTTTCATGACAGCTCTTCTCATGGTCTGCCTTGCGGAGGGATCCTGTGGAAACAGAGAAAGGGCCTTGGATTCCAGCTTTGGACATGTCCTGGATTTAAATCCTGGTTCTGTCACTTCCTGCTTTGGGAACTTGAGGAGGGTGCAGACCTCTCCAAGGCTCCTTTTCCATCGATATGATGGGAGCAGCTAGTCTCCATCTCATGGCGGGCTGTGAGGATGAAGGGCCATGATGCTGGAAAGTACCTCACACAGCAGCTGGCCCAGAGTGGGAGGCTGGAGAAGAAATGTCAGCAGGTGCCTCCTGTCTGCCATAGGGCCTTGCGCCGCGCTGGTGAAACCAATTAGTTCAACTGACTCAATGCCCCCAGGCCTGTGAGAAGGAATCTCCCCTCTCGGAAGAGCTAAGGCTTGGTTCTTTCAAGACCACCTGCAGGTGAAGCGTCTCCATGTGGGGCAGGGCCAGTGGGCTTCACAGGCAGCTGCTTTTTGTTTCCAGATTCCCCTTCATGAAAGATACCTGCACTCCCATGTGTGTTGCAGCCCTGTTCACAGGAGCCAAGATTTGGAAGCAACCTCAGTGTCCATCAACAGATGAATGCATAAAGCAAATGTGGTACCTATACACAATGGAGTACTATTCAGTCATAAAAAGGAATGCCATCCCGTCATTTGCAATAACATGGATGGAACTGGGGGTCCTTATGTTAAGTAAAATAAGCCAGGCACAGAAAGACCAACATTGCATGTTCTCACTTCACTTATTTGTGGGATCTAGAAACCAAAACAATTGAACCCATGGAGATAGAGTAGGATGGTTACCAGAGGCTTGGAAGGGTAGTAGGGGGATGGTTAATGGGTGTAAAAACAGATTGAATGAATAAAAGACCTACAATTTGATAGCACAAAAGGGTGACTACAGTCAATAGTAACTTAAGTGTACATTTAAAAATAACTGAAAGAGTATAATTGAATTGTTTGCAACACAAAGAATAAATGCTTGAGGGGATGGACACCCCACTTTCCATGATGGGATTATTGTGCATTGCATACCTGTATCAAAACATCGCATGTACCCCACAAATACATACACTCACTATGTAGTCACAAAAAATAAAAAAAACAAAATTATACAACAAAACAAAAAACAAAACCCACAAATTCTCCTTCTGGTTTCTGTATAGTCCAGGCAAGGCTGGATTTCCAAGGCCTTACTAAGTTCTCAGACACAGCAATGAGACAACAGAGGATGGAGTAGTGATAAGAGCAGAGGGATTGGGGCTGGCCATCTGGGTCCAGGGCCCCCAGCACTTTGTACCACGACCACAGGTCTTTTCCCAGTCAGCGTTGTATTGTGTTTGGCAACTGGGCAGAGAGGCCCAAACTGTTCTGGGGTCAAGTTGGGCTGAGATGTGTGGATGCTGTATGGGCTTGGGCAAAAGGTGGCACTGTCGTTTCTTCATGTGCAAACATGGGAGAGTCATCGTGTGTGCCTCAGATGGCCAGCGAGCGATTGCAATGAGATGCGGTGAGCATGGTGCTTAGCGCTGCCTGGCACAGAGGGAGCCTGCAGTGGTGGACTCATCCATGGTTACGAACACACGGGATCTGGCTCACCCACTTTCAGCGGGGGCTTTCCCCCAGAGACCCCTCTCTTAGCTCCTGGTTCATCTCTCCAAGAAACAACCCCAAAGACATCTCTGCTTCCAAGCTCTTGAAGTGAAGCAACTGAGGCCTCCCGCTGGTGCGCAGTAATCCCTGATCCATGCGTTCATTGAGGGGGGCACTGGGGGAAGAAACAGGGGTCAAAATCCTTCTGTGATAACACCAACAACCTCTTCTGCCCTCTGGGAGCCAAAACCACACTCCTTATCAAAGAAGAGCATTAATTTCCGGGCTTCCTTTCTCATTTTTGAGTTGGAGTCTTGCTCTGTCACCCATGCTGGAGTGCAGTGGCACAATCTTGTCTTACTGCAACCTCCACCTCCAGGGTTCAAGCGATTCTCCTGCAACCTCTGCCTCCAGGGTTCAAACAATTCTCCTGCCTCAGCCTCCCAAATAGCTGGGATTACAGGCACCCGCCACCACACATGGCTAATTTTTGTATTTCTAGTATAGATGGGGTTTCACCATGTTGTTGGCCAGGCTGGTCTCAAGCTCCTGACTTCAAGTGATCTGCCCACCTCAGCCTCCCAAAGTGCTGGAATTATAGGTGTGAGCCACCGTGCCTGGCCAATTGCTGGGCTTTCTGAAAGAACGGAGACGCTCATACCATGTTGTAGCCAAAGGATGACAGCACTCATTTACTGAGCGTCTGCCAAGACCACGTCCGCTTCTGAGTGACTGTCAGTATCCTCACTAGCAACTCCATGCTGTGAGTTCTGCCATCGTTCCTGTTTTTCAGGTGAGGAAACTGAGCCATGAAGAGGTGAAGCAACTTGCCCAGGGTTACACAGCTGGCAAACAGTAGAGTCATGATTTGAACCCAGGCAGCCTGACCCTAGTGACAGCGTTCCACCTCTTTGCCTTCAGGATGGTTACCTATGCCCTTGTTTTAAAGAAAAGGACATCACAGTTCAGAGAGGCAAAGAGACCTGCCTAAGAACACACAGCTAGTGAGGAGCAGGCTGGGTTAAGACCCTGGTCACCAGGTCCTAGCTGGCTCTGTTCTGTTTCAGAATCAGAATGGTCCCCCTGCTCCCCGCACTAGCCCATCAATCCCCAGGGACTGGAGCTGGAACAGGTCAAACTTGTCAATTCAGGGCTTGGTCGAAAGCAGGATCTGCCATGAGACCAGGAGACTCTGATCCTGGCAGCCATCACTGCTGCCACTGCTGCTGCTGAAGATTGAAGAGGACGGGATGTGAGGCCAGCTCTGAGCCTGGGCGTCTTGCCAGAGCTGCCAACACGAAGTTGCATTTTGTCGTCTGCTCCCTTTGCCTGATTTAATACAACCTTAAATAATAATGGAGCAGGGAGAAGAGGGGCGAGGGAGAAACAACCCAGCCAAGAATCTGTGTAACAATCTCATCAAACCTGGGGTTTTCCCTTTGCTTTTTGAGAAGCAACTTCTCCTCTGATGTAAACATTTTTTTTTTAAATGATGATTCTGGGCTGAGTGGCACCAGGAGCCATCGCTTGGTGCTTTTCTCCAGCTCCCTCTGGTCCTCAGAGGAGGCAGAACAGGGCCTGTAACCATGGCAATTCTCTAATGTTCTTTCATAAACCATAAATATAGGGGAAGGCTTCATTACAGCTCCTTCAAGAAGAAAACAAAGCTTTCCCTGAATGGGGCAGGGCAGGGTGGCGGGGGGAGAGGGGAGGAGAAGGGAAGAAGGAAGACTTTAGGCTTTTTTTTTTTTTTTTTTTTTTTTTTTGCCACAAAGACAAACTGCGTCAGAATTGGCTCAGTTCAGAATGTGGCTCCAGCATTTAAGCAAGATGTAGCCCAGGGCCAGGCACAAAGCAGGCGCTCCTTAAGTATTAGTTGAAAGCAGGAAGGGAGAAAAGCAGGGAGGGAGTGATGTGGAAGGGAGAGGATTTGGAATCACACAGAGTAAATGTGAGTGGCCAGATGAGCCCACATTTTGAAAGGGTTTAATGTTCTGCTGACCTGTCTAACAGGCCCCTTGGAAGAGCAAGATGATGTACAGATTGTCCTACCTGAAGACTGTGGAGGAGAGGAAGGTGTCTCATCTCCCCAGTCTCCAAATCGTCAGCATTAAGAAGTGTTTGTTGAATAAACTGAATAAACAAATGAAGAGATGAGTGGACCAAATTTTTAAATGTCTTGGGAAGGGGTCATAATCATATTGAGAATATAAATATAATGAAAACTATGACTTCTTATTCCGAAATTACACTTATGAAAACACATTTTATGTGTCATTTCAGGATGTTTACAGATACTGATGACCATCCCTAGAATTCATATTGAGAATTTCCGTGCCACATTAACTTCCAGATGTCCTTGGGAAAAGTGTCTACTATGCTGCCTTGGTTTCCTCAATGAGAGTGAGAACAAATGGATCTGAAGAGGTGATCTTGGCCCTAATTTCCAAGTTCTGGGAAGATAAACAGGGTTTTCTTTTGAATCCTTCGGAGCCTGGGAGCTTCAAGAGAAACTCAACTCCAGGCACTTGAACTGACAGAGAATTTAGATTCTCCTCCAGGGAAAGGGGCAGAGCATGGATCCTGGCTTTGAGCCGCCTCCCAGCTTTTCTGTTGTCCTTGAGGCTGCTACGTTAACACTGTCCTTGCTTTGTGTGGTTTTGCTGTTACTACCTGTCCTGTGGATTTCTGACAATTACAAGCCGTGTACCCCACCACACATGCAAGCATTTCTCATTTATTCTGAGTACTTTAAGGACTGCCCAATCTGAATGCAGAGAACTATGTCTCATTCATTTTTGTGTGTCCAGGCCCTCACAGGGTTTGGGGATCCTGATATAGGGTTGGATTCGGTGACCTCTCAAATCCTCTTCAGCACTTTCATGCACAGAAGCCAGCATCCTCTGGACTGTCATTATCCAGTTTTATTAAAGCAGGTTACAATATAAAAGAACCCATCATCAGCCATCATCACTGATCTTGGATAGCTTGCCCTTGGCTGGTGGCCTAAGGATTCCTTTCTTTTTTTACCTATCAAAATCATTCTTGTACATAAGCTGTCCCCCTCCCTGCAAAGTATTCCTTGACTATCATAGACAAAATATGTCACTCCCTTCCCTCTTCCCATGATCTTTGCTTTACATTCAAATGTCACCATTTTATGGATCCATTTGTTTTCTTTATCGGATTGTAAATTCCTTGAGGGTGGAGACTGGATCTAATTCAACATGGTATCCCATGGTTCCTTGCCATGGGATATAGTGAAAATGCAGCAAGTGTGGGACTTGGTGAACAGCGGATAGTTCACTTGCTGCAGAGGATGGGTTTTTCTTTCTCTACCCATGCCCTTTGACTTTGAGTTTGGCCATTGGACTTGCTTTGGCCAATGGGATGCTCACAGACACCATGCAAGTAGAGGCTTAGAACATGTGTATGAACTTGACTTGCCCTCTGTGCTGTTAGGTCTCCTGACCTAAGGAGGAGGATGAGAAACACATGGACCAGACCTGCCCCAGCCAATCCGCAAGCCTGTGAGTGACAAATAAATGCATATTATTGGATGTCACTGATATTTGGAGGTTGTTTGTTTGTTAATGCAGCAACTGTTGCTTAATACAATTGTTAACTTAAAATGTAGGCTGAAAAACATAGGAGGCCTTGTGATGTTCATTGTCTTTATGGGTTGAGGTGGACATTTTAGAAAGAATGAAACAATCAGTGACTTGAAGAAGTGGTTGCTTATTCCTCGAATGGAAGACTGAAGGAAGGAAAAAAATATTTTCCCCCAAATCTTTCCTACAAGCCAAGCTTGTTGCTGCTAAAACCTGAAGGATGATGACTTTTGTGAGGGAAAGAATGAAATGGGGTTTCTTTGAAAAGCAGCACTTTTCCCCCTATAGTTACAAATGGTGTTGTTTTTGTTGTTGTTGTTGTTGTTTTCCCGTTGCTGACTTCTGTGAGTAACTCTGCAGCCTAAAATAATGTCTGTGTGTGCTTGCGAGGGTGTATGGATTTCAGACAAAGAGTCTGACTTAGATGCCTTTTGGAAAATTGGCCCTTTCCGTCATTCCGTCATGGGGTTCCCTGGCCAGCTCACTGGATTACTGCTGGCATAAGGGATGGGACACAAGAGGTGAGGGAGCCTAACTGGGCTTCCATCCTCGCCTGTGGCGTGAGAGTTTTCACACAGTGCACTCTCTTCAAGACCTGGACTTGCCAGAGCATGATAGTGGCCAGGCAAGAGGGTGCATGGTCCTTCTTCAAGCCAAACTTCTCACCCACTTCTAATCCGCAGCAGTTCCCAAGGAACTGGAGCCCAGTGCTGGGGCCTGAAAGTCATCCTGTGGGGCCTTGTGGTGGCCACAGCTGGGATGGCAGTTTTACTTAGCATCTACTACGTGCCAGGCTCTGCCAGACACAAAAGCAGCCCCCTCATCCTCTGCTCTCAAGGAGATTATGCCTCTGGGGGAAGATGGATATTGATAAGTAGTCACACAAATTAATGTAAATTTGTAACTGTGACAGGTGCTCCACAGGACTCTAAGAGCAAATAAGAGAGCCACTTGCTTTGGGGCAGCAAGGCAGGAAGATGGTTTCTGATGCCTCATCTTGCCACTCAAAGCCTTTGTCTTACCAAGGTCATAGCTACTCCGTATGGAGTTGTTGTGCACCCATTCTGCCAGGCACCCAGTCTGCCAGGCCCTCTCATGCCCCCAGTGACCTGCAGGAGCATACCCAGTGGCCCTGTTCCTCAGCCCCACGTCACTTCGTTCCTCCTTGATTCTCAGCCATCTTCTCACAGCTTTGAGACAACAGTCTGGACCTGCCTCCCTGAGTTGCGTGGCCAGTGTTGCTGAGCTGCACGTGTTAGGCACTGAAAGTGGAGTCCTATTCCAAGTGCAGGAGATAAAAAATAATATACAAGGCTGGGCGTGGTGGCTTATGCATGTAATTCCAGCACTTTGGGAGGCTGAGGTGGGCAGATCACCTGAGGTCAGGAGTTCAAGACCAATCTGGCTAACATGGTGAAACCCTGTCTCTACTAAAAATACAAAAAAATTAGCTGGGCATGGTGGCACATGCCTGTAGTCACAACTAGTTGGGATGCTGAGGCAGGGGAATCGCTTGAACCCTGGAGGCGGAGGTTGCAGTGAGCCAAGATTGTGCCACTGCACTCCAGCCTGGGTGACAGAGTAAGACCCCTCTCAAGAAGAAAAAGAAAATGTATGAGCATTTTCTTCTCTTGTACAGAACATGTAAGTTTTGCCCTTTAAGCTGTAATAGATCTGGTGCTCTGATGAGTGAAAGCATGCACTTTATGTGGTCTAATCTGGGCTATTGCTCAGTTTCTCTTATTTCTGCCCCACCCAAACTGTTGTTGGGAAGGGTGGGGGCCTCTCTTAAAGCAATGAGATGCAGGAGTTCCCAGATCTGCATAGCTCCCAGTGAGATCATCTGTCCATCCAGTCTCTGCTCATTTGCTGGCAATTGAGGAAGAGGACAGAAGCGGTGCAGCTCCCAGACTGGAGTCCAGGAGAGATCCCGACTTGGCCTCCCTTAAGCTCTTCCTACCAGAGCATGCTGTGTTTCTACCATGCCTCTGTCTAGGCCTGGCCCAGCTGACCTATTCCCAGCCTTTGAAGTGGGGTCATTTCACCCCTGCCATGGTGCAGCCCTGCAGAAGGCCAACTGATACTTGACTTAGTGTCTATACCCCTTGTCAACTGAGAGAGGCTAGGGAAGGTGGTGTATATTGGGCTCCTCCAGCTTTGACAGGATGAGCCCATGTTATGGGGCACCCTGCACAGTGGTCTCCCACCAGATTCCCAAACACAGCCCCACTCTATCCTCAGCATTGGTTTTAAGGTACATAACATGGTGCATGTCAAAAGCACAATGGCTCTTCAGCTTGTCTTCCTTCCTCTAATCTCTTCCCTTCGCATCCATCCTTTGCACTGTTGTCACTTTCATTATCTTAAAACAAAGCTCTGACTATGA
The DNA here is from genome assembly GCF_000001405.40 of Homo sapiens. NCBI lineage: Eukaryota > Metazoa > Chordata > Mammalia > Primates > Hominidae > Homo > Homo sapiens. Next base: position 104,526,975 of record NC_000010.11, read on the forward strand.
CATCCCTGCTCAAAAACTTTCAGTGCCTCCCCATTTCTGCCCCAATAAAGCTGAACTCATCAACATGGTAGCCAGCAAGGCCTTCCTTCCTGACCATGGATGAATGGATAATAAACATGTGCTACATACAGACAATGAAATATTAGTCATCTTTAAAAAAGATCTGACACATGCTATGATGGATGAACCTCGATGCTAAGTGAAATAAGCTAGACACAGACTGTATGATTCCACTTACATGAGGTACTTAGAGTAGTCAGACTCATAGAGACAGAAAGGAGAATGGTGGCTGGCAGGAGTGTGGGAGGAGGTGATGGGGAGTGATTGTTTAATGGGTACAGAGTTTCAGTTTGGGATGATGAAAACATTCTGGAGATGAATAGTAATAATGGTTGCACAACAATGTGAGTATACTTAATGCCATGAACTGCACACTTAGTAATGGATAAAACGGCAAAATTTGCAGTATATATATTTTACCACGGTAAAAATATTGAAGATGACAATAACAACAGCAACCGCAAAAAAAATCAATGAGTACATATAATGGTCTGTAGGCAAATTGGCTCCGAGGTCAAATGTCTTTGGTTGGGAGTGCTGAGGTAAGAGAGGGGAGGACCAGCAGAAATGTTATGAGCTATTTGGATTCTGCCTAAGGAGGAAGTGGTGAGGGGTCTTCTGGAGTCATGCATGCCTTGGTTGGAGGTCCCCTGTCTGAGCCCCCAGGCTCGGCGTCATTGCTGGAGCAGCATCTTCATTTTTTTATCCGTGGAGAAGGAGGACAGGAAGCATTGACATGCTATTTGTGCTGCAGGTCTGCATCAGGAATTGCCTTCACCTGTGAGTTCCAGATGTTTATAAATTAGTGGCTATGCTGTTTATTCTCCACTTATCCGTCCATAACCATCCTCTTTCCTCTCTGCCCTGCTCTGAGCCCCCAGTGGCTAACCTCTAAAGACCACTCAGTGCCCTTGTCTTCTGTCTTCCAGGTGAGTATGTCCAATGGGAGGGGCTGGCAGGTGCTAGGAGGGCAAGGGGCAAGTGAGGTCAGGGAGCATCTTCCTGCAGGCTCTGCAGGGGCTCTGGTCCTCTACTGTGGTCACATCTGAACACCTGGCTGCACATGGGAAGAAGAGAAGGAAAAGGAGAACCTCCTCCCCTCACTTTTTTAATAGAAGACTTAGTGGAAGTTCCTCTGCTTACATTTCCTGTGGTTGGAACCCAGTTTCCTAGGGAGGCCAGGCAACATTGTAGTCTTTATTCCTGGAGAGAGCATGTCAGAAGAAAGCTCAGAGTTTTCTTTCTCTCTCTCTCTTTCTTTCCTTCTTTCTTTCTTTCTTTCTTTTTTTTTTTAAGTTTTTTTTCCTTTTATTATTATACTTTAAGTTTTAGGGTACATGTACACATTGTGCAGGTTAGTTACATATGTATACATGTGCTATGCTGGTGTGCTGCACCCACTGACTTGTCATCTAGCATTAGGTATATCTCCCAGTGCTATCCCTCGCCCCTCCCCCCACCCCACAACAGTCCCCAGAGTGTGATGTTCCCCTTCCTGTGTCCATGTGATCTCATTGTTCAGTTCCCACCTATGAGTGAGAATATGTGGTGTTTGGTTTTTTGTTCTTGCGATAGTTTACTGAGAATGATGATTTCCAATTTCATCCATGTCCCTACAAAGGACATGAACTTATCATTTTTTATGGCTGCATAGTATTCCATGGTGTATATGTGCCACATTTTCTTAATCCAGTCTATCATTGTTGGACATTTGGGTTGGTTCCAAGTCTTTGCTATTGTGAATAATGCCACAATAAACATATGTGTGCATGTGTCTTTATAGCAGCATGATTTATAGTCCTTTGGGTATATACCCAGTAATGGGATGGCTGGGTCAACTGGTATTTCTAGTTCTAGATCCCTGAGGAATCGCCACACTGACTTCCACAATGGTTGAACTAGTTTACAGTCCCACCAACAGTGTAAAAGTGTTCCTATTTCTCCACATCCTCTCCAGCACCTGTTGTTTCCTGACTTTTTAATGATTGCCATTCTAACTGGTGTGAGATGGTATCTCATTGTGGTTTTGATTTGCATTTCTCTGATGGCCAGTGATGATGAGCATTTTTTCATGTGTTTTTTGGCTGCATAAATGTCTTCTTTCGAGAAGTGTCTGTTCATGTCCTTCGCCCACTTTTTGATGGGGTTGTTTGTTTTTTTCTTGTAAATTTGTTTGAGTTCATTGTAGATTCTGGATATTATTAGCCCTTTGTCAGATGAGTAGGTTGCGAAAATTTTCTCCCATTTTGTAGGTTGCCTGTTCACTCTGATGGTAGTTTCTTTTGCTGTGCAGAAGCTCTTGAGTTTAATTAGATCCCATTTGTCAATTTTGTCTTTTGTTGCCATTGCTTTTGGTGTTTTAGACATGAAGTCCTTGCCCATGCCTATGTCCTGAATGGTAATGCCTAGGTTTTCTTCTAGGGTTTTTATGGTTTTAGGTCTAACGTTTAAGTCTTTAATCCATCTTGAATTGATTTTTGTATAAGGTGTAAGGAAGGGATCCAGTTTCAGCTTTCTACATATGGCTAGCCAATTTTCCCAGCACCATTTATTAAATAGGGAATCCTTTCCCCATTGCTTGTTTTTCTCAGGTTTGTCAAAGATCAGATAGTTGTAGATATGCAGCGTTATTTCTGAGCACTCCGTTCTGTTCCATTGATCTATATCTCTGTTTTGGTACCAGTACCATGCTGTTTTGGTTACTGTAGCCTTGTAGCATAGTTTGAAGTCAGGTAGTGTGATGCCTCCAGCTTTGTTCTTTTGGCTTAAGATTGACTTGGTGATGCGGGCTCTTTTTTGGTTCCATATGAACTTTAAAGTAGTTTTTTCCAATTCTGTGAAGAAAGTCATTGGTAGCTTGATGGGGATGGCATTGAATCTGTAAATTACCTTGGGCAGTATGGCCATTTTCACGATATTGATTCTTCCTACCCATAAGCATGGAATGTTCTTCCATTTGTTTGTATCCTCTTTTATTTCCTTGAGCAGTGGTTTGTAGTTGTCCTTGAAGAGGTCCTTCACATCCCTTGTAAGTTGGATTCCTAGGTATTTTATTCTCTTTGAAGCAATTGTGAATGGGAGTTCACTCATGATTTGGCTCTCTGTTTGTCTGTTGTTGGTGTATAAGAATGCTTGTGATTTTTGTACATTGATTTTGTATCCTGAGACTTTGCTGAAGTTGCTTATCAGCTTAAGGAGATTTTGGGCTGAGACAGTGGGGTTTTCTAGATATACGATCATGTTGTCTGTAAACAGGGATAATTTGACTTCCTCTTTTCCTAATTGAATACCCTTTATTTCCTTCTCCTGCCTAATTGCCCTGGCCAGAACTTCCAACACTATGTTGAATAGGAGTGGTGAGAGAGGGCATCCCTGTCTTGTGCCAGTTTTCAAAGGGAATGCTTCCGGTTTTTGCCCATTCAGTATGATATTGGCTGTGGGTTTGTCACAGATAGCTCTTATTATTTTGAAATACGTCCCATCAATACCTAATTTATTGAGAGTTTTTAGCATGAAGCGTTGTTGAATTTTGTCAAAGGCCTTTTCTGCATCTATTGAGATAATCATGCGGTTTTTGTCTTTGGCTCTGTTTATATGCTGGATTACATTTATTGATTTGTGTATATTGAACCAGCCTTGCATCCCAGGGATGAAGCCCACTTGATCATGGTGGATAAGCTTTTTGATGTGCTGCTGGATTCATTTTGCCAGTATTTTATTGAGGATTTTTGCATCAATGTTCATCAAGGATATTGGTCTAAAATTATCTTTTTTGATTGTGTCTCTGCCCGGTTTTGGTATCAGAATGATGCTGGCCTCATAAAATGAGTTAGGGAGGATTCCCTCTTTTTCTATTGATTGGAATAGTTTCAGAAGGAATGGTACCAGTTCCTCCTTGTACCTCTGGTAGAATTTGGCTGTGAATCCATCTGGTCCTGGACTCTTTTTAGTTGGTAAGCTATTGATTATTGCCACAATTTCAGAGCCTGTTATTGGTCTACTCAGAGATTCAACTTCTTCCTGGTTTAGTCTTGGGAGAGTGTATGTTTCGAGGAATTTATCCATTTCTTCTAGATTTTCTAGTTTATTTGTGTAGAGGTGTTTGTAGTATTCTCTGACGGTAGTTTGTATTTCTGTGGGATCGGTGGTGATATCCCCTTTATCATTTTTTATTGCGTCTATTTGATTCTTCTCTCTTTTTTTCTTTATTAGTCTTGCTAGCGGTCTGTCAATTTTGTTGATCCTTTCAAAAAACCAGCTCCTGGATTCATTAATTTTTTGAAGGGTTTTTTGTGTCTCTATTTCCTTCAGTTCTGCTCTTAGTTATTTCTTGCCTTCTGCTAGCTTTTGAATGTGTTTGCTCTTGCTTTTCTAGTTCTTTTAATTGTGATGTTAGGGTGTCAATTTTGGATCTTTCCTGCTTTCTCTTGTGGGCATTTAGTGCTATAAATTTCCCTCTACACACTGCTTTGAATGCGTCCCAGAGATTCTGGTATGTTGTGTCTTTGTTCTCGTTGGATTCAAAGAACATCTTTATTTCTGCCTTCATTTCGTTATGTACCCAGTATTCATTCAGGAGCAGGTGGTTCAGTTTCCATGTAGTTGAGCGGTTTTGAGTGAGATTCTTAATCCTGAGTTCTAGTTTGATTGCACTGTGGTCTGAGAGATAGTTTGTTATAATTTCTGTTCTTTTACATTTGCTGAGGAGAGCTTTACTTCCAAGTATGTGGTCAATTTTGGAATAGGTGTGGTGTGGTGCTGAAAAAAATGTATATTCTGTTGATTTGGGGTGGAGAGTTCTGTAGATGTCTATTAGGTCCGCTTGGTGCAGAACTGAGTTCAATTCCTGGGTATCCTTGTTGACTTTCTGTCTCGTTGATCTGTCTAATGTTGACAGTGGGGTGTTAAAGTCTCCCATTATTAATGTGTGGGAGTCTAAGTCTCTTTGTAGGTCACTCAGGACCTGCTTTATGAATCTGGGTGCTCCTGTGTTGGGTGCATATATATATAGGATAGTTAGCTCTTCTTGTTGAATTGATCCCTTTACCATTATGTAATGGCCTTCTTTGTCTCTTTTGATCTTTGTTGGTTTAAAGTCTGTTTTATCAGAGACTAGGATTGCAACCCCTACCTTTTTTTGTTTTCCATTTGCTTGGTAGATTTTCCTCCATCCTTTTATTTTGAGCCTATGTGTGTCTCTGCACGTGAGATGGGTTTCCTGAATACAGCACACTGATGGTTCTTGACTCTTTATCCAATTTGCCAGTCTGTGTCTTTTAATTGGAGCATTTAGTCCATTTACATTTAAAGTTAATATTGTTATGTGTGAATTTGATCCTGTCATTATGATGTTAGCTGGTGATTTTGCTCGTTATTTGATGCAGTTTCTTCCTAGTCTCGATGGTCTTTACATTTTGGCATGATTTTGCAGCGGCTGGTACCGGTTGTTCCTTTCCATGTTTAGCGCTTCCTTCAGGAGCTCTTTTAGGGTAGGCCTGGTGGTGACAAAATCTTTCAGCATTTGCTTGTCTGTAAAGTATTTTATTTCTCCTTCACTTATGAAGCTTAGTTTGGCTGGATATGAAATTCTGGGTTGAAAATTCTTTTCTTTAAGAATGTTGAATATTGGCCCCCACTCTCTTCTGGCTTGTAGGGTTTCTGTCGAGAGATCAGCTGTTAGTCTGATGGGCTTCCCTTTGAGGGTAACCCGACCTTTCTCTCTAGCTGCCCTTAACATTTTTTCCTTCATTTCAACTTTGGTGAATCTGACAATTATGTGTCTTGGAGTTGCTCTTCTCGAGGAGTACCTTTGTGGCGTTCTCTGTATTTCCTGAATCTGAACGTTGGCCTACCTTGCTAGATTGGGGAAATTCTCCTGGATAATATCCCGCAGAGTGTTTTCCAACTTGGTTCCATTCTCCCCATCACTTTCAGGTACACCAATCAGACGTAGATTTGGTCTTTTCACATAGTCCCATATTTCTTGGAGGCTTTGCTCATTTCTTTTTATTCTTTTTTCTCTAAACTTCCCTTCTCGCTTCATTTCATTCATTTCATCTTCCATCACTGATACCCTTTCTTCCAGTTGATCGCTTCAGCTCCTGAGGCTTCTGCATTCTTCACGTAGTTCTCAAGCCTTGGCTTTTAGCTCCATCAGCTCCTTTAAGCACTTCTCTGTATTGGTTATTCTAGTTATACATTCTTCTAAATTTTTTTCAAAGTTTTCAACTTCTTTGCCTTTGGTTTGAATGTCCTCCCGTAGCTCAGAGTAATTTGATCGTCTGAAGCCTTCTTCTCTCAGCTCATCAAAGTCATTCTCCGTCCAGCTTTGTTCCATTGCTGGTGAGGAACTGCGTTCCTTTGGAGGAGGAGAGGCGCTCTGCTTTTTAGAGTTTCCAGTTTCTCTGTTCTGTTTTTTCCCCATCTTCGTGGTTTTATCTACTTTTGGTCTTTGATGATGGTGATGTACAGATGGGTTTTTGGTGTGGTTGTCCTTTCTGTTTGTTAGTTTTCCTTCTAACAGACAGGATCCTCAGCTGCACGTCTGTTGGAGTACCCTGCCATGTGAGGTGTCAGTGTGCCCCTGTTGGGGGGTGCCTCCCAGTTAGGCTGCTCGGGGGTCGGGGGTCGGGGGTCAGGGGTCAGGCACCCACTTGAGGAGGCAGTCTGCCCCTTCCAGATCTCCAGCTGCATACTGGGAGAACCACTGCTCTCTTCAAAGCTGTCAGACAGGGACATTTAAGTCTGCAGAGGTTACTGCTGTCTTTTTGTTTGTCTGTGCCCTGCCCCCAGAGGTGGAGCCTACAGAGGCAGGCAGGCCTCCTTGAGCTGTGGTGGGCTCCACCCAGTTCGAGCTTCCCAGCTGCTTTGTTTACCTAAGCAAGCCTGGGCAATGGCGGGCGCCCCTCCCCCAGCCTCGCTGCCGCCTTGCAGTGTGATCTCAGACTGCTGTGCTAGCAATCAGCGAGACTCCGTGGGTGTAGGCCCCTCCGAGCCAGGTGCGGGATATAATCTCATGGTGCGCCGTTTTTTAAGCCCGTCGGAAAAGCGCAGTATTCGGGTGGGAGTGACCCGATTTTCCAGGTGCCGTCCATCACCCCTTTCTTTGACTAGGAAAGGGAACTCCCTGACCCCTTGCGCTTCCCGAGTGAGGCAATGGCTCGCCCTGCTTCGGCTCATGCATGGTGCATGCACCCACTGACCTGCGCCCACTGTCTGGCACTCCCTAGTGAGATGAACCCGGTACCTCAGATGGAAATGCGGAAATCACCCGTCTTCTGCGTCACTCACGCTGGGAGCTGTAGACCGGAGCTGTTCCTATTCGGCCATCTTGGCTCCTCCCCTCTTTCTTTCTTTCTTTCTTTCTTTCTTTCTTTCTTTCTTTCTTTCTTTCTTTCTTTCTTTCTTTCTTTTCTCTTGTCTTTCTCTCCTTTCTTTCTCTCTCTCTCTCCTTCCTTCCTTACCTTCCTTCCCTCTTTCTTTCTTTCTCTCTTTTTCCTTCCTTCCTTCTTTCGGAATTTCAGACTTTTGGAATTATTTCAGAATTTCGCTCTTGTTGCCCAGGCTGGAGTGCAATGGCATGATCTCAGCTCACTGCAACCTCTGCTTCCTGGATTCAAGCAATTCTCCTGCCTCAGCCTCCCCCTCTCCCTCCTCCCTTCCCTTCCTCTTCTTTCTTTCTTTCTTTCTTTCTTTCTTTCTTTCTTTCTTTCTTTCTTTCTTTCTTTCTTTCTTTCTATCTTTCTTTCTTTCTTTCTTTCTTTCTTTCTTTCTTTCTTTCTTTCTTTCTTTTTCCTTCCTTCCTTCCTTCCTTCCTTCCTTCCTTCCTTCCTTCTTTCCTTCCTTCCTTCCTTCCTTCCTTCCTTCCTTCCTTCCTTCCTTCTTTTGGAATTTTGGAATTTCGGAATTATTTCAGAATTTCACTCTTGTTGCCCAGGCTGGAGTGCAATGGCTTGATTTTGGCTCACTGCAACCTCTGCTTCCTGGATTCAAGCAATTCTCCTGCCTCAGCCTTCAGAGTAGCTGGGATTACAGGCACGCACCACCATGCCCAGCTAATTTTTGTATTTTTAGTGGAGATGGGGTTTCATCATGTTGGCCAGGATGGTCTCGAACTCCTGACCTCAGGTGATCTACCTGCCTTGGCTTCCCAAAGTGTTGGGATTATAGGCATGAGCCATTGTGCTTGGCCTCAGGGTTCTATTTCTGAGGAAGAAGCAGGCAATGAATGCCAGGAGTCCAGTGTCAGTCTCTGCCTTGGAGCTGATTAAAGCTTCTTCATGACGGGCAGAGACAGAGTCAACTGTGCCATCTTTCTTATCCCAGTTTGGTGTTCAGGTTTGGTCCTTTACGGGGGTGCTTGGCTGAGTTGGGCATCTTCCCTATGCTGAGTGTAGAGCAGGGCACCAAGGTACCCATCTCACATGGAAAAGGTGAAGAATCAGGGCAGACCCAAGAACAACATCTTAGGTCAGGAAATGCAAAGTCCTCTTCTAAGTGCCTCCTCCCATCTCTCTATAAGTTACCATGGGATGTAGGTTGTTTTGGCGATAGGAAAATGAAGGAGTGGATTGTGAGTGCTGAGGCTGCTTAAACCTACACAGAAAACTTTGTAAATTTTCCTCTGAGGAGCTGGACTTGAGATGAAGCAAGGCCCCAGACACCAGAGAGCTTGAAAAACTCAAGAAGTTTTCCCAGGTTTCCATCCACCAGCAGGTCTTGCAAGAGGCCAATGCTATAAACTGGGGGCAGTAACATTCCAGGAAGAGAGATGATTTTGTGCAAGCCCTAAAGCGCTGAGTGAACCAAAAGAGCTATCCTGTTTCACAGTTGTGAGTTGGGGCAAGAAGAGGGCTTATTGGTGATGCAGCCCCGGAAGTGACCCCCTCTCCTCTGTGTACATGGACGTCAGCTGCAGGGTGCAGCAGTATAAAAGGCCAGGCTCTGGCATCTCCTGAGTTTGAATCCTTGCTCTGTTACTTCTAGGCATATGACTTTGGGCAAATTTCTTACTGTCTGTCAACCTCTGCATTTTCATCTGTAAAACGGGGATGACACCACGTCCTAGCTCACAAGAGTACAGTGGAATTAAACAAGGGAATTCACGCAGCCTGTTTAGCCCAGTTTTGGGCACACAGCATGGGTCTACAAACATTGATGCTTATCTTAACTGGCATTTCTAAGTGACAGAGTTTATAGATGACTTAGTGCCAGGGAGTTACAGTCATTTCTGGGGAGTTAGGAAGCACCCAGGAGCAAAGGAGAGAGTGAGATGGAGGGGTGTGGGGTGCTGTGACAAGCAGGTATGGAGCTTCAGCTCTGCTGCTCCTGAATTATTCATAGAAACAATCTTTGAATAATTGGAGGCCATTTTTCATTACCATTATTTCCTGGAGAAATGACTCCATTGCTGAAATCTGAGGTGGGGGAAGTACATTCTATTTATGTTAGATTGCTTCTTAAAAACTTCCCAGGGATGGCCCAAAACAGGCGCCTCGTTTTGGGGGCTGTGACTGCAAGGGCAGAATAATCCCGCCTTGCTAATTACTTCCCAAAGTGAAGGAGGAGAGGAGAGAGGGAGGGAGGGAGGATCCAGAACCAGGGAGAGAAGAGAGAATTGGTGGTGGGCAGGAGGGGGTCTGGAGAGGGCTCTAGAAGGAGCTGGGCTCTAGAAGGCTGACAGATGTGGGGTCAGTCCAGCTGTAGGAATCAGATGTGGGATCAGCGCGGCTGGAGGATTAGGTTCTGAGTACTGTGTCTGGAGAGTCTCCAAGGAGCATGTCTCCCCGTATTGTCCCAACCCTAACATTTTGTCCTCATTGAGGTATACGGTAGTAAAAAAAATGGCAGACCCTACTCCACCACTGGAGTGAGTTACCTTGGGCAAGCCCTGGGTTACCTTTGGTAAGGCCTGTTCCTGTCTCCATGCCTCAGTTTCCTTTTCTGATAAATGAGGCTGGGAAATGTGTCTTTTGTAGAATTGTTATGAAGATTGACTGAG